>NC_000001.11:43493228-43796259 GCF_000001405.40 Homo sapiens | reverse complement strand
TGAATTTTCTGAACTGCACTCAAATCTGGGGCCAAGCAGCAGGAAGACAAAGACAGAAAACAAGCAACCAAAATTGCACCCCATCCTCTTGGGACTATAGCTCCTCTGATCAGAGAGGAAAGTTCCTCTCTCTCAGTTTTAGGTGCTTGAAGGGCCTACTGCTGGCACTCTCCCAACCACCATCACTGTGGGATTGCCTGGGGGCTGGGGCATGAGGGAACAACTCTTGGGATATTCCCCTCTGTCTGAGCCTTGGGAGCCCTTTTCCCACCCCAGAGCTTTAACTAGAGGTCTTTTCCTGAAGCTGTTTGTGCCTTGGTGTCCATTGCTGGGGTTTGGGGTGCCTTGAGTCCAAGACATGGGACACTGAAGGGAAAATAGGAAACTCACTGCCAGTTCAGTAATACATTGAATTCTGGTATTCTTCCCCTATCTGTCTGCTACTATTTATGTTTCAGAGTCCTCAAACTGCTATTAAATGCATTCTGAACAGGCCTTTAGCTGCATTCAGAGATAGAGTGAGTGTGCTCACTCTGTCTTATCTGGAACTGGAACCTTTTTCTTACTTTTAAGTACCTACACTAACAGAAAGAAAGTCAAATAGGGATTAATTCCAAAGTTATCCTGCTAAAGTTCTAAAACGTTTTTGGCGATGTGGTATGCCCAGCGCTTTGTAAATTCTCTCCAAATAAAACAGTAAAGTGGCCACTGTGAAGACCTCTACCCAGCTCTTGCCTGGTTACCATTCCCTTTTAGGCTTGATGCAAAGCAGGAGATAGCAAAACTATTGGCCTCTTGCAAATATTCCATGAGAGCATGAATAAGGCAGAACTAGGTGTCGAAGCTGGTAGGTGTTGTCGGGAAAACTGAAGGCTAGGTAAACTGAAAACCAGTTATAATTTGAGGCTGACTCTGAATCAACTTGATCTATCTTCCACTAAGAGGGAATCAGTGGAAAAATGTCTGAATTCTCATTCTTTGCCAGCCTTCACTGAGAACCTTGTACAAACCTGGGAGGCTTATTGCCATGGTCCATAGTTATTTGCAGATTAAGCCCAAGATCTTTTTATAACTCCAAGGGAGATGGAGGCTGAGGACCAAAATCCCCTTGAACATTATTAGCTGTACATTGAGGTTTTATGTACTTTTCTATATATTTGCTATATTTTACATTTTTAATACAAAGCACAGCTAGTGAGTTACTGTAAAATGGACACCTATAAAACCCCTTCAGGTCACTAAAAATAATATATCAACACACTAGAAGCCCCCCTGTACCCATCCCTCAACATACCCCCTTGAACACCACCATCTAGCTATTATAGAATTCAATTCCTTGCTTTTCTTTATAGTTTTAATACTGAATTATGTATCTAAAAGCAAATATGGTTTAATTTCATTTGTTTTTGAACTTTTTATGAAAGGATAAACACAGTATGTACTGTTTTGTCTGACTTCTTTCACCCAACAATATGTCTTTAATATTTATCCATATTGTTGCATCTGGCTATGGTTTGCTCATTTTTACTGTTCCCTATGAATATAATACAATTTGCATAGTCATTCTACTGTTGTTAGGTATTTGGATTGTTTTTGGTTTTTGACAATTATGAACAATGTTCTTATAAACATTCTTATACACATATCTTGCATATATATGTCCTGTTATGTATAAGCATCCATTTCTGCAGATAATATACCTAGAGGAGGAATTGCTAAGTCACCAGGTATGTGTATATCCAAATTTAGCTAGATACTGCCACAGTTTATTCCACAGTGGTTGTACCAAATTATGCTCCAACAAGTAGAAAATCAGAGTTTCCACTGCACCACATCCTTATCAACATTGGAATTGTCAAGCTTTTCAAGTTTTGCCATTTGGTAGATGTGTATTGATATCTCATTGGGATTCTAATTTGCATTTTGCTGAGTACTAATACAATCAAACACCTTTTCTTGGGTTTATTGGCCATTTGGACTTTCTCTTTTGTGAAATGCCTGTTCAAGTCTTGCTCATTTCTGTAATGAGTTGCTCCTTTATTCCTATTGACTTCTGTCGTTCTTTGTTCTGGAAACAAGCCTTTTGTTGATTATTTGTGTTGTAAAGATATTTTTTTCACTCTGGATTTCCTTTCACTCTCTCTCTTTTTTCCTTCTTTTTTTTTTTTTTTTTCCAGAGACAGGGTCTCACTGTGTCACCCAGGTTGGAGTGCAGTGGTGCAATCATAGCTCATTGCAGCCTCTAACTCCTGGGCTCAAGTGATCCTCCTGCTTAGCATCCTGAGTACCTCAGACTACAGGCACACGCCACCGTGCCCTTACTATTTTAAAAAAATTTTTGTAGAGTTGGGGTCTCACTGTGTTACCCAAGCTGGTCACAAATTCCTGGCCTCAAGCTGTCCTCCTGTCTCAGCCTCCCAAAGTGCTGAGATTATAGGTGTGAGCCACTATGCCCATCCAGCCTGCCTTTTCACTCTCTTAATAGGGTCTTTTGATTAATAGAAGTTCTCAACTTTTATGTAATAAAATGACCAATCTTTTACTATACAAATAGATGCAAGTTTTGGATCCATTTAAGAACTCTTTCTGTCTGTCCACTCTACCTTAAAGTGACTTCTCATAGCCTCAGCATTTTGGTGGGAAGCACACAAGGTATGAGATAGAAAGATGCTAAGGGAGAGAGGATGGGCTCTAGAGTTAGACAGATATGAATGGCCCTGAACAGGTTACTTCATGTCTTTGAGCATTAGCTTCTTTATCTATAATTAAAGATATCAAAGCTGTTGTAAGGAGATCTAGTATTTGATAGCACAGCAGAGTGATTATAGTCAACAAAAATTTATTGTGTATTTTGAAATAATTAAAAGAGTGTAATTGAAATGTCTGTAACACAAATAAACCGTAAATGCTTCAGATAATGGATACCCCATTTGCCCTGATGTGATTATTACTCATTGTATGCCTGTATCAAAACATCTCATGTACCCTATAAATATATACACCCACTATGTACCCATAAACATTAAAAATAAAAAAAATAAAAATAAAAAGCGATTGTAAGAGATAGCTGAGAGGTGTATCAAGCACTCAGCACAGTGCTGGCACACAGTAAAACAGGCAGACCCTCAGTAAATAGTGGTGGCTGTGATCATATTCTCTGAATGTCTTTCCTCTTGTCCACTCTACTACAACTGCCTGACCCTCATGGCTGTTTTGTGAATCATCAATCTACCATATCTAAGGACGGCAAAATGAATTAACTGCCCTCAACAGGCCAGCAGTCTCCCTGGCATTCACTGGCAGTACCCATGGTATGAGGCCCACCTGACTTTACCTAAAAACACAGAGATACTCTTCCCTCAAAGTCACGTCATTCTGAGGCTCCCATAGGGACCCAATGGCAGCAAGCTGAGGAATCAAAGTAGTCTCTTCCCACTTCCTGTCAACAGGCACAGTGATGTGGAACAGGTAAACTGCCCTAGACATGGCAGAGCCAGGCTCCACTGGGTCTGGGTGAATTTGGGGCAGGTGTGCTGATCTGTGTGTCCTGCACTGTAAACAGGGAAGAGAAGGAGTGTGTCCACCTACATGCATTTTGGCATGAGTACACAGTACAGTGTGGTACTCCTCTCCTGGAAGAGGTCTGTATTTGAATATATGGGGTGTGCATGTAAACATGCAATGGAGTGTATGTCCTCAGGAAACTGGGATGCTCCCACCAGCCCAGCATTCTAGTAGAGAGCCCTGATGGTTATCTGCTCCAGCATTCCCACAGCCTGGGGTCTTTCAATGCCCTCTGCCCCACCTTCTGAGACAGGATATATGCACAGAAAACAGACATCCTTTTATGTGACTCTTGACAACTCTGAATGAAGAGGGAGCATCTACTGTAACTCCTCTGTGCACTTTTAAAGTAACTGGAAAAGTTCTCTGGATATGTCCCTCTTCTGCTTCCCTGACCATAAAGTCTCTAGAAAGGCTTCTTGAGACTTCCCCCAATTCTGGGATATTCCACTGCCCTCCCCAGCAAACCCATACTTGATTAGGCTTCACAAAAAATATGGCTAATATTGAAGGCCAAAAAGATGATAGAGGGGGAAGAGTTGGTACCTGAGCCTAGTGTTTGTCCAGCGGAGTCAAAGGAAAGAACCACTGAATCTGCAACACAAGAGGACAAGTTCATTTCTTTCTCCTTCTTATAATAAAAAAGCAAGCTCCCACTGGCTCTGCCCAAACCCTCCCTCAAAGCAGAGTCAACTGGAAGGGAACTCAGTCGAACAGCCCAGCCTCCCAGGCCCATGCCCACCCATCCACTGAGCCAGGAGACCCTGCCCAGCCCAGTACCCCTTGCCTCCTGCCAGAGGGAGAGACGTCTCAAGGCAGGGACAGGCCCCAAATTCTTTAGAGGCATTTCTTGCCAGATTAGGGGACAAATTTACTTCTTTTTCTTTCTTCTAGTGAAAATGGAATTAAAACAAAGCAAAATAAAAGTTCCTTCCTGAATCTAGTTAAAGGCACTAACATTTCCCCTTTGATCTTGCCCTTTCTTCTACTTATATACTCAATTGTTCATTGTTTCTTCCCCAAAAAAGGCTTATAGTGGCCTATTGAAATTTACAATGTACACTAGAATTTTAAAATGAAGATGTCAAAGAAAGGAAAAAGACTATATAGTTGGGGAAATGTTAGTGCACAAAATGCATGCCATGAGTACCTACGCAAACACCGCAGGCAGAATCAGGGCCTGAGCCTTCAAACAGCCAAAGAAAAAAGGAAATGAATGGTTACAAGATTCAGTACCCACAAGGCATTCATTCATTCATTCATTCATTCATTCAATCAAATGTCCAATAAATATGCACTGGGCAACTGCTATGTGCAAGATACTATACTATGACTGAGATACAGCAGCAAACAGAAAAAGCATGGTCTCTATCCTTATTGATCTTTCTGCTATCAGTCTAGGAGAAAAAAATGTTACCAAAGAACAAACTATTTAACTAGAAACTGATAAAAGAGAAAAAAAGAAAGTGTTATTAAAGTTTATATTAGGAACTGGACTGAGTACAGAAGGGGAGTGGGTACTGGATAGGGAAGACATCTCTGAAGAAGTGACGCTTGAACTCATAGCTGAAGGATAAGTGAGGGTCAAACCCAACAAGAATGGAATAGGACATTCAAAGCAGAGGGAAGGCCATGTGTGAAGACCTGAGGCAAAATGGAGTCTGGTGCTCCAGAGCAACTGAAATACCAAAACATAAAAGCAAATACTGTACAGTGATCAGAGAGAACTTTCTCTTGTGGGCCTTAGAAAAAGAGATGCCGGCCGGGTGCAGTGGCTCATGCCTGTAATCCCAGCACTTTGGGAGGCTGAGGTGGGTGGATCACGAGGTCAAGAGATCGAGACCATCCTGGTCAACATGGTGAAACACAGTCTCTACTAAAAATACAAAAAAAAAAAATTAGCTGGGCGTGGTACGCGTGCCTGTAGTCCTGGCTACTTGGGAGGCTGAGGCAGGAGAAGCACTTGAACCTGGGAGGCGGAGGTTGCAGTGAGCCGACATCATGCCACTGGACTCCAGCCTGGTGACAGAGCAAGACTCCATGTCAAAAAAAAAAAAAAAAAGGAGACGCCATATGATGTTGAAGATTGTATATTCTACATTTCTATACTAAGCAGCTGTAAATCTTGTATGGCTGTTTCCTACAACATAAGCCAATGCCAAATGATGGCATAAATTAAACATAGAGTTCAATAAAAGCAATTATAAGGGGCACCAAGATGATGTAAGGCCCAAGATAACCCAAGAAACCCCAGACTCAAAAGGGATCAGATTCCACAGACTTACTCCAAAGGAGTGTCAGCCGGATGCAAATGGCACCAGAGTCTAGAGCCACACCCCACCCAAACATTATGGGCATTTTCTCTCATTGCACATGGACATTCAACACAATAGTTATCATAACTGTACATAACATCTGTTCCCACTGCTAGGTTGTAAGTTTCATAAAGGCAGACACCAAATCTGCTTTATTCACTGCTACACCTGGCACTCAATATTTGCTGAATAACAATGTACAGAAAAATGAATGAATCACAAATCTTCAGACACTCTTTCATCGATATTTTTTTCTCACAACCATGTGTTTGCTAAGAACTGGGTGGCAGAGAGCTGGAGGATGTGGTTTCTGAGGCAGGTACTCTGTACTGCCAGTTAAAGATAGATCCATATGCTTTGAAATCTGCCAAGAAAAAGGTAGGGTTGCCACTTTTTTACAAAATGTAGAATCACAATCAGGACACTTGGCTGAACAGATAGGTGACCACCCTATCTCATACAATCAATGTCTAACTCTTATAAATTCTACTTTTTTTTTTTTTAATAGAGCCAGAGTCTTGCCCTGTCCCCTGGGCTGGAGTGCAGTGGTGCAATTGTGGCTCACTGCAGCCTCTAATTCCTGGGCTCAAGTGATCCACTCACATCAGCCTCCTCAACAGCTAGGACTACAGGTGCATGTGCCAGCCTGCCTGGCTAACTTTTCAATTTTTTTTAGAGATGAGCATCTTGCCATATTGCCCAGGCTGCTTTCAAATTCCTGGCCTCAAGTGATCCTCCTGCTTTGACCTCCCAAAATGTTGGGATTACAGGCACGAGCCATCATGCCTGGCCAATTCTACTTCTTTATCAGCATTTCTCACATTTATCTCCTCTCATTGAGAAGACTGACTCCTCCAACCCCTGCTTTTAAAAACAGCTTTATTGAGGTATAATTCACGTACCATGAAATTCACTCATATAAGTGTGCAATTCAATGATTTTTAGAAAATTAACAGAGCTCCATAACCATCATCACAATCCAATTTAGAACATTCTCATCACTCCAGAAAGATCCCTCATGTCCATTCAGTCATTCCCTGCCCCAACCTCCAACCCCAGGAACCACCAAGTTACTTTCTGTCTATAGATTTGCTTTTCTGGACATGTGCCTATCATCTTTTGCTGGGACTGCTCTTATTGCCCCCAAAACACACCTCTGCCTCCAACATAGCCCATTTCCATCCATCCTTTCTACTGATTTCTCCAAAAAGCATAACAGATTGTGTCTCTGTTCTTTAATAAAACCCTTCAGAGGCTTCCTGTGGCCTGTAAGATAAAGTTCAAGCTCTGACATTCAATGTCTTTACCATTTGCCTCATTTACCACCTTGAGTTCCAGATATGCAAAATTACTTATATTTCCCAAGAGATGCATGCCTTCATGTCTTCAGACGTTGAACACATTGTCTTCTCTGCAGGTTTGCATTAAAAAAAAAAAAAACCTCCCACTCTTCCATTAAGACCAACTCAATTGACCCCTTCTTCTTGAAGACCTCTCTGATCAATTCTGCTCACTTACTTCTTTAGGCCATCACTGTGCTTCTATTATGGCATTCATTATACTGCACTATAATCCTTGTTTGCTTTTCTTCTTCTTTCATTAAACTGAAAGTTCCCTGAAGACAAAGACTGTCTATTCATTTTGAGGCTCTGATGCCTAACTAATGACTGATACATACAAAGTGGTCAATATGTTTATTCAACTAAGAAATAAGCTAGTAAATATTCTTGCTTTCTTTCAAAGGTGATGTTATCTGAGTGATATTTTACAAGTTGGAGGTAAAATCCATTCTGGGTATTGACTCCCATCAGTTCCAATCAGTCCTGAAGTGTGCTTGTCCTGTGAAGGTTCAGGGGTCCAAACCTGGCCTCACCCTAGGAAAATGAGTGCTCACACAAAGAGTCTCCGCAGAGGAGGAATAAGAAAAGCATCCTAAGAGTTTTCCAGGCGAGAGATCACATTCCCCTGAAGAAGATTGGGAATGGAATTCTGAGGAGCTGACTGCCCGGATGAGCAACAATAAAAACAAGCACTTCAAATTTTTATTGCAGTTGACAAGTATTTTTCCAATTGCAATTTATCTTCTTTGTACTCACAAGCAGTCCTGATATAAAGTCTCTTTTAAACTTTTCAAATGACATGTACAGAAAAAAGGCTAAAAGTTAACTAAAAGACTAAAACTAATTAAGACTAAAAGAGACTAAAAACATGGTTGTCTCTGGGTGGCAGAATTATAGTAATGCTTATTCTCTGCATTTTTGTAAAATTTGTACAGTAAACATGTATTACTTGCATTGTTTGAGGGGACAAAAAGTTCAAAACAGAACTTCTGAATCCCGCTCTAGGATTTTAACCTCCAACTCACTGGTACCAATGCCAAAGGATGGCAGGTTCTTGAATGCCTTCATTATTCACTGTACATGCTGAAACGCTGTTGAGCTTTTCTCTTTAATTACTGAGGTCATCCTTATAGTTCATGATACTTAAATATACCCCAACAATATCAGTCTAAATGGACTGGGCTTTCCTCGCCCTTCTTTACTTCTCCCTCCTTCTCACAAATATTATCAAGTGGCTATTACACGCCAGGCCCCATGGAGCCAAATTAGAGATAGCCTTCGCCTTCAAGCCAAGGAAGACAGACCACTTCATAAGCACTTAAGATAAAAATAAAGTGATAAGGGTAAGCATCAAACAGGTGACAGTCTACTGGAAAGAGTCAAAGTCTTTGCAAATATTATTTCCAATGGTAGCGGAATGCTCTTACGATCACACATTTTTAAACTTCAGAAGAGGCAAGTGAGAGGGCAGAAATTTTCAGAGGAAGTTGGTGACATATTCATGTTTTGTGTAAGTTTTTAAATGAAATCTGCTGTGAGCATTAAAGGTTTGATGAATTTTGTTTTGATGAATTTTGCTTTGACTTCAGAAACAGTTTGGCCATTCATTATTTGTGATTTATTCTAAAGGACGTAAGATTATTTTAGTTATAAACCACTTTGACAGCTAACGGGAAAACTTAGTATTCAACAAATTGAGAAGTTTGCTTTGCAAGGAACAGAGCAAGAATATCCAGACTTCTCCCTCTCAGGCTAGCAAATATGTCATTTTTACTTCAGTCATCCCAGGCTCCAGCTGTTCCTGGCTCCCAGGCCAGAGGCAGCCATGTGGCCTGCCATACAAGTGACCAAACTGAATTCCAGACCAAAGTACAGCACAGCCTTGCTGCACATGACTTTGTTCAATGAGGAAACCTAGAATTTACTGGCAATCTTTTATTATAGTCAGATGTTTCCTGTGTCTGGTTTCCGAAGTGGAATAAAAGGAATCTAAAGGGAGTATGAAGAAGAATAGGGCTCAGTCTTTCTGCCATTGGACAAGTTTCCAGAGCACAAATTATGCAGCAAATGAGCTACCTTTTGGGGTATACTTATCTTCAGCCAATTACCATGTGTAAGCCTGAGAGACGTAAAAATGAACTAAAAGAAAATTGTTCCCTCAAGTAGCTCACAACCTAACAGGTAAAATAAAAATACATATAAAGCTAAACACAAGACACAGCCGTGGGAAAAACAGTAACAAGGGAGATTTCACTGTTTATCAGTTTAACAGATGTTTACTGAGAAACTACGACACACTAGGCTTGAAAATACAGTGGTGAGTAAGAACAAAAATGTTCTTATTCTCAAGGAATTTTTGTTTTAGTCAGGGAGATACAAAACAACCAAACAAATGAAATGAACAAAATACTGAACAGTGATAAGCAGTACGAAGAATATTAAAGCATGTAACGGAGACCAAGGGTAGAGGTACAGGCAGTGTTAGACAGGGTGTTTCAGGAAGGCTTCTCTGAGGAGGTGGCACCCAGGCTGAGACCTGGAGACAGAAGCAAGCTAAGAAAAGATCAAGAGAAAGAGTTCCAGGCGGAAGGAAAAGCAAGCGCAGCAGCCCTGCTACATCTAAAGAAGAAGTCAGAAGGTCAGTGTTGCTGGCGCACAGAGCACAGAAAGCAGGAGGTGGGAAAACGAGGTCAGAGAGGAAGACAGGAGCCGCATCTGCAGGAGGGTGTACAGGCCGCAGAAAGATGTCTGTGTTCTATTTCATTAGCAATGAGAAGCCCTGCTTAAAACCCCGGGAGTAACAGAGTCGGATTTATATTTTTAAATATAAACTTGGGCCATTATGTGGGAACTAAATTGATTATTCTGGCAACTGAGTAAAAGGTAGATTAGGGGAGAGAGACTGAAGACAGGGAGATCAATAAGGAGGAGACTCATGCAACCCTCTGGGTGAGAACTGATGGTGGCCTGAACCGGGTCGATGGCAATGGGAATAGAGAAAAAAGGAGAAATGCCAAAAAAAAATGCTTAAAAGGGAAAACTTCAGGATGTAGTGACTGATGGGACATGAGTGAGACAGGAAGGGAAGAGAATGATATCTAGCTTGGGCTTGGGCAAATGGATGCTGACTGTTGCTTGATGGAAAGTAGGCTGCATCCTAACCACATGACCCTTCCTCCCCTCTGGCCACTGACAACTGGCCCATGGGCTCAAGGGAAGGTAATCCATAGACTCCTCATCCACCTAGAGGCAGATAGGGTCTCTCTTTTGGGAATTTAAATTGGGAAGTACAGACAGTTGGGGGATTGGTAGGAGACACAAGCAGACAAAGAAGTGTAGAGACTTGGATGCTGTAGGCTGCGCTAGATGCTGGGCCCTAGCGCCCACATTAGTGGCAGAGCATCAGAGCCAAGAGTCACAACCCTGCTGTTGAGGGCAGCAAGACAACTTTAGATTCAAAATGTTCTCCCTGTTCCAGTCTCTGTGAAAACCAGCTATCCCATGGATCATCTTTCCATGAGGCCTTGAGGTTTGGTTTTTCTTCAGTTCCCAGAAGGCCTTGCCTATAGTTAATACTCTTCATGTCTCTTGCTACATTGAAGCTGTCTGCAGTCTGAGCGGCCTCACCTCACCTTCCAGCACCATCCAGGCCTCTACCTTCTGGATGGCTGTGTGAGGTGAACCTGCCACCAGGCTGGATCTGAGCAACACATGTCTCCTCCACAGGGTCTGAAGCTCAGAAGCAGAGGCTCCACTTGGAC
Source organism: Homo sapiens (assembly GCF_000001405.40). Taxonomy (NCBI): domain Eukaryota; kingdom Metazoa; phylum Chordata; class Mammalia; order Primates; family Hominidae; genus Homo; species Homo sapiens. Next base: position 43,785,279 of record NC_000001.11, on the reverse strand, counting down.
CACAGCTCTCAACTTTCTTCTCCAATCTAGCTTTATGAAAGAGCCCTTAACTTGGGAGGTTTAGCAGTCTGTTAACAGAACTGATACCTCAATGTTCACGTCGCCACCTGTTTCTTGTTTTTTAGTCTCTCAACTGTTTAGATCCTGGAGGGATCTAACCCCCCCAGTCTTAGTCCCTCAATTTCTTCCCTCCCAACCCCAATCCCAAACAAAACCTGAGTAAATGAGATTCCTGCGGACAAACAGAGAAAAGAAAAGTCTGAGGAGAAAAAACATCATCATTAATTTAGGAGGATGTGATAATATGGACAAGAAAACAGTGAAATAATCAGAGACAGGAGTAGCAGGACAGAGAAAGCCAAAGGAGGTGAGAATTGATCACAAGGAGTATCCCAATGTGGCAAAGAGGCAGAAGAAGCTGATGGCTGAAAAGATAGCACAGAATTATTCACTGGGGAGCATCTGTAACTTCAGTGGAAACAATTTCTGTACAACAATTTGATGGCAAAGACTCAACTGTGAATGGAAGCTGTTGATGCAGTATACTTATGTCAAGAAGTTTCTCCTTAACTTTCATTAATTTAACTTACCAAACATATACAGAGTTCTTACTAAGCTCGAGAGACTGTATGAAAAGATCAGACATGGTATCTGACATCAAAGAGCTTTTGAACCATCAGAGAGATAATAGAGAGATTCAAATAACGATATTACAAGTCTCTAGAGAAGTTGCTATGGGAGTTTATTTTTACTTACTTATTTATTTATTTTGAGACAGAGTCTCGCTCTGTCACCCAGGCTGGAGTACAGTGGTGCGATCTCGGCTCACTGCAACCTCTGCCTCCCAGGTTCAAGCGATTCTCCTGCCTTAGCCTCCCAAGTAGCTGGGACTACAGGCATGTGCCACCACACTCGGCCAATTTTTGTATTTTTAGTACAGACGGGGTTTCACCATGTTGGCCAGGCTGGTCTCGAACTCCTGACCTCAAATGATCCACCCACCTCGGCCTCCCAAAGTGCTGGGATTACAGGCACGAGCCACCACGCCTGGCCTGTCGTTTAGATGCAAGGAGAATTTTTGGCTGGGAGAAACTGGGAAGATATGGAGGAGATAGTACTTAAGCTGGTATGAGATGACCTTATAGGACAGGCTGTACTGGTAGTGTGGGAACAGCTATGGAAAGGCACTGAAGCATGGAAAGTGAGGGGTGTGTGGTTTCAGGAAGGTAAAATCATACCTAACTAATTTAGTAGGGTTTCTTTCAGGAGGTAAAAATGCATGTGACTGAAAGGGAACCAGTCCATACAATCTATTTAGACCTTCATAAAAAGGCTTTGACACATCAAAGACTATTTTTAAAAAGTGAGTCACCATGAAATTGAGGAAGAAACTGCTATGTCATGCCAGGAGACAAAAGGTACCTGGGTGCAGATCAGGGGCAGGACATCCCCTAGGGCAACAGCGTTCACAGGGACATCAGGAAGTCTGGGAGTAGCTGGAATTCTACCAGCTGCTGCCCTCTAAGACTGCGGGGGGTGGGGGCAGTGTAAGGGTGGCACTGCTTACAAACCCCTGTGTGTACGACTCAAGCAGGTGGAATGAATATGGAACTAGGCATGTGCTGCTGAAACTGAGAGTAAGATGGTATATAAGGTTTGGAGCTCAGGGGATGGGAAAAGTTTTAGTACAGCTGCTCTAGAAACAGGAAAGGAAGCTGATAAAGGAAATGGAAAAGGCAATATTGCCAAGTACTGAATAGGGCACAGTCTGAAACTGGGAGATGAGTGTGATTCACCTTTCTATCGAGTCTCAAATGAAAGACAGCCCAATCAGAGACAAGATGGGCAGACTTGGTCAGAGCTTGGTATCAGTGGGACATTTTCAGGAGGACAAGGGGGTAAAGGCATGGAGGCTGCTACTGAAAGGAGCCAGCCTGGGTGAATAGGAATGGAAGGGAAGTCAGCCAGGGCTGAGCACTGGGAGAACAGGGAGGGCAGAAAGCCAGCAACCCAGAAGAGGTCGAGGGCAGGGACCTGCAGGTGGCATGGACCTGTGCAGCACAGCAGACAAGGCATGCGTTTGAACCAGGCCACCATGGTGCTAATCCGGGCTCCACTGTTTTTCCCACTATGTAACTTTGGGCAACCTACTTAAATCTTGCTGAGCCTTAATTTCCTCATCTGTAAAAAGAGTAACACAAAGTTCAAAATTTATCTGAGCCCCCTCAAACTAGATAGTATTAGAATCCCAAAGTGTTCAGATTTTAGGAAAGCAGCATACTGCACAAACCATATATTATTTAACATCCCCCTATGAGGTTTGGGGCAGCATCCTGTAATTAAATATTAATATTTCTTCTATGAAATGAATTTTTATGCTAAAAGGGACTATAAATACATTCATACCATTTCAGGTCAGATTTTACTGCCAAACGAATTTTGACACTGATCTTTTGAAAAAAAAATGTTTAAAGATGTTTCAAGTTCATATTTGCCATACTGGTGGACCATTAATAGAACCCACCTCATAAGGCCATGTCATGAGGATTAGATGTCCAAATTAACATAAAGCACTGAACACAGTGCCTGGCATGTAGTTAAGTCCTCAATACATGCTGCTGTTAGTGTTTTTATCATCAGCATCATCACCGTTGATGACAGTGTGGCTGAAGTAAAAGAGGGACTGATAAGTGGAGAGGAATATAGAGAGGGAGAAACAGTGAAAATAAGGCAGAAAAGCAGACCAGATGGGGTTTTGAATACCAAGTTAGGAGTCTGGATTTTATTGAGTAAAAGTAGACAGAGTAGAGAAAGACACTATATATTTTTCAGAAAATTAATGATATCAACAGATTTTTGCTTCAGGAAAACCATTCTAGCGGCAGTGTGTAAGACAGAGCGTAAGGAGGCTAAGACCTAGCAGGAGAGCTTTGTGGTAAGCCAGGTGACAGACAATGAGGGTCTCACGTGAGGCTGTTGGGGGCCGGATGAAATTCAAAGGGAGAATGGACAGGATTGGGAAACTGATCGGATGTGGGATGGTGAGGACTAAGAGAAAATACTACCACAGAATACAAGGGAGTAGAAATATTCCAGAAATAGATGGGAAGCAATAATGTTAAATGTAGCAAAAGAAAGGAGAAGATAAGGTGTGGAAAGCATTCTTTGGGTTTGCCAATTAGGATGCTACTGGCGATTTCAGAAAGAGCAGGTTCAGTTAACTCCGTGAGAATGGAAGCCACACGTTATCAAATGTCATAGAGCAGCCAGTAAAATACAGACTGAAAAAATAGGGAGCTGAATTCAGTAACAAGGAGGTTTTCAATGACCTTTCAAATTCATTGCAGTTTGACTTAATGAAGTATTATGGGTAACTGGCAAACCGCAGTGGTTTGGTATAGGGATGGGAGAGTAAGAAGTAGATTGCCCAATAGATTTATTTTCTCTATGAAATGGGAGGTGATCATTGCATGTGGAAATTGGGAGGGAAGGAACTAGCCTTCCAGTTTGAAATAGGAGATTTCAGTTGGGGGTTGAAAAACTTTCTCTGTAGGTGGACAGTAAATATTTTAGGCGTTGTAGGCCACAGTCTCTGTCACATATCCTTCTGTTTTTTTGTTTTGTTTTGCTTAGCAACCCTTTAAACATGTAAAAATCTTTTTTTTTTTTTTGAGACAGTCTTGCTCTGCCACCCAGGCTGGAGTGCAGTGTCGTGATGTCAGCTCACTGCAACCTCTGCCTCCTGGGTTCAAGTGATTCTAATGCCTCAGCCTCCCAAGTAGCTGGGATTAGAGGTGTGTGCCACCATGCCTGGCTAATTTTTTGTGTTTTTAGTAGAGTGGGGGTTTCACCATGTTGCCCAGGCTGGTTTCAAATTCCTGGACTCAAATGATCCGCTGCCTCCCAAAGTCTCCTAAAATGCCGGGATTACAGGCATGAGCCACTGTGCCTGGCCTAAAAATATAAAAATCATTTTTAAGTCAGGTCACACAAAAACAAGCTGTGGGCTAGATCTGGCATAGGAACCACAGTTTGCTGACCTGATTTAGATTACTCCCATTCAAATCTCCCCAAGTGACAGAAACGACTGCATGTTCATTGTAAAGCAGAAGCACCCAGGACAAAGACAGAAGAGACACAAAACTGGAAACCAAGTAGACAAGTGGAAGTCAGCAAACTCAAGAAAGCTGAATCCTGTGCTGGTAGTGGGAAAAGTTGAACTGAACGTGAAATACATCACAGAACTCCCCAAAGACTCAATCACTGGCAGCATCAGGTACCACTAGAAGAGGGAATGAAGATGATACTAAAAACAAGATTCCCGGTTTCTAAATATGAGCAGACAGCCAAGATTGTTTGAGGCATTAGAGGAAAGTATTTGCTATAACGACAGGAGACCAAAACAAATGAAACCTAAATGCAACATGGAAAAACTGAAGAGACTCAGGGGGATGAAAACTCAGGAAAAAAAAAATCATTAAACTCCTCAGAGAGAAGAAATGTTATTCGTGAAACAGGTGGAGGATATCATAAAAAATATATTTGGTGAGGTGAACAAAAAGAAAAAAGTAACCCTGGAAAATGAAACACATAACAGCAGAAATAAAAAGGACCTGGAAAAGGGATTGGAAAAGTTAAGGAAATTTCTCACAATATAGAACAAAAAGATAGAGATGGAAAATGATTAAAATATTTTTAAAAGATTAAAGGACAAGTCCAGAAAACATGCCTTCTGAATATGGGAGTTCTAGAAAGAAAGAATACAGGAAAAAATGAAAAGGAGAAAATGCTGAAAAGAATAACTCAATAAAGTTGTCCCAGAACTAAAGGTTTTGAGTTTTTTTGAGCTTAAAAGGGCCCTCTGAGTGTCCAGCACAGTATGAAAACAGCCCTCCATCAAGGTATATTATCATGAAATTTCAAATTTCCAGAGAGAACAACTACAAACAGGTTTTATATAAATAATTAAAAATCAGAATAGCATTAAGACTCCTCAAGAGGAACACCAAAAGCCTAGAATACAATGGGGGCAGTATCTTCAAAATACTGAGGGAAAATGGTTTCCAACCTAGAATTCTATACGCAGCAAGACTATCAATTAAGTGTGAAATCAGAATAAAGACATTTTCAGGTATGTTCTCAAAAAATTACCTCTCATGTATCCTTTCTCAGGAAATCAGTACAAGATGTGTTCCATTAAATGAAGAAGTAAAAAAATATGGGGCCCAGGAAATGAGATATACCACAAGAGGATGGTGACAGGGACTTCAAGACCACAGATGTGCAGCTACACAGAGAGCAAACCATCCAAAGAGAGCATGTCAGAGGCTCCCAAAGAGAGTTCTTCAAGAAAATGAAGCTGATAGACAATCTAACATGTCTGAACATATGGAGAAAGATTTATACAACTGGGGAAGAGTTTAGGGTTGAATTAGTGACAAATACATAGAAAACTAAGGAAAGCAAAAAGCAAGACTTTTACTGACTTCAGGAAAAACAAAACATACAATGAAAAACCAGTAATCATGGTATCTATGAATAGTGTTTCTATGGTCATAGTATATAGACTGAATATTGCTCTAACCGTATTAGAAGAATTGGAGGATAGATTGCATGGCTGTGGTAGAGGAGTGGTGAGTGTGACAGAGTATTAAATATTCATCTTCCATTGAAGAAAGTCAGTAGGTAATACTCAAAACAGAAAAATCAAGAACTGGCAACATACACTTGTTATTAGAGATTCAGAGGTTAAAAAACCAAACAAGTTACCTAAAAGAGTTAAAAATGAATGCCTCTTGGAGGTAGGAAGTCAACTAGTGGTGATAATGAGGAAGTGCTTTTTTTGTTGTTGGGAACAAGCCCTGTAAACTATGCACATGTATAACTTCAATACGAACAAACACTAAAGTAACTTGCACAAGATTACACAGCCTATAAGGATAGGACTGGGGCTTCAAATCTAGTTGATCTGGTTCCTTAATTATTACAGCATATCATATACCTACCAATAGGGCCAATGAAGAGTCTGTTAGAAATCTAGCTGGGCGCAGTGGCTCACACCTGTAATCCCAGCACTTTGGGAGGCTGAGGCGGGTGGATCACCTGAGGTCAGGAGTTTGAGACTAGCCTGGCAAACATGGCAAAACCCAATCTCTACCAAATATACAAAAATTAGCTGGGCCTGCTGGCAGGTGCCTGTAATCCCATCTACTCGGGAGGTTGAGGAAGGAGAATCACTTGAACTGGGAGGTGGAGGTTGCAGTGAGCCGAGATCACGCCATTGCACTCCAGCCTGGATGACAAGAGCAAAACTCTGTCTGAAAAAAAAAGAATGGCCGGGCGCAGTGGCTCACGCCTGTAATCCCAGCGCTTTGGGAGGACGAGGCGGGTGGATCACGAGGTTAGGAGGTCGAGACCATCCTGGCTAACATGGTGAAACCCTGCCTCTACTAAAAATACAAAAAAAATTAGCCGGGCGTTGTGGCGGGTGCCTGTAGTCCCAGCTACTCGGGAGGCTGAGGCAGGAGAATGGCGTGAACCCGGGAGGCGGAGCTTGCAGTGAGCCGAGATCGTGCCACTGCACTCCAGCCTGGGCGACAGAGCGAGACTCCGTCTCAAAAAAAAAAAAAAAAAAAGAAAAAAAGAAAAGAAATCTGGATGCCTCACATTTGATCATATCCTATTGAATATCTTACTAAATACTCATATTATTTTGTAATTGTTTTCTTTGTCTAAATATGATTGAAAAGAATTAATCTAGAATGAAAGATAAGTTTAAAAAAACCCCAAATGTGTGGACCTTGTTTGGACCCAGATCCAAAGTGCTATGAAAAGGCTTTTTATTTTTCCCATCAGCTTTTAAGTTCTGGGGTACATCTGCAGGTTGTGCAGGTTTGTTAAAGAGGTAAATGTGTGCCATGGTGACTTGCTGCACAGATCAACCCATCACCTAGGTATTAAGCCCAGCATCCATTAGCTATTCTTCCTGATGCTCTCCTTCCCCGCACCAGGCCCCAGTATGTGTTGTTCTCACCATGTGTCCATGTGTTCTCATGGTTCAGCTCCCACTTGTAAATGAGAACATACGGTTTTTGGTTTTCTGTTCCTGTATCAGCTTTCTGAGGATAATGGCTTCCAGCTCCAACCATGTCCCTGCAGAGGACATGATCTCATTCCTTTTTATGGCTGCATAGTATTCCATGGTGTATATGTACCACATTTTCTTTATCCAGTCTATCATTGATTGGCATCTGGGTTGATTCTATGTCTTTGCTCTTGTGAACAGTGTTGCAGTGAACGTATGAGTGCATGTATCTCTATAATAGAATGATTTATATTTTTTGAGTATATACCTAGTAATGGGATTGCTGGGTCAAATGGTATTTCTGCTTCTAGATCTTTAAGGAATTGCCACACTGTCTTCCACAATGGTTGAACTAATTTCTCCCATTCTGTAGTTTATCTATTCACTCTGATGATAGTTTATTTTGTTGTGCAAAAATTCTTTAGTTTAATTAGATCCCATTTGTCAATTTTTGCTTTTGTTGCAATTGCTTTTGGCATTTTCATCCCGAAATCTTTTCCTGTGCCTATGTCCTGAATGGTATTGCCTAGATTTTCTTCTAGCATTTTTATAGTTTTGGGTTTTGCATTTAAGTCTTTAATCCGTCTTGAGTTAATTTTTGTATAATGTGTAAGGAAGGGGTCCAGTTTCAATTTTCTGCATATGGCTAGCCAGTTCTCCCAGCATCATTCCCCATTGCTTGTTTTGTCAGGTTTGTAGAAGATCAGATGGTTGTAGGTGTGTGGTCTTATTTCTGAGTTCTTTATTGTGTTCCATTGGTCTATGTGTCTGTTTTTGTACCAGTACCAAGCTGTTTTGGTTACCGTAGCCTTGAAGTATAGTTTGAAGTTGGGTAGTATGATGCCTCCAGCTTTGTTCTTTTTGCTTAGGATTGTCTTGGCTATATGAGCTCAAAAAGGCATTTTTAATAATTGGGGTTATCTGAATATGGATTGTGTATTGGAAGACACTAAGGAATTATTGTTAATGTGAGGTAATAACACATTGGCTTTTTTAAAAAAGATCGTATGACTTAGAGATGTGTAATTAAGTATTCATGGGTAAAATGACATGATGTCTGGGATTTGCTTTAAAAACCCAAATAATAAAAAAGATATGAATCTCTCTGATAGCAGGACCTATATAATATACATGTGCCAGAGACCCTTAGACATGATGAGACTCTGAAGTCATTAGCCATATGACATTCCTCCTTTCACCTGGGAAAAAGATGAACTTGATAGGCTGTCCTTAAAAGAGCATGGTACCATACCATTCTCAAGAGATTACTTAGTTAAGCCAGAGAAGGGGCAAAAATGAAAGGTGCTCAACAAAGTCTTTATACTTTCTCATGAGAAATTTTGTACGCCTAGCAATTTATAATATTTCCATTAAAAAAGAGAGGACACATAGCTTTCAGCGCCCCAACTGAGAAATGTGAAGTTGTAATGGGTTGTCATCACTGTTGATCATTATAAGTATTAAGAATGGAGGGCACAGGGAGGAAGGGAACCCTCACACACTGCTGGTGGGAATGTAAAATGATGTAGCAGCTTTGGAAAGCAGTCTGGCAGTTCCTCAGTAAGTTAAGTATAGAGTTACCATGTGACTCAGCAATTCCACTGCCAGTACCCAAGAGAAATGAAAACAGTATGTCTACACAAAAACTTGTACACAAATGTTCAGTATTATTGATAATAAGAGTTTAAAGTGAAAGTAACCTAAATATCATCCATATTTATCCATTCATCAACTGATGAATGGATAAATAAAATGTGGTGTTATCCTATAATGGAATATTATTTGGCCATAATAAGAAATGAGATAAATGTTATAATATGGGCAAACCTTGAAACATTATCCTAAGTGCAAAAACCCATATAGCCAGTCACAAAAGACTACATATTATATGGTTCTATTTATATGGAATGTCCAGGACATGCAAATCTACGGTGACAGAAAGCAGATCAGTGGTTGCCCTAGGGATACGGGTGACTGAGGGAAAATGGGCCCTGACGGCAAATGGCTGCAGGATTTCTTTTTGGGGTAATGAAAATGTTTAAAATGAATTGTGGTGATGTTTGTAATTGTGGTGCTGTTAGCACGGCTCTGTGGATATACTAAAAACCACTGAATTTTGAACTTTAAGTAAGTAAATTGTATGGTGTGTAAATTATATTTCAAGAAAACTATTATCTACAAGAAAGGAAGAAAAAGGAATAGAAGGCAGGTCACCTCACCTCCAGGGAAACACTGACCATACTGTGGTCAATGGAGGCTGACTGTGGACAAATCTCCTTCACCTGCCTCTTGCAAGATAGGGAGATCTTTACTGCTTAGGTTAAGGAAGGAAGATCAGTGAAAGTCATAATTATTTATTACTTAATATTATATTGAGGAGAAAATAAAAGGGACTTAAAAAAAAAAACTCCTGGTTTGTGTCCTTGGTATTCTGAATCTTTTATTTGGTAACTATGCTGAACAAGGGTATGCACAAGAAAAAGGGAACTTCCTTAATCTTTGAATTAGAATTCCTGCATAACTATATTTTTGTGTCCCCCCAAGTAGAAGTTGTAAACTGGAGGCTCACAGATGTATTAGGTTTAGCCCACGAAGTGTTTGCAAATGTCTGAATTTGTTAACATTTATAAGTCAGGAGATTTCACATAAAAATTCAGATTTCCGGCTGAGTGCGGTGGCTCACACCTGTAATCCCAGCACTTTGGGAGGCTGAGGCAGGTGTTCACCTGAGGTCAGGAGTTCAAGACCAGCCTGGCCAACATGGCGAAACTCCATCTCTACTAAAAATACAAACATTAGCCAGGCATTGTGGTGGGCGCCTGTAATCCCAGCTATTCTGGAGGCTGAGGCAGGAGAATCGCTTGAATCTGGGAGGCAGAGGTTGCAGTGAGCTGAGATCATACCATTCCACTCCAGCCTGGGTGACAAGAGCGCGACTCAGTCTCGAAAAAAAAAAAAAAAATTCAGATTTCCAGCTTCTCTTGAAAAATAGGGAGGTTCTGGCAATCAGGAAGAGCTTCTTTTATTCAGCAAAGGTAACAAATTATCTTTATAAATTGATATACAAGGTACTCATGGATTAAGTTAGCTGGTTCTCGCTCTTACACTAGGAAAGAGAACGCGCCAGAATCAGGGAGTCAGGGACTGGAAGTAACTAGGGGCTGAGGACGGAGGTGTGGCGTAAGCATCTTCAGAGCTAGACTCTGAGATAGCATCTCAGACTGGCATCTTTCTGGTATTCTCACGCTCCCTGCTTTTACTTACCGCGGATGTAACTGAAGGTTTACCTGTGTTTAATGTTGGTTTCCCTGTCTAGATTGAAAACTTGAGGTGACACATAATGTCTTTTCCATAATCCCTTTCACTTGGCACAGTACCTGACACACAGCAGACACTCAATATGTATTTGCTGAGTGAGAAATTAATGAATGAACGAAAAATGCTATAAAACAGGATCTGGAAACAGGTCATCTTTAGGAAACAAAAATCCTACCACTCACTTTTCCAAATGAAAGGATGACCAAATTCTACACAGAACTACAACAGACTTTTACAAATCTGTATTTTAGGACATCTACAGCCCTGGAGATGCTTGGCTCCACCTTCCACAGAGGTGAGTCATCTATTTCTTCATATGGGGCTTGCCCACGCTTGGCCTTGACTCCTCTCATTCTTTTGCTGGGCCCCTATCCTAAAAACTCCAGTCCACGATCAGCAATGCAAAAGTCCTGAAGATCCCAGAGAGTGGAGCTCCCTCAGTGATCCACTCAACACCTGAAAGGCAGCAAGGTGGCAGCCTTCTGGAAACAAATCATTACAAAACCTTCCACAAGGCAATAAGACAGAAAATACTTCCTTTTTAAATTAAAATATAAGATATATAGTTCCATGTGCTCAGTGAAACAAGAGTAACAATAGCAAAAGAAAAAACCAAGTTAGAACTGGAATCCAAAACTACTACTAACAGGGATTTATTATATATAAGAATAACAAGGAGTCAATATTGTCATTATAGTCTATATTAAAATGTACCCAATTGCCCCCCCAAGTATGTCTTTTTCCCTTATATATCTGTGTTTGAATAAATTTTACTCATTGCATTTGGCTATTCTGTCTTTTTTGCCTCTTATAATTAGAAACAGCTCACCCTCTCCATTTTTGTTTTCTCATGTGACTGCCTTCTTTTGAAGAGTTCAGGCCAGCTGGCTTGTAGCATGTCCTGTGTATTGAATTCATCTGATTTTTTTAAATGATCAAATTCAGGTTAAACACCTTGGCACAGACACTATGTAGGTGATATGTATTTCTTACTGCATCACATCAGAAGGCACATAATGACAGACTGTCCCACTACTGGTGATATTAAATTGGATCATTTGGTTAAGGTGTTGAACCACAGAACAGTTTTGCCCTTGTGATTAGTAAGTTAATTATTAAATAATTAATGTAAGAATTAAGTCCATTGTCTTAGTGTGATAATGGTACCATGGCTATGAAGGAGAAAAACTTTGTTTTTTCAGGAGGTGCAAACTGAGATATTTGAGGAAATATCAAAAACTCTGCACCTTACTTTCAAATTGTACAGAAAAATGTCTATTATCTATCTACCTATCTGTCTATCATCTATCTATCTATCCATCTACAAAGATAGGACAAATGTGGAAAATGTTAAAATGTAAACTGGGGAATCTAGTTAACAGGATCTTGATGATCATCAGCTTGTTCTTTCAACTTTTCCAATGGCTTGTAATTTCTCCAAAGCAAAATGCTAAGAGGAAACAAATAAATAAAAAGGATTAACAGTGGGTCAGAACTTGGAGCCCTGGGACCAGAGCATGTAGTAAGCTCAGTAAGACAACACTGAGATGCCAAGGAAGGCATGAGTTAGTATCCTTCTGGTCTTTAGAAAACAAAAACAAAAAAATCACAGGTAGGATGTCAATCAGGAGCCAAAATCACGCCCGCTGGAGTGAGGTGGATGTGGCTCCCCAGATCCAGCTATCTCAGAAGGCATTAATTAACTACAGTTACAACACTCAATAACCCTCACATCTTCCTTTCTCACTTCCACTTTCTCACTTATCAGAGCATTCAAAACTAACTAGGAAATTCATAAATAGAGTGATTTTTTTAAAAAAATTTGAGAATAGGCCTGGCGAGGTGGCTCACGCCTAGAATCCCAGCACTTTGGGAGGCCAAGGCGGGCAGATCACAAGGTCAAGAGATCGAGACCATCCTGGCCAACATGGTGAAATCCCATCTCTACTAAAAATACAAAAAAATCAGCTGGGCCTGGTGGCACGTGCCTGTAATCTCAGCTACTCGGGAGGCCGAGGCAGGAGAATCGCTTGAACCTGGGAGGCAGAGGTTGCAGTGAGCCGAGATCACGCCACTGCACTCCAGCCTGGTGACAGAGTGAGACTCTTCCTCAAAAAACGAAAAATAAAATAAAGTCAGTATCTGCCAAGAAAAAGTATTTCATCATTTTATTAAACAACTCTACTGAATACAAATTTTAAAACTTTCTCTAAAAAAAAAATCACTGCAAGGGACACTGGGGCCATGGGATCGCTTGAGCCAGGAGTTTGAGGCTGCAGTGAGCTATGATCACACCACTGCACTCCAGCCTGGATGACAGAGTGAGAACCTGTCTCAAAAACAAAAACAAACAAACCAAAAAAAATCACTGCAATAGGAAAGGGCACCAAGCGTGTAGCTGGAGAGAATAAGACGTAAGCAATGAGCTCATGATGGAAGGCTGAGTCTGTCACAAGCGCTCTAGATTCCAGGAAATCTGTCCATCATGACAAAAAGCAAATATACATATAGGATTAAAAAAAGGATCACTGGCCAGACGCAGTGGCTCATGCCTGTAATCCCAGCACTTTGGGAGGCTGAGGCGGGCGGATCACCTCAGGTCAGGAATTCAAGACCAGCCTGACCAACATGGAGAAACCCCATCTCTACTAAAAATCAAAATTAGCCAGGTGTGGTGGTGCATGCCTGTAATCCCAGCTACTGGGGAGGCTGAGGCAGGAGAATCGCTTGAACCCGGGAGGCGGAGGTTGCGGTGAGCAGAGATTATGCCATCACACTCCAGCAACAAGAGTGAAACTTGTGCCTAGGCAACAAGAGTGAAACTCCATCTAAAAAAAAAAAAAAAAAGACCACCTCTGCAGGATACGCTCAGTTTCAAGTCAGTTGACTTCTCATATTCCCCCTTATTTTTCCTTTTAACTTCCATGCTCCTGAAAGAGAGAAAAATGGTGACCCCAACATCCAGGGGCACACACCTTTGAAACAGGCCATCTTCTGTAAAAAAACAAAGGGAGGTGTTCATTTGTCTAAGAAAGTTATTTTCCTCAAATTAACACTATAAGCATCACAACTATAACAACCATGATCTGGATAGTGCAGATACTATACACACACACACACACACACACACACACACACACACACACAACTTTATTAAAACATTATAATCTGAGTTCTGGACTAAATTAGGGGTCAAAAGTGGTTTCCAAAAGAAGTCACCCAGCCGGGCGCGGTGGCTCACGCCTGTAATCCCAGTACTTTGGGAGGCCGAGGCGGGCAGATCACAAGGTCAGGAGATCGAGACCATCCTGGCTAACACGTTGAAATCCCGTCTCTACTAAAAATACAAAAAATTAGCCAGGCGTGGTGGCAGGCGCCTGTAGTCCCAGCTATTCCGGAGGCTGAGGCAGGAGAATGGTGTGAACCCCGGGGGCGGAGCCTGCGGTGAGCCGAGATCACGCCACTGCACTCCAGCCTGGGCGACAGCGAGACTCTGTCTCCAAAAAAAAAAAACAAAAAGTCGCCCAACAGTCTCGCTTATTTAAATATAATGATTTCCAAGAATCACTTTTATAGTACCTGGAAAATAAATCTCTAATTCATGTTTTCTAAGCCAGCCATTCTATTTATAACAGATATATTCAGACACTCAATTTGAATATAAAATACATTCAGTTTTCATTTACATGTCAATAAGCATGTTTATTGCCCAAAGGGAAACAGCCATGACAAAATAGAGGATGAAAATGTTCAAAAGAAGGGGATAACTGATGAGGGACAAAAGAATTCCACTGGAAATGGCAACTACAGCTGGAAGAGTGAAGATCTGATTAAGGAAGGTAAGGCATGCAAAGCACTTAAACTCAATCAATGATAGCTATCTTTGTTACTTTGGAAGATAAAGCTGTAAAGACAGTCAGAGATCAGAATATGAAGGGCCTTGTAGGCCATGAGAGGACGTTCTGGATTATCTGATAGAGATCAGGGCTCAGAACTTTCTTCTGGCTCAGAGATTGAACTTCACCAGACATAATATCCTGGGTACTTGGCAAAGTACCTGGCATGCAGCAGGAATTCAGAAATGTTTGCTAAATTGAATAACTTCTCCCTTCCAAGCAATAAGAAGCAAGGCAAGATTTTATTAGATGCTTTGTTTCTAGAGTTAACAGTCAATCAACAACTATCCAAGTCTCATGTGCATCTGTAGTACTCTCAGCTACTTGGGGAGGCTGAGGCTGAAGGAACGCTTGAGCCCAGGAGTTCAAGACTAATCTGGGCAATATACTGAGACTCCATCTCAAAAAAAAGAAAAAAAACAACAACTGTCCAAGCAATTTTCACCCCTAGTCTTGCCTCCAGGACAGCTTGCTTCTTTTTCTCCTTTAAATGTAGTCTTTGAAATGTCCTATCTTTTTATCATCCTGTTTTTGTCACTAGTCCCATCTCAACAAGTCATAATGAGGTTGACCCTTCCTTCCCTCCTATGTCAGTGCTTTTAAAATCTGTTCTGTTTGTGTTTGTTAATTTACGCACACAGCTAAAAACTTGAGGCCCGTCCACTGGTCTTCTCCCTTCTACTCCTTCCCCTACTCATTCCCCTCTCCTCCCCTCCCCTCTCCTCTCCTCCCCTCCCCTCTCCTCTCCTCCCCTCCCCTCTCCTCTCCTCACTTCTCTCTGTCTCCTCTCTCTTTCATAGTTAGTCTTACAAAGACTTTTACTAGAGAATATTCTGCTTGATTCCTTGAACCATGCTTCCAGGACCCCAGCATATTTCCATTTCAAAAATCTTTTGATTATGTGCTTTCAAGTTACAGTTTAAATTATTTACTCCATGGTTCAAGTTATAGTTTAAATTATTTACTCCCTGGGATGAAAGATTGAAGTTTCAGTCCCATATTGACAATTGAGCTAATCAGTGTAATTCTGTACTCGCTTCTTTATCTATAAAATTAGAAAAAGACCATTTGCCAGACTTTATTCTACTTCAAAGACCTGTTATATGAATAAAAATGAGAGAAAAAATAAAAACAGAACTAGTACATAAAATACAACATCCTTTTATACCTAAAAACAAGCTTGAACTACTATTTTACAATGGGAATGATTTTATGCAAATATATAGTATATTACCTTTTTCTTATGTAGTTTCCCGGATGACTAATTACAGGAGTTCTCAAGATAGCAAAGAGAGTATGTGAATGAAATAAGCTAAAACACTTGAACCATCTAGTCCAGCACCTTCACGGGGTAGGAACTGAATAAATGTTAGGCCCCTTTCCTTTGCTTCTCTTTCCTACCTTCCCTATTACCAGATATTATATTTAGTCAATATGTGTTGAAAAAAAGAAACGAACACAGGAACCCAAGGCATGACAAGGCTTCTTCCCAAATGTCTCCCAAGCCCATGCCCTCCCCTCCCCATCCTGCTACTTCCTCGGTTAAGATTTTCATCATGGGTTTTTCTTGCCTCAGTGCACCAGGCTAGGCATTCAGCTCAATATTAGAAAAAAAGTGGTTTGGGAATGTTCTTGTCTTGTTCCTGATCTTGAAGGGAAAACTTTCAAAATTTCACCCTTAAAATATTTGCTTGAGTTTTACGAACAGATACCCTTTTTCAGATGAAAGCTCTCTGCTAGTCCTAGTCTGCTAAGCAGTTCCAGCATCAACACATGCTGAATTTTATTAAATGCTTGTTCTGTATCTACTGAAATGTTTTTCTTTTTAATCTAATAAAAATCTATTTAACCTATGAATGTGATTAATTACACTGATGAATTTCTCTAACGTTACATCAACCATGTATATTAGGATAAGCCCAACTACTAGATGGTGATCTATTATCTTTTTTATATATTGTGGAATTTGCTAAATGTCTGTTGAGGATTTTTACATTTATATTTTTAGGTAGCTTGGCCTTTAATCTTCCTTTCTTGAGTTTGTCTTTCTTCAGTTTTGGTATCAAGGTTATGCTAGTCTCAAAAAAATGAGTAAGGAGTGTCCCTCTTTTTCAGTTCTCTGGAACTGTTTGAACAAAGCTGGAATTAATTATTCTTTTCAATCTGCTGAAGAAATCTCCAGTGAAGCCCTCTGGGTTTGAAGTTCTCTGGGGAGAAAGATTTTGGATTATTGATTCCATTGGTTTAAAAAGTTTATAGGATTCTAAGGTTTTCCATGATGTCTTGAGTCAGTTTTAGTCGGATATTATTCTAGAAATGGATCTATTTTCACAAAATTCTCAGGACTTTTGGCATAAAATTGTTCATACAGCCTCTTTTTATCTTTTTCAAGCCTATAGCTCCTGTAGTGTGGTCTCCCTTCCTGTTCCTGGCATTGTTCACTGGCACTTGTGCTTCAATTTCTCTCCTCCCTGACCTCCACAATCAGTCTTGCCAGAAGTCTGTCAATTTTAATTTTGAAAAATTTATTTTTTATTTTTAGAGATGGGGTCTTGCTCTGTTGCCCAGACTGGAGTGCAGTAGTGTGATCATATCTGACTGCAGCCTTGAACACCTGGGCTCAAGTGAGTCTCCTGCTTCAGCCACCTGGAGTAGCTAGGACTGCAGGCATGTACCACCACACCCAGCTAATTTTAAAAAAAATTTTTTTGTAGAGACAGGCTCTTGCTGTGTTGTCCAGGCTGGTCTCAAACTCCTGGCCTCAAGTGATCCTCAAATACTGGCCTCTCAAAGTGCTGGGATTATAGGCATGAGCCACTGTGCCCAGCATTTGTCAATTTTATTAATCTTTTTTTAAAAAAACTTGCTCCTTGGAAAAGTATGTTAATCTTTTGAAAGAACAAATTTTTGACTTTGTTGATCCTCTGTATTTTTTTTTCTTTTTCATCAAACTATTATTTTCTGTTTTCCTTCTTTGGGTTTAATGTGCTCTACATTTTCTAACTTCTTGAAATTGATGTTTAGATTACTAATTTTTTTCAACCTTCGGTTATTTTTCTAACATGCATTAAAGTCTACAAACTTCCCTCTATGCTTATAGGTTATAGTAGCATCATACAAGTTTTGACAAGTTTTGATATTTTCTTTTTTTTTTTTTAATTATACTTTAAGTTCTGGGATACATGTGCAGAACGTGCAGGTTTGTTACATGGGTAAACACGTGCCATGGCGGTTTGCTGCACCCATCAACCCATCATCTACATTAGGTATTTCTCCTAATGCTATCCTTCCCCTACCCCCCCACCCAAGTTTTGATATTTTCAGTATCATGCAATTCAAAATATTTTCTACTTCCCATGATTTTTTCTTTGACCCAATGATTATTTACAAATTCATTTCTTAATATTCTAGTTATCTTTTTGTTATTCATTTCTAGCTTAATTTCACTGTGGTCAGAGGATTGATTCTGCATGTGATCAATCCTCTGACACTTGTTGAGACTTGCTTTAGGTATGGTCTGTGGCTTCCCCTTCATTTACCTGATGAAGTCTAAACTGTTCCCTGTTCACTGTGACATATAAAGAAGGACCTTTGTGACCTGACTCATTACCTACCTGCCCAGGGAGTACCATCCCCCAGAGACTCTATATGCCAGCCACATCCATCTTCCCCTGGTTTTCACTCATGCCATGCCTTGCACTCTTGCGCCTCTATCCATAATCTTCCCTCTGCCTTTCTGCTCCTCCTAGCCCTCCCTACTCAGCTCAGATGTTACCTCCACCACAAGGCCTTTCCAAGCATCTGTCCGTCCCTGAAACTCCTCAAGTGGTGAAGTGCTGTGGCTATTGGTATCCCTACCTCTTTTCTTTCTCTCGCAATCTAGCCTCCACACAGCTGCCAAAGTGAGCCTTCTAAAATGCAAATCCGACCACATTTCTCTCTCTCCTTTTCATCAGCTGCTTCCGCCTAACTCAGAATCCAAACTCTGCATTCCACACAAGACTCTCCCAGCCCTTTTCCAGGCCCCTCCACTTTATTCATGCTACTATCACTGCCTAGAATGCACTTCTCATCTTATTCATTCATCTTTCAAGTCCAGGCTTGAGAGTCACTTCCTCTTATTTTGCTGAGGGAATAAAGGAACACAACCTCCCATTTTAAATTCTAGGTGCTCAACAGAAATTCCAGAAGAGACCTCTGTGTTGTTAATTTTCCTTCACACAAAAGTCCAGAACACTACTTTTCCACCAGGTCTTTCCATTAAGGGTAGAAGCCTTTAATGGCCCTGCTGCATTAAATCTAAACTCCACACCTCACCTTAGGGCCTTCTGTCATCGACTCTGCCCTGCTCTGCAATCCTCGGTCTCACTACTCCCCGCCCCCCACCATTCCTCACAAGCCGCTCTCAGCTCTCACTGAAGCTTACAAAATATTTCGAGTACTCTGTCTGCTAGAGCACTTTCCCAGGTCCCCACATGTCCTACCCCAACCGCCAGGTCCCTGCTTCAGTGCCCATCTCTTCCTCAAAGCTTTCCTTGACATCACTTCTTATTTATTTACTTATTTTTTTTTAAATCGCCACTTCTTTGTTGTCTCTGAAACACTTCATCTCATTGTCTTGTCCTTGGTTACTTCCTGTGAGTCTCAGCTTTCAGTCTTTAAAATTCCCAGGCCCAGGCACCTCTCTTCCTAAATGCCCCACACTGCCTGGAATAAAGCTGAGTAAGTAACAAGCTGTCAGTCAGCAGTAATCCTCATAGACTGACAGAAGAAGTCATTGATATCTCTCCCTTGGCCTCTCTTCCTCTGACTTAAGGGCTACTTGGGTGGTATTCATGTGAATCCGGGCAAGGAGCTGTCAGGGCTATTTGAATGACTATTTCCTTGTAATTTCCTCCACTGGATTTTTTATTCCAGCTCTTAGAGGAGAAATAGGAACATGAATAATGGTGCTGGTCTCAGTGAAGAGACCTGTCTCTTCAAGCTTCTTTCTTCAAGCACAGAGAAGCTCATGTGCTTCCCTGCAGCACACATCTATCTCCATTGTTACCATGTGAAAGACATCAATCCTGTTATGGCTGAGGGAAAGAGGAGCTTGTTTTTACAGCTACATGGCAGGATCAGAAGCTTCTCAATCTTCTCCTATACCACTAAAAAAAAAGCGCACGCGGACGCGCGGACGCGCGCGCGCGCGCGCACACACACACACACACACACACACACACACAGACACACACAGACACACACATGCACATGAAATTGTTTTACCCTTTTTTGCCTTTCCAGAGCAAGGAATCCTTAAATTCTCAGCTCTGTATTCCTCCCTTCTTTTCCTTCTCTCTGATAAAGTTTAGCTTTCCTCAGCCTTTTAAAATGTCCCCAGGTAAGTAAAACTATGATACTATGATGGTGGCAATTTAAGTATTTTAAGTGTGGGGAACCTAAAACATACAGTTTTAGAAGTGTCTTTGATTCACCAATAGTGATGAAATGGAGCCACCACACAGGTATGAGCAACATCACAGTGTAGCTGTGAGGGCTACGTGGCCTCCTCTCAGTTAGGTGGGACCACACGACTGAGTACTGATCTGTGGAACGTGCGCTGCAGGGAAGCACATGAACTTCTCTGTGCTTGAAGAGAGAAGCTTGAAGAGAGAGGTCTCTTCACTGAGACCTGCACAGTTCTCCATGTTCCTGTCCATTTCTCCTCTGGGAGCTGGTTTAGAGAATCCAGTGAAGGACTCCAGGCCCTAGGGCCTGGGGGAGTCACTAGATGAAGTCTGTGGCCCTAAATGAATTAGGTAGAGCAGAATTCCTCCCCACCAATATAGAACTGCACCAGATTGTGACAGGAGAGAAATAACCTTTATTGTGTTAAAACCACTGAAATTTGGGGGTAGTTGGTTACACTAGAGTTCACCCTGACACTAAAATGATAAATGAAAAATGAAATTATTTTTATTTTTATTCTTAAAGTTAAAAATAACAAGTATTCTTAAGTATTGCTTCAAAGCAATTCTGTCTAAAGCTGTCTTCTATTACTCTACCAGCCCTTTCAGGAGAGCCCTTTGGGCACTATGGTGGAAGCTGTAGAGGCCACTCAGTAACTAAAGGGCTTATTCCCCAGCTGCTGGGATGGTGAAGGACAGAAAGGCCTCAACTGTCAGCCCTCTTCAGGGAATGCATCTGCTGAAGAGCGCTGCCTGGCCCACGGCCATGCCCCTTCCTGGGGCAGCCCTCGTCCAATGACGGGTCAGGAGGAGCTGTAAAGGCACAGCTCTCTCACTCTATGGCTTAGAAAACATGGATTATCTGAGCCCTAGTCCCCATGGGGTGGGCTGAGGCCTTTTACTGAGACTGAATCACGGCCCGATTTTTCCCCCTATACAATCTCCACATCTTTCCCTTTTCTTTTCCCTTCTTCCTCATTTCCTTTCTTTTCCTTCCAGGAGTATTGATTCCATAACCACTCCCTAATAAGCTTTTCACACCCTAATCTTTATCTCAGAGTTTGCTTCCCCTGGATCTCGGCCTGAGACAGGTACTATATCCCGATGCAATATTGTGTTGCGCGACTCTACCTCATTATATAGCCCAAATACTATATTTTCCAATCAAAAATACACAAAATCACAGTGGGATGGAACCTTTAAAATTGAGACTCTGCAAAAATTCAGAATGTACTATACTATTAAAAGACTGTTTATAAGAAAGTAAGAAATACCACAGACATTTTGAGGGCCCCTCTGAGAAAAGGAGCTCTGAAATTGTCTTAAGGAAAATATTACCTCCTTGCTTATAACCAAATAAATTATTAAATACATAACAGAGCTACATAAAAGTTATTAAGGATCTATTAATATTATTCATCTGTGCTGATACCTTGTACTATTGTAATTATAGCAGTTACTTTCTGAGTGTTCACAACACAGTGCTAAGAGCTCTACACACACTATCTCATTGAATAAATGACAGTTAAGAAATGACCCAAAGTCACATAGCCAGGACTCAACGTTAGGTGGGGTGGATTCCAAAGCCTCAACTCTTATGTTCCACTATGTTGTAATGCCTCTACTGTCTTGCATATTCAAGCTCTGAGAGAGGTTAACACTGTAAGGAGTATAGTTCACTAAGTAATTTGCAGGGGAGCCTGGAACATAAGGCAGATATAGAGGATTCCAAAACACACACTCTCTCCTCTCACCCCTCCATTGCCTCCTCTGATGGCTTAGACACTGGCCTGCCTTTGGATGCCCACGGTCTAGTAAGTGAGTTGAAGAACTACTCCATGCAGGATTTTGCCAGAAGTCATTCCAGCGCTAATCTGTCCTGTGGCAATCAAAAGGTTCTTCTGCCCTCTTGTGGCTCAGGGTGACTGCTACATATCAAAGCTCCATTAAAAAGCTGAAACACCATATAAAGGCACTTGGCAGCCAGGCACAAAACAGCAGAAGGCAACGCTGATTGGCTTGAAATGGAGCCTATTTAATAACCTAAAAATTTGATCCGCCACTCCTCCATGCCAACTATTGCTCATAATAAGAAAGTTAGAAAGAATAACAGAATACTAGAACTCATAGAAAAACAAACCCAAGAACCCAGTATCTCGTAATTGTAAGGAATATAACAACCAGCTACATCCATTTACAACAATGATAAAAGTTTAAAACATTATAAGCCCCAAAGAAAACTCCCCATCCTTGCTTTTTTACACCTAACAGTATATTTCAGAAATCTTTTCATATTAGTGTATACAGAGCCTCCTCATCTTCAGGTGCAGAGTACTCACCGGATGGGGGAACCATGATTTAATTAACTTGTTCTCTACTGGTAAACATTCTAATTGCTTCCAAATTTTTGCTATTAAAAACAATGCTGCAAATAAACAAAGTGCTGCGATGGGTAACCTTGTGCATATATCATTTTGCAAGTGTGCAAGAATCCCAGTAGGGGAATTCCTAGAAGTGGAAATGCTGGGTCCAAGGGCAAGGGCACATACATGCCTTTGCACGACTTCTTGAAACTTTTTCTTCTGTTGGTTTTCCCTCCTATCTGTCTGGCTGCTCCTTCTCAGGCTTCTTCCCATTGTGCCCTTCCTCCTGCTTACCCCTCCTTGGTTATCATTTCCCCAGGACTTGGTTTTTGGTCCCCTTTCATCCTATCTCCTCTCTCCCCAGCAGTCTCACCCACTCTTATCTTCCAGCTATCAGTTTTCTTCCCAGAAAGAAACCAAAGTTATTATTTCTGGGTTTTATGCTTCCAGTTATTTTATGCATATGTATGCAAACCTATATATAATATATATGCTTATGTATGTATAACTATGGAGATACACACAGACAACTTCCCCGTCCTCTTGTTATAAATGGTAGCGTTTATATCCTCAATGGAAGCAGTTTTAAGGGGATGCCGCCAAGCAACAACCTTCACAGGAGATAAAACTGTGGCCCCCAACACTTTTCAACCTATAGTTGAATTCTTTGCCAGGCAACTGGAGTGAACTCAAAGGGGAAGATTAAAAGTATTGTCTCCCACCCTGGACTACTCGCCAAGTAGCCATGCATTAATTTAAGGGCTAGAGGGAAGGATAGAGCACAAAGGCCAATAAGTAAAACATCAGAGACTAAATAAGTCTCTGATACCTTCACAGATATGGTTACATACCTGTGTAAAGGTTTGGTTTGACTTTTTGGTTTTTCTTTCTTTTTTTTTTTTTTTTAATGAGACAGGGTCTTGCTCTGTTGCTAAGGCTGGAGTACAGTGGCTCACTGGAGCCTCAATCTCCTGGGTTCAAGCGATCCTCCTGCCTTAGCCTCCCAAGTGGCTGGGACTATAGGCACGTGCCACCACATCCGACTGATTTTTCATTTTTATTTTCGGTAGAGACGAGGTCTCACTATGTTCCCCAGTCTGGTCTCAAACTTCTGGGCTCAAGTGAACCTCCTGCCTTGGCCTCCCAAAGTGCTGGGATTGCAGGTATGAGCCACCAAGCCCAGCCTGAATTTTTTTTTTTTTTTTTTTTTTTTTTTTTGAGACAGAGTGTCGCTCTGTTGCCCAGGCTGGAGTGCAGTGGTGCCATCTTGGCTCACTGCAAGCTCCGCCTCCTGGGTTCACGCTATTCTCCTGCCCCAGCCTCCCGAGTAGCTGGGACTACAGGCGCCCACCACCATGCCCGGCTAATTTTTTTGTATTTTTAGTAGAGACTGGGTTTCACTGTGTTAGCCAGGATGGTCTCGATCTCCTGACCTCGTGATCCGCCCACCTTGGCCTCCCAAAGTGCTGGGATTACAGGCATGAGCCACCGCGCCCGGCCCAGCCTGACTTTTTTTTAATGAAAGTTTTTAACCACAAGTAGAGAGAATAGTATAATGAACCCCATCCTACAGATTCAACAATTAAAACATTTTACTTCTGACTTCCTTTCTTCCTTTGTTTTTTCCTTCCTTCCCTTGCCCCCTTTTCTTTCTCCTTCTCTCTTTTTTGGCTGCATTATTATAAAACAAGTCCCTGACACCATGTCATTTCATATCTAAATACATCCTTCTGGACATTATAAAACACAAAGACATTTCTTTACACGACCACAATATCATTAACACAAGGTAAATTTCTTAATTTCATCAAATGCTCAAACTACATTCATATTTCCACAATTATCTAAAAAAAAAAAAATCTTTTTACAGTTAGCTACTTAAATTTTGAAGGAAATATATAGCCAAATAAACTCCAAGCCCAGCCTGCAATGGCTTGTGACTATTAAATCTTACAAGAATTCCCAGGCTCCCAAAACCCCCAACAACAGGAAATGAACTGCTGAAGCTGTCCAGCTCCCGGAGGGACATTCTTCCACTGCTCAGCCTAGTGTGGCCTTGGCAGATAATGGTTAAGGAAGAATCACCCTATTTCCCTTAGATATCATCCTCCTATCCCCTCCAACCACTAATCTACTTTCTGACTCTATAGATTTGCCTGTTTTGGACATGTCAGTGAAACCATTAAATATGTGGCCTTTGTGGCCTGCTTCTTTCTCTCAGCATAATGTTTTCAAGGCTCATCCATATTGTAGCATTATCAGTATCTCATTCCTCTTTATTGCAGAACAGTCCATCGTTTGGATATACCACATTTTATTTTTTTATTTATCCCTTCTTCAGCTGTTGTGTATTTGAGTTGTTTCCACTTTTTGGCTACAAGAAATAATAGTGCTATCAACATTTTTTTTTTTTGAGACGGAGCCTTGCTGTGTCACCCAAGCTGGAATGCAGTGGTATGATCTCAGGTCACTGCAACCTCCACCTCCCGAGTTCAAGCGATTCTCCTGCCTCAGCCTCCCGAGTAGCTGGGACTACAGGTGCCTACCACCACGCCCGGCTAATTTTTTGTATTTTTTAGTAGAGACGGGGTTTCACCGTGTTAGCCGGGATGGTCCCGATCTCCTGACTTCGTGATCCACCTGCCTTGGCCTCCCAAAGTGCTGGGATTACAGGCGTGAGCCACTGCGCCTGGCCTGAATAGATCTTTTATCCATGCATGATTCTGTAACATCCTAACAGTAGTCATTTGCGCATTATGGGTTCACTGAGTTATACACATCTTCCAATGATTTCACATTCGTTATAAAATATCAAAAAATCTCATTTGTTAATATATCTACTGACTGTATCAGACAAGTGTTTAAATATTGAGATGTCAGGCTTATGGCAGCAGATGTAAGTTTTTCAGAATTCTAGTCTTCACTTGAAAGCCAGAGTTTTCTCACTGCAAAAAAATACTGCCAGTGGTTTCCCTTGAAGTGACAGGCTTACTTCATTCATCTTTGAGAAAAGGTCTGTCAAAACCCAGTCTAAATAACCATACTTTGTCTATCATTTCTTTCAAGTAAAAATGGTACCCCCAAAAGAGCAGCTAGTTCAGCTTGTAGTACAAACAATCCATACCATGAGGGCTTTTCCTTGGGGCAACAATAAAGCTTCAGTGTGCAGTGGTAGTGTTTTATGCGTATTTTTCCCATTTCATCACCACATTTTTTTTGAGATGGGTTCTCACTATGTTGCTCAGGCTGGCCTCAAGTGATCCTTCTGTCTCAACCTCCTGAGTAGACATTCGTTTTTGAGTGAAACAACGCATATCCAAAAATTGAGATTTCATGAAATTAAATGTTTCGTCAATAACATTTTTAAGTAAAATTGGCTTCATTTTATTTCCTACCACGTGTGGCAGTGAGAAATATAATGACAACTATAATAGCAGTTTAGTGCTACTGATTTGACTTGTGCTAAGGGGCAAGCAGCTTTACCTGCCATCGCTTTGTAGCATCAGTGCAGATGCCAACACAGTGCAACAGGCAACCAAAATACACTTGACCAAACTTTAATAACCACTCTACAAAAGACAGTAGTTCTCTGCTTTGCTCAGAGAGACTAAGTCTTATAAGCACAGCTCTTCTTGCTTAAACTACCAATACACTCAGCTTTATGTTTCAGATATTAAGTGCTGGACTCTTCCCTCAACATTTGTTTTTTGTTTGTTTGTTTTTTTGAGATGGAGTCTCGCTCTGTCACCCAGGATGGAATGCAGTGGCGTGATCTCAGCTCACTGCAATCTCCACCTCCCAGGTTCAAGCGATTCTCCCACCTTAGCCTCCCGAATAGCTGGGATTACAGGCACATGCCACCACGCCCAGCTAATTTTTGTATTTTTAGTAGAGGTGGAGTTTCACCATGTTGGCCAGGATGGTCTCGATCTCCTGACCTCCTGATCCACCTGCCTCGGCCTCCCAAAGTGCTGGGATTACAGGCGTGAGCCACCACGCCCAGCCTAGTTTTTTCTTTTATTGAGTTTCATGCCTTTTTTTCATCACTATATATCCCCTTCTGTGTGTGTGTGTGTGTGTGTGTGTGTGTGTGTGTGTGTGTGCGCGCGCTTTTGTTTGTTTTTTAGGAGACAGTCTCGCTCTGTTGCCCACGCTGGAGGGCTGTGATATGATCATAACTTACTGCAATCTTGAATTCCTAGGCTCAACTGATTCTCTTACCTCAGCCTCCTCCTGAGTAGCTAGGACTACAAGCACACGCCACCACGCCTGCCTGATTTTTAAATTATTTACCATTATTATTTGGTAAAGACAGAGTCTTGCTATGTTGCCCAGGCTGGTCTCGAACTCCTAGCCTCAAATGATCCTCCTGCCTGAGCCTCCCAAAGTGCTGGAATTATAGGTGTGAACTATCATGCCTGACCTCTTCTAGTTAGTTTTTAAGTTATGCACTTTACATACTTTCTATTCTTGTTGTGGTTGACCTAGAAATCTTTAGCCTACATAATTAACTGAAAAAAGTCTAAGTTTATCAACATACTTAACTGACCCACCAAAGGATATAAGAAAAATACTTTAAATCTTAATGCTGTCTCTCAATTTAAATTTTATTATTAAGATTAGGTGCGGTGGCTGATGCCTGTAATCCCAACACTTTGGGAGGCAAGGAAGGAGAATCACTTGAGGCCAGGAGTTCAAGACCAGCCTGGGCAATATAGCAAAACCCTGTCTCTACAAAAAATTTAAAAACATTAGCCAGGTATAGAGGCACACTTCTGTAGTCCTAGCTACCCAGGAGACTGAGGTGGGAGGATTGCCTGAGCCCAGGACTTTGAGGTTGCAGTGAACTATAATTGCACCACTGCACTCCAGCCTGGGTGGCAGAACAAGACCATGTCTTAAAAAAATTGTTTTTAAATTACTAACTGGTAGTATAGTTCCATTCTTCTGTTTTTATAATGCCAAATATTGATTGGATGATACTGCCTTTTTTTTGGGGGGGGGGGTGGTATGCAGCCAATGGAGTATAGTATAGTATAAGAGTAGTGTCTTATTGTGGTTTTAATTCGCATTTAATACTAATTTGATGCTGAGAATCTTTTCAAGTGCTTACTTGCCATGTGTATGTCTACTTTGGTGAAGTGTCTATACATATCTTTGTTTATTTTTAGCTGGCTCTTTGTCTACTTATTACTGAATAGTAAGGTACAAGACCTTTGTCTTGTATTGACTTTGTTTTGACTTTTTATTGACTTAGTAAAGTACAACAGTAAAGTACAAGACCTTTGTTGTAGATGTTTCACAATATTTTCTCCCAGGCTGTGGCTTGCCTTTAAATATTTGTAACAGTGTTGTTTAAAGAGCAAAAGTTTTTACTTTTGATAAAGTTCAATGTTTTTTTTTATGCTTTTCTGCCCTATTTAAGAAATCTTTACCAAACTCAAAATCACTAACATTTCTCTCCTATATTTTGTTCTATGCGTTTTTTAGTCTTAGCTCTTCTGTTTAGGTTGCATGATCCATTTCAAGTTAATTTTGTACATGGTGAGAAATAAGAATCAGTGTTCTTTTGTTTGTTTTTGTGCAACCAGTTATTGAAAAGACTATACTTTCTCCTTTGAATTGCCTGGGCCCCTTTGTGAAAAATCAATCGGCCATATATGTGTGGGTCTATTTCTGGGCTCTGTTTTCTGTCTCATTGATCTATATATCTATCTTTATACCAGTACCACTCTATCTTGATTGCTGCTGGCTTTATGATAAGTTTTGAAAGCAGGTAATGTAAACCCTCCAACTTTGTTCTTTTTCAAAATGGTTTGACTATTCTTGAATCTCTATATTTCTATATAAGTTTTAAAATCAGTTTTCAATTTCTACCAAAGCAAAAATTTTTTAAAGACAAAAAAACCCAAGCCTTCTGGGATTTTGATTGAGAGAATGTGCTGCATTTTAAAACACATTGGGGGCCAGGTGCGGTGCTTCATGCCTGTAATCCCAGCACTTTGAGAGGCTGAGGTAGGCGGATTACTTGAGGTCAGGAGTTTGAGACCAGCCTGGCCAACATGGTGAAACCCCATCTCTACTAAAAATATAAAAGTTAGCTAGGCGTGGTGGTGGGTGCCTGTAGTCCCAGGTACTTGGGGGTGCTGAGCCAGGAGAATCACTTGAACCGGGAGGCAGAGGTTGCAGTGAGCTGAGATCACGCCACTGCACTTCAGCCTGGGTGACAGAGCGAGACCCTGCCTCAAAAAATAAAATAAAACACATTGGGGAGATTTAGTAACATTAATAGGTCTTCTGACCCATGAACATGGTATGTCGATTTCAATATTCTTTAATTTCCCACAGTAATCTTTTGTAGGTTTTAGTGAACATCTTGGCCATTCTGCTCCCTAGAGGGCCTTACTCCTTGTGCTTAGATGGGCCATCCTTCTAACCATCATGGAATGTATAGGTATACAGAAACAATTATCCAACCATATCAAGTGAGTTGCAATGAACCCTATGGAAATAATATAAATCAAGTCTTCACTTTTATTCTCCCTTTTCACTATGTCTCTCCTCCTGCAAAGGCAACCGTTCTATTTTGTTTAATGTGTGCGTGCGTGTGTGTGTGTGTGTATACAATACATATATAGTTTATGTTCTCTTAATACATTTATGTTTTATATCATGTGCTTTTTCTTATCAACTTTATAAAGGAATAATTTACATATAATAAACTGCATCAATTTAAAGTACATGATTTGAAGTTTTGAAAGTTGTACACATACATAAAATCACAATCAAGGTAAAGGACATTTCCACTGATCCCAAAAAAATTTTTTGTGTCCGTTTGCAATCCCTCCCTCCCTTCACTCTTCACCCCAGATAAATACTGATCTAAGTTACTAATTTAGTTTCCATTTCACATACATGGTGCCATACAATATGTACTTTTTTAAATGTAGGATTTCTTTTGTTCAGCGTTAGTTTGATATTTATCTATTATGTCATATGTATCAAGTTTGTTCCTTTTATTTTTCCTTTCCTTTTCTTTTCTTCTTCTTCTTTTTTTTTTTTTTTTTTGAGACTGGTTCTCACTCTGTCTACCAGGTTAGAGTACAATAGTGCAATTATAGCCCACTACAGCCTCAAAATCCTGGGCTCAAGTGATCCTCCCACCTCAGCCTCCTGAGTAGCTAGGACAACAGGCATGTACCACCATGCCAGGCTAATTTTTTATTTTCAGTTTTTGTAGAGATGGGTGTCTCACTATGTTGCCCAGGCTGGTCTCAAACTCCTAGAAGTGATCCTCCCAACTTGGCCCCCCAAAGCACTAGGAGCCAATGTGCTTGGCCAATATTTTTAATTTTGGTAAAGTTTATCAATTTTTAATTTTATGGTTCATGCTTCTTGTATCCTTAAAAACCTTTGTCTGTATCTTTCTAATTTACCTAAGTGAAACTGTGTTTCTGCTTCCTTTTTGATTCCAACTATGTTTTCTAAGTCTCGTCCATATAGTTTTTGTATATTTGGTCTGTTATTTCTAACAACTGCATATCATTTGATGATATAAATACCCTACTTTTTGCCTACTGAACCCCCACCCCAGGAAGGAAATACATTCATCCTCTAACTCACTGGGTTCACAAGTAATGCATGTTTCTGGTAAGTTCTGTGGAATATAAATAAAAGACTTGCTGAGCTAAAGCATATGTGTATACTTAAGTTGATTAATTATTGCTAGCGTGCTCTCCAGAATGGCTGTACCAATGTACTTTTCTACCAGTAAAGGATATAAGTTACAATAGTCTCACATTCCAGCCAACACGTGACATTATCTAGCTTTCTAATTTCTTATCAGTCTAAGAGATATAAAACATCTTATTTTAATTTGAATATTTTTATAGCCCATGAGTTTGACTATCTCTTCATATGCTTAGCATTATGGGTTTCTTATTCTGTAAACTGTCTGTTCTAATTCTTTGCCTGTTTTCTACTGGGGTTGTTCTTTTTCTTCTTGATTTGCAGGAATTCCCTGTACATTCCTTGAGAATTTTAAACATTGAAAATGTTTTCTCCCAGTAAATTATCTGTGTATTAACCATGTCTATGATGTCATTAATAGCACAAAATCCTTAAATTAGATTTAAACAAGTTCATCAACTTTTTGCCTACAATGTTTGCCTTTAAGGTTTTGTTTAGTCCTTCCCTTAGATACCTAATTCACAAAGATAATCTTTTATTATGTTTTTTTTTTTGAGACAGGGTTTTGCTCTATCACCTAGGCTGGAGTGCAGCC
This sequence comes from Homo sapiens, assembly GCF_000001405.40. Classification (NCBI taxonomy): domain Eukaryota; kingdom Metazoa; phylum Chordata; class Mammalia; order Primates; family Hominidae; genus Homo; species Homo sapiens. The sequence goes on along the minus strand of NC_000001.11, from coordinate 43,754,884 downwards.
TTGACCTCACAAACTCAAGCAATTCTTCCACCTCAGCTTCCCGAGTAGCTGGTACTACAGGAACACACCACTACACTCAGCTAATTTTGTAATTTTGTGTAGAGGTGGGATCTCACTATGCTGCTCAGGCTGGTATCAAAGTCCAAGCCATCCTCCTGCCTCATCTTCCCGAAGTGCTGCTGCACCAAGCCACAGAGATAATCTTTTGTTTTCTTGGTTACTTTCTAATTTTACCAGTCTCATTTAAATCTTTAGTCTGCCTGAATTCTACACTTGTACCTGGAGTTAGGGATGGACTCAGTTTTGTTCAGCTTCATCCAACGAGCCTGTATGCCCTTTCTCCTTCGACTTGTGGTGCCATCTTTACGTTCTACTAAATTCCTATTATACATGATGCTGGCGTGGTGGCTCATGCCTGTAATCCCAGCACTTTGGGAGGCTGAGGTGGGTGGATTGCTTGAGGTCAGGAGTTAGAGACCAGCCTGGCTAACGCGGTGAAACCTCGTCTCTACTAAAATACAAAAATTAGCCGGATGGGGTGCTTGGTGCCTGCAATCTCAGCTACTCGGGAGGCTGAGGCAAGAGAATTCCTTGAACCTAGGAGGCAGAGGATGCAGTGAGCCGGGACTGTGCCACTGCACCACTCCAGCCTGGGTGACAGAGCAAGATTCCGTCTCAAAAAGCAAACAAACACAATTCCTATTATACATGAGTTTTGTCTCTGAGTTATTTTTTAAATTGGTTACTTTTTCTGTCTTAGCACAACACTACCATTTTTAATTGTATGGCTCTAAGAATATCTTAATACCTGAGAGAGCAAGACCCTCTCCTTTTTACAGTGAGAAATAAAGCTAGCCCATAATTTTGGTGCATATACGTACAGATTTCTCTAATGAACTGACGTTCTGTGAAGGTGGCTGGACTGGAGAGAGAGGAGACAGTAAGTTACCTGAGAGTAGACCAAGGCAGGAGCAGGATCTGGGCGGGAGGGAGTACAGCCCTTCCAGGTCCAGCAGGAGGGTGTGCCTGAGCATCCTTCAACCCAGCTGCAGCCCTCCTAACCCAGGGCACTTATGAATCCTGAGAAGGCTATGATATAAAGAACTGGGATACCAGAGGCCCAGCTAGGGGAATCCCTTCAGAAAGAGCAGCTCATTAGAAGCAGGAGGAACTTTCATCAGGTCAAAGAGGGAGAAAGCCACTGACAAAGGTCAGCAGTCTAGAATAGATTACAGTAACATGAAGTTTAGAACATGACATCAGCAAGGATGGAAAAAGTAATAGAGAGCAGCAGGGAGGGAACTGAGACCTGTCTGCATTCCTCCCACCATCACATACCCTCTCAGAACAAGTGGTGATTCTCAAAGTATGGTCCACAGCCTACTGATGGGTTCTTACAATGGCCTATAAACTGATCCAAAAATGCAAGTCTTTCTTTGTGACACACGACATGGAATCCACAAACTTTCACTTTTATTTACAATTAGGCCTTACTTAAGTTACTAGAAACCCACAAAATAAATTACTGAGTTACAAAAATGTGCTATAGGTAAAACCAAAAATAGCACTTTACTGGAGTGTACTCTGAGCCCTATACCACTATTTCATTAAGCAGTCTGCACACCAGGCAATATTCAACTGCACTGCACAGCAGCTCTAACTCATGCCCACGCGTGTACAGGGTCCCTACAGTTCTCTGGAATATACTCTGTTATCAGTGTGCCATCAGTGCTGTCTTGAATTGGACATGGTGTCCCACTGTGTTACTGCTTTTAAATTATAAATTTGAGTTAGCTTAGCCATTAGTTCAGTTTCTGTAAATTGTTTAGTTATAACCTTTACAATGAGTACTGATGCATATTTACATCAATAAGATTTCTGACTTAATTTTCCAATTACAAGGTCTCAAGGCATATATGAGTTACTGTTCAAATATGAATAATCTTTTAAAGATTTATACATAATCCTCTAAAATTTGTTTGTAGAGAGACAGTCCATCTCTATCATCCAGTTCTTTCTCTACTGAAAAGTGAAATTAGATGAACAAGAGGTTTTTTGCCTTAAAGTTTGCTATAGTCAAGAAAACTTGTTGACTGGACGTGGTGGCTCATGCCAGCAGTTTGGGAGTCTGAGGTGGGAGGATCGCTTGAGCCCAGGAGTTCAAGACGAGCCTGGGCAAACATGGTGAGACCCACTCCTACAAAAATATAAAAATTAGCCAGGCATGGTGGTGTGCACCTGTAGTCCCAACCACCACATGGGAGGATGAGATGGGAGGCTTACTTGAGCCCAGGAGGTGGAGGTTGCAGTGAGCCGTGATTGTGCCACTGCACTCCAGCCTGGGACACAGAGCGAGACCCTGTCTGAAACAAACAAACAAAATATTGTGAGGGAATAAGTGAGGAAGAAGAGCCAAGGAAAAAATATTTAGTCTATGAAACAGGTGGGTGAATCAGGGGCTTCAGATATCAAGTATTGTTACTGAGAGCACAAACTTTGAAGACAGGAAACCTTTAGTTAAAGCTTTGTCTCTGTTAGTGATCAACCCACTTAAAATTGTTTTCCCACCTGCAAAATGGAACAAGAGCAGTCCCCACTTTACCAGTGTGATCTCAAAAAAGGCATTAACTTGTTGAGCCTCATTAGCCTTACCTGTAAAATGTGGAAATACTATCAAACATACCTAGTAGATTAAATAACATGATGCATGCAAAGCGCTTTAGAACACTGTGAGCTCCAAGCACATAGTTGAATGTTCAAAAAATTTAGGCCGGGCGCAGTGGCTCACACCTGTAATCCCCGCACTTAGGGAGGCCAAGGCAGGAGGATAGCCTGAGGTCAGGAGTTCGAGACCAGCCTCACCAACATGGTGAAACCCTGCCTCTATTAAAAAGACAAAATTAGTCGGGTGTGGTAGCAGGGCCTGTAATCCCAGCTACTGAGGAAACTGAGACAGGAGAATCGCTTGAACCCGGAGGTGGAGGTTGCAGTGAGCCGAGATCGCGCCACTGCACTCCAGCCTGGGTGACGAGAACCTCCGTCTCAAAAAAAAACAGAACAAAAAAAAATGTAACCAATTACAACCTCGTAAGGTTGCTAGATTATAACGACCATGAGAGTAGGACAGGCCTATATTCATCTTTCTATCCCAAAGACCTGACACAGAATACGCCAGGAATACTCTAACTGCCAATTAATGTTTACTGCTGTTGATTTTGAGCTTCCTACAAATAAAGTGTGGGATTGACCTATCTGTATACATATGCATTTGAGTGTGTCTCTGTGTGTATGTAAGTGAAAAAGATCATCCTTATATACTTTCCATCTTCATGTAGGAGTATATGAAGATCTACCTTAGCCATTTCAATGGCTGCAGAGTATCTGTCAAATGGACATGCCATTATTTATTTACTCAATCTTTTATTGTTTCCATTTTTTTCTTATAAACAATGCAATGTGCACACCTGTACATATATCTGTGCATGCTTGTTCTGTATTTCTTTAGGAAGTAAAACTGATGGATCAAAAGGCATGTATATTTATACTTTTGAATACACACTATTATATTGCCTTCCAGGAACCCACTTATATTATATAAAAATAATGGTTTACTTATGCATGTACAGGGCATTATAATTCTAAACTCTTTGCCAGCATGAAAGGTACTGCCAATATGGAAAAATAAAATAACAATTACGTACCATCATTCTTTTATACTTTGTATTTCTTTAAAAAACAGTGAGAATATTTTTGTAAATAAACACTAACCACTTATAATTTTCCTTCTGTGAAATTAAGATGTTCCTGCATTTTATCAATTTTTCTATTTAAGTGTTGGTTTTTCCAATTTATACAAGCTCTTTATATATATTAAGAATATCATCTCTCTGTCATATATACCAAAAATATTTTTCCTGGCTTGTTGTTCATCTTAACTTTGCTTAGAATTTCTAGAGAATTTTTTAAAACAGAAGTTTTAATAAAAGATAGCTTTTTTTTTTTCTTGAGACAAAGTCTCACTCACTTTATCAGCCAGGCTGGAGTGCAGAGGCGTGAGCACAGCTCAGGCATGAACATGGCTCACTGAGCCTCCTAAGTAGCTGAGACTACAGGTGCACACCACCACGCTGGGCTAATTTTTTTTTTTTTTTACTTGTTGTAGAGACAGGGTCTTCCAATATTGCCTAGGCTGGTCTCAAACTCCTGGGCTCAAGAGATCCTCCTGCCTTAGCCTCTGAATGTACTGGGATTACAGGCATTAGCCACTGTGCTGGGCCAAAAGATAACATTTTTCATTCTTTTATGGTTTGGTATCAAGCGAATAAAATCCCTTTCTCAACCCCAATATCATATTCTTTATTGTTTTCTAGTACTTTAATTTAGTTCTTTATAATTAAATATCTAATCTAGCTGAAATTTATTTTTGTCTAAGGTGTATATTTGTTTTACTTACCTACTGATGGAAATTTAGGTTGTTTCCAGTACCTGGCTATTGTTAATAAAGCTGCCACCAACATTTGTTTACAACTCTTTTTGTAGGCAAAGGTTTTCATTTATCTTGGGAAGTATGAGTTGCTGAGTCATGTACTAAACATATGCTGAACTTTAAAAGAAATTGCCAAATTGTTTTCCACAGTGGTTGTACCATTTTACACTCCATTTGAAAACACAAGAGAGTTGCTAAGTTGAAGCATGCTAATCTTTAAATTTCAGCAATTCTAATGGGTGTGAAGTGGCATTTCACTGAGGTTTTAATTTGCTTTCCCTGACGTCTAATGATGATGAATCTTTTGAGGTGTGTCTTAATCCACTCTGTGTGCTATAACAAAATACCTGAGACTGGGTAATTTATATTGAAAAAAAAGAAATTTATTTTCTCATAGTTCTAGAGATTCTGAAGTCAAAGATCAAAACATTAGCAGGTTTGGTGTCTGGAAAAGCCCCAGTATTCTCTTCCAAGAGGGCACCTTAAAACGGTGCATCCACAGGAAGGGAAAAACACTGTGTCCTCATATGGCAGAAGGCAGAAGGGGCAAAAAGGGACCAAACTCTCTCTGTCAAGCCCTTTTTATAATGGCATTCATTCATTTATGAGGGCAGAGCACTCATGACCCAATCACTTCCCAAAGGGTCCCATCTCCCAACACTGTTGCACTGGGGATTGAGTTTCTAACACAAGAATTTCTGGAAGGGACAAGAACATTCAAACCATAGCAAGGTGCTTATCAGTCATTTGTAATTTTTTTTGTATGAAATATCTGTTCAAGTCCTTTGTCAGTTTCTTTTTGTTGTTCATTTTTTTGTTTGTTTGTTTAAGATGGGGTATCACTGTGTTGTCCAGGCTGATCTTGAACTCCTGGGCTCAAGTGACCCTCCCACCTGGTCTCCCAAAAGTACTCTGTCAACTCCTTAACTAGGTTGTTTGCCTCCTTATTCAGTTGTAAGAGTTCCTTATATCTTCTGGATCCAAGTCCTTTGCCCAATGTATCTTGTCAATATTTTTCCCAGCATGTGGCTTGCTTTTTATTTACTTGATGGAACAATTTGAAGAGCAGAAAGAATCTCAATGGATACAATTGATAAATATTTCTTTTATGGTTAATGCTTTTTGTGCTACCACAACAGCATGAAGATTTTCTCCTTTTCTATAAATTTTACACTTAGGTCTACGATCCACTTAAAATTGATTTTTGTATATGGTGTGAGGTAGGAATTGTGGTTCCTTATTTTTCTATATAGATATCTAGTTATTGCACCAGAGTATATTGAAAAGACTCCCTATCCCACTGAATTATGTTATTACTTTTATCAAAATTCAATTGACTACATATGCATGGTCTATTTCTGGACTCTATTCTGTCTACTGATCTTTCACCAATACTGTATTGTCCTGATTACCACAGTAAGACTTGAAGTGAAGTAGTGTAAGCTCTCTAACTTCTACTTTCCAAAGTCTAGATTCTTTGTGTTTTCATATAAATTTTAGAATCAGCTATTGATTTCTTTTTTTAAGCCTGCTGAAATTTTAATTAGGATTGCATGAATCTATAGATCAATCTTGAAAGAATGAGGATCTTCACTTAAGGCCAGGAGTTCAAGACCAACCTGGGCAACAACTCAAAACCTCATCTCTGCAAAAATAAAACATAAAAATTAAAAACAGGTCTGGCAAGGTGGCTCACACCTGTAATCTCAACACTTTGGGAGGCCAAGGTGGGAGGACTGTTTGACAACAGGAGTTCAGGACCAGCCTAGGCAACAATGTAAAACCCTGTCTTTATAAAAATTTTTTTTTTAAATTGGCTGGGCATGCCTGTAATCCCAGATACTTAGGAGGCTGAGGCAGGAGGATTGCTTAAGCTGGGGAGGTTGAGGCTGCAGTAAGCTGTGATCCTGCCACTGTACTCCAGCCTGGATGACAGAGCCAGACTCTGGCTCAAAAAAAAAAAAAAAAAAAAAAATGGGGGCTGTTTTAACAATATTAAGTGTTCCAATACATAGGCATCATAAATCTCTCCTTATTTAGATGTCTTTATTTAATCTCTTTAGATCTTTAATTCCTCTCAGCAGTATTTTTATAGTTTTCAGTGTAGAGGTCTTGCATATGTTTAGATTTATTTCTAAGTATCTTATTTTTTTGATGCTATTGCAAATAATGTTGTTTAATCTTATTTTCTATTTGTGTGCTTCCAGTATATAGAAACGCAACTGAGTTTTATATATTGTGTGATATTGTTATATAGTAAGAAATATATATTTGGTTTCTGCTCCTAGTTCCTGAGACAGGGCTCCTAAATCCCTTGGGATTTCCTGGGTGGTAGGAGCATTTTTTGTTCTAATGAGGTGACTCTTAGTGGGTTCCTGGACAGTCCCTCGGGATGAGGGCTGGTTACCAGGGGAACCAACAATGTGTTTGGAGGGCTAAAAGTTGAGTTTATCACCAATGACCAGTGATTTAGTCAATCCTGCATACGTAACGAATCCTCCATAAAAATCCCTGAGCTGGCCAAGCATGGTGACTCACACCTGTAATCCCAACACCTTGGGAGGCCAAGGCAAGCGGATCACCTGAGGTTAGGAGGTTGAGACCAGCCTGGCCAACATGGTGAAACCCTGTCTCTACTAAAAGTACAAAACTTAGCCAGAGGTGGTGGTGGGCGCCTGTAATCCCAGCTACTCGGGAGGCTGAGGCAGGAGAATTGCTTGAACCTGGGAGGCGGAGGTTGCAGTGAGCCAAGATGGTGCCATTGCAGGCTGGAGATAATACTCCAGCCTGGGCAACAGAGCGAGACTCCATCTCAAAAAAAAAAAAAAAAAAAAAAATCCCTGAGCTATGGGGTCTGCAGAGTTCCCAGACCGTTGAACACGTGGAGGTGCGGGAGAGTGGCATGCCTGGAGACAGCATGGAAGCCCTGGGCCCGTTTCCCCATCCTTCACCCCAGGTATCTCTGCCTCTGGCTGGTTTGTTTGTTTGAGATGGAGTCTCACTCTGTCACCCAGACTGGAGTGCAGTGGCATGATCTCGGCTCACTGCAATATCCGCCTCCTGGGTTCAAGCGATGCTCTTGCCTCAGCCTCCCGAGTAGCTGGGATTACAGGCACGTGCCACCATGTCCGGCAGGCTAATTTTTGTATTTTTAGTAGAGATGGGGTTTCACCATGCTGGCCAGGCTGCTCTCGAACTTCTGACCTGGTGATCTGCCCGCCTTGGCCTCTCAAAGTGGTGGGATTATAGGCGTGAGCCACTGTGCCCGGCCTCATTTTTTTGTTTTACGTTTTTATTGTGGTAAGATAATGCAACATAAAATTTACCATTTTAGGCCAGGCGCAGTGGCTCACGCCTGTAATCCTCGCACTTCGGGAGGCTGAGGCAGGTGGATCACTTGAGGTCAGGATTTTGACACCAGCCTGGCCAATATGGTGAAACCCCGTCTCTACTAAACAACCAAAAAAAATTAGTCAGGCATGGTAGCACATGCCTGTAGTACCAGCTACTTGGGAGGCTGAGGCAAAAGAATTGCTTGAACCCAGCAGGCAGAGGTTGCAGTGAGCCGAGATGGCGCCACTGCACTCCAACCTGGGTGACAGAGTGAGACTTGTCTCAAAAAAAAAAACAAAAACTAGGCCAGGCGCAGTGGCTCACACCTGTAATCCCAGCACTTTGGGAGGCCAAGGCAGGTGAATCACAAGGTCAGGAGATTGAGACCATCCTGGCCAACATGGTGAAACCCCATCTCTACTAAAAATACAAAAAATTAGCCAGATGTGGTGGCGGGCTCCTGTAGTCTCAGCTACTCGGGAGGCTGAGGCAGGAGAATGGCATGAACCCAGGAGGCGGAGCTTGCAGTGAGCCGAGATTGCACCATTGCACTCCAGCCTGGGTGACAGAGTGAGACTCCATCTCAAAAAAAAAAAAAAAAAATTACCATTTTAAGTTTACACATCTGTGGCATCAAGTACATTCACACTGTTGTACATCCATTACCACCATGCAGCCCTAGAACTCTTTTCATCTTATAAACTGAAACTCTGAACCCATTGAACTCTCCGCTCCCCTCTGTTCCAGTCTCCGGCAGCCATGTTTTACTTTCTGTCTCTATGAATTGACTACTCTAGGAACCTCGTATAAGAGGAATCTTACAGTATTTGTCCTTTTGTTACTGGCTTACGCATTTAACATGATGCCTTCAAGGTCCACCCATGCTGCAGCATGTGTCAAAATTTCCTTCCTTCTTTGGGACTGACTAAATATTTTTTAGTATTCCATTTTATTTCTTCTGATAGCTTCTCAGATATAGTCATGCATCACTTAACGACAGGGATATATTCTAAGAACTGCGCTGTTAGGCAATTTCGTCATTGTGCAAATATCATAGAGTGTATTTAGAAATGTGATTGTACTGAAATACTGTAGGCAATTGTAACACAATGGTATTTGCGTATCAAAACATATCTAGGTCAGGCGCAGTGACTGATGCCTGCAATGCCATCACTTTGGGAGGCTGAGGCAGGTAGATCAATTGAGGTGAGAAGTTCAAGACCAGCCTGGCCAACATGGCGAAGCCCTGTCTCTACTGAAAATAGAAAAATTAGCTGGGTGTGGTGGCATGCACCTGTAGTCCCAGCTACTCGGGAGGCTGAGGCATGAGAATTGCTTCAACCCAGAGGGCGGAGGCTGCAGTAAGCCAAGATCATGCCACTGCACTCTGGCCTGGGCTACAGAGTGAGATTCTGTCTCAATCAATCAATCAAACATATCTAAACATAGAAAAGCTACAGTAAAAATATGATATTATAATCTTACGGAACCACTTTTGCATATGTGGTCTGTCACTGACCAAAATGCTGCTATGCAGTGTATGACTGTTTGTCTCTTTTTGTTGTGTTATTTAAGTAGTTGTTCTAGAGCTAACAATACTCATCCTTAACTTATCAGTCTATTTAGAGTCAGTATAATACCTCTTCAAATCTGACATTTCATATTTATTACTTTACCCTTTCCTTTTCTCACTTTATATAAAACATTCTTGTTTCCCACTTACTTCTTTTTTCACAAATATAACCTTGTACAGTAAAATTACATTTACCCATCCCCCATCCCTTATGCAAGTGTTGACATATCTTTTACCTCTACATATGTCCAAAATCTCACTTTACTGGGTTATTATTTTTGCTTTAAACAATTAGTTGTCTTTTAAGAAAGTTATGAGAAGAAGGAAAGAGAGTCATATTTGCCTACCATTTACCATTTCCAGTGGTCTTCATCTTTCCTGTATAGCCCAGTTGGCCAGGCTGATTTCAAACTCCTGACCTTAAGTCAGCCCTCCCAAAGTGTTGGGATTACAGGCATGAGCCTATTTTTCTTTCTTTCTTTCTTTCTTTTTTCTTTTTTTTCAAACACAGTTTCACTCTGTCACCCAGCCTGGAATGCAGTGGCACGATCTTGGCTCACTGCAACCTCTGTCTCCCGAGTTCAAGCGATTCTCAGGCCTCAGCCTCCCAAGTAGCTGGGATTACAGGCACATGCCATCACGCCAAGCTAATTTTTGTATTATTATTAGTAGAGATGGGGTTTCACGGTCTCAAACTCCTGACCTCAGGTGATCCCGCCTGCCTCAGCCTCCCAAAGTGCTGGTATTACAGGCATAAACCACCACGCCAGGCTATTATATTTTATTTTATTTTTTATTTTATTTTATTTATTTATTTATTTATTTATTTATTTATTTTTTGAGAGGGAGTCTCGCTCTGTCCCCCACGCTGGAGTGCAGTGGTGCAATCTTGGCTCACTGCAAGCTCACTGTTTATTTTTTAAACGAGAAGTTTATTTAAAGAAGATGATGCCGCCAGGTGTGGTGGCTCACGCCTGTAATCCCAGCACTTTGGAAGGCCGAGGCGGGCAGATCACCTGAGGTCAGGAGTTCGAGACCAGCCTGGCCAACATGGTGACATCCCGTCTCTACAAAAATTAGCTGGGCATGATGGCGGGTGCCTGTAATCCCAGCTACTCGGGAGGCTGAGGTAGGAGAATCGCTTGAACCCAGGAGGTGGAGGTCGTAGTGAGCTAAAATCACTCCACTGTACTCCAGCATGGGCGAGAGAGCAAGATTCTGTCTAAAAAAAAAAGAAGATGCTTGATTTGAAGGAAAAACTAGGATTCATTTTTAAGAGTAATTACCCGCCTTAAAGACAGACTTCTCTATATGAAACACCTACATACAAAAAATTGTAAAACTGTCTTTGGTTTTATGATGATAAATAAAAAACATTAAAATTCTCCAATCAAACAAGGTATGCAAGGATTTTTCATGTTGGCTTTTTTGTTGAAATAGTGAGAGGAAATTAAGTTACTGGAATATAAAGATAAGCATGCCACTAATGGAGAAAGAGTATTTTCACAGAACCAGTATCTTTCCCCATCCCATATCCATTTGATGGTAATCAAAACATACCATTGGCCATTTTGTTTTCTTAAAAGTACAATATGCGTGTGTACACACACCACTTACTCTACATGTAATATAGGAATGGGGGGGGGGGGAATGAAAGAATAGAGAATACTATACTGTAGTAGTCAGGATGTGGCAGAACCAAATTGCAGTTTTCTAACTGAGAATGTATTGTTGCTCTGTAAGAATGGAGTTCTGGACTAAAGTAGCAGGTTCCTTTGTAGTAGACACCTGTCTGCTACTGGAACATGGCAATGGTACTTTCATCTTCCACTTCCAGGTGTGCAGGTGTGCCTGTTTCATGGATTGGCCACCTGTCAAATGGGAATCTGATCTGCCTCACTGACAGACCCTCTCATTCACAATAAGCTTTCATTAGTTTACTAAATGGTGTATCCCTCTTAATCTTAAACTGCACCACAGAACCAATCTGCCCCACCACCTTCAAATTAGTATGATCGTTGCTCTTAAGTGTTGACACCTCTCTTGGCATTTCATGGGCCACAGGGAACACCAGAGATATCAGTTGCTGCTTCACTAAAGAGGCACCATGTCCACACCAAATGAGCTCATCAGCAGCACCAGCAGCAGCCTCTCCTTATTTTTAGATTTCAGAAGTCTAACTATGATGTACCTAGGTTTTTTCCCCCAATATTTATCTTTCTTGGGGTTGGCTCTATAAGGGGGCTCTGTTTTGGTTCTGTAAGTCAATGGTTTTCATCAAACTTAGGAAGTTTTCAGCCATTATTTATTTTTTTTTCCTTCAGATGAGTAAGTATGGGAAATTAATTTTCAAAAAATAAAATGTTATTTTTTTTCCTGCCCAATTGTCTTTTTTTTTTTTTTTGAGACGGAGTCTCGCTCTGTCACCAGGCTGCAGTGCAGTGGCGCGATCTCGGCTCACTGCAAGCTCCGCCTCAAGCAATTCTCCTGCCTCAGCCTCCCAAGCAGCTGGGACTACAGGCACGTGCCACCAGGCCCAGCTAAATTTTGTATTTTTAGTAGAGACAGGGTTTCACCATGTTGGCCAGGATGGTCTCGATCTTTCTTTCTGTGGTTCAGACTGGATAATTTCCATTGTGTTCTCTTCAAACTCATGGGCTTCTTCCGTTTTATGTAATCTGCTGTTAAGTGAAACTTCCATTTCAGTTACTACACTTTTCAGGTCTAGAATTTGCATTTGGTTCTTTTTTATAGATTCCATTTCTCTGCTGAGACTACTCATTGTTCACTACTGTATTTTCCTTTAATTATTTAAATATATTCATAATAGTTACTTTGTCTGCTAAGTGCAACACTGAGGCCATCTTATCCATAGATTTTTCTTCTTGAATATGGATATTCTCCTGTTTCTTTGCATGTCTTAGTAACTTTTTTTGAACATTAGCCACTGTGGATATTACACATAAAAACTATGAATACTGTTATCTTCCTATGAAGAGTGTCAATTTGTATTTTAGCAGATGGTTCAATGACTACCTGACGGCCCTGAATTTGTGTGGTCTTGATTTTATGCATCATGAGTGTGGATCTGAGGAAAGCCCATGGCATTTTTGACCTCTCTTGATAAGACCCAAACTTTGAAATCTGTCTTGCTGGGGGTTGGCTTTAGGCCTTGTTAGGGCGGGTCTACGGTAGATCTTACTCTTGGGTAAGATCTTTATTCATAAGGCATGGCCTGTCTGGGGTCTCAGCTGGACGCCAGGGGTGTTAACAAAGTGTTAATGAGATCTTTCTACTGGTAGGGCTGGACCATCAGCGTTCCTGGCATTGCTTTCACCCCAACAGGACTTGACCTCCAGTATCTCTTTTCTATTCATCCTGTACCAGCTGCTGTCTATATGGTAAGCTTCAGGTGGCTTCACCCCATGTATAAATAATAGGCCAGTCCTTAGCTTCAGCCTCACAGGAATGCCCCCACAGACTTCTGAGACCCTCTTGCTGAACAATTCCCTACCCTATGATGGTCCACCCCACAGATTCCAACTGCTTCAGCTGCCCAAACTCTGACCTCTGCCTCTTCAGCTCAGGGGAAATCATCACAGCCTGTTTAGACTCCACTCACAGAACAGGGTTGGGAAACCGTCCTCAGACAGAAAACTGAGCAAATGTGGCGCTCACCTCGAGTTTTCCTTCTCTTAGGAACTGAAATTTTACGCTGCCTGTTGTCTACAGGCTGACACAATTGCTTCATTTCTTTTGTCCAGTTTTATAGCTTCCTATAGAGAGGAGGCTAGTTCTGATACCACTTACTTCCTTACCATGGGAAGCAGAGTACCTCCCTAAGCCAGAGGCCAGAAACATGGCCAGAAATGCCAGCCTCCTCTTCATTTTTAAGACAGAAAACTAAGAGTTAATACAATGTCCTACGTCTATTAAACTCACTTCAACCTGTCCTCCTAATATCAGATCCAACTTCCGCTTTTGTGCCAGAGAGTATTCTCCAGGGCAATCAGATCAACAATGTGTACTTTATAATTTGAATGCATATTTTATAATTTATCTGGTTATAATCTTTTATAAATATGAGGAAGAACACAAAGGGAGCTGTAATAATTGATAAACACAGTAGCATGAATTTAATTTTTAAAACATTTTTGAGACAGGGTCTCACTCTGTCACACAGGCTGGATGGAGTACAGTGGCGTGACCACAGCTCACTGCAGCCTTGATTGACTTCCTGGGCTCAAACGATCCTCCCACCTCAGCCTCTCGAGTAGCTGGCACCATAGACATGTACCACCACATTCAGCTAATTTTTTTTATTTTTCTGTGGAGACAGGGTCTCCCTATGTTGCCTAGGCTGGTCTTGAACTCCTGGGCTCAAGCAATCCTTCCACTTCAGCCTCCAAAAGTGCTGAGATTATAGGCATGAGCCACCTCACCCAGTCATGAATTTTTAAAGGTCTCACAGCACAGGAAACTAATCCTATGAAAGATCTACTTTATTAATTAGAAATGAATTTCTTTCCTTCTTTCCTTCCTTCCTTCCTCCTTTCCTCCCTCCCTTCCTTCTTTCCTCCCTCCCTTCCTCGCTCCCTTTCTCTGTCTCTCTCTCTCCCTCTTCCTCCCTCCCTCACTCCCTCTCTCCTTCTCTTTCTCTCTCTCTCTTTCTTTCTTAAGACAAGGTTTCATGCTGTTGCCCAGGTTAGAGTACAGTGGCACAATCATAGCTCACTGCAACCTTGAAATCCTGGGCCTAAGTGATCCTCCTACCTCAGCCTCCTGAGTAGCTATACCACTCGCCGTACACGTGTGCACCACTATGCCTGGATAATATTTTTTAATTTTTTTGTAGAGACAAGGCCTCGTGACATTACCCAGGCTGGTCTCAAACTCCTGGCCTCAAATAATTCCCCCAGCCTCAAGAAATCCTCCCTCCTCAGTCTCTCAAAGTGCTGGAATTCCAGATGTGAACCACCATACCCAGCAGAAATAAGTAAAATTTTAAATTAATAAAAATATGCAAGGCTTCCATGAAATGAACCATTGTGAAATAAGGGCTATTGCAAAGAGGCAACTACCCGACTCCTATACAAGGTACTGACCTAAATAAAGCATCAGAGCAAAGAGAAATAAGTCTTTTTTTTTTTTTTTTGAGACTGAGTCTTGCTCTGTGGCCCAGGCTCACTGCAACCTCTGCCTCCCGAGTTCAAGCGGTTCTCCTGCCTCAGCCTCCCAAGTAGCTGGGACTACAGGGGCGCGCCACCACACCTGGCTAATTTTTTGTATTTTTAATAGAGACGGGGTTTCACCATGTTAGCCAGGATGGTCTCGATCTCCTGACCTCATGATCCGCCCACCTCGGCCTCCCAAAGTGCTGGGATTACAGGTGTGAGCCACTGTGTCCGGCCAAGAAATAAGTCTTTTATCTTCATTTTGGAGATGAAGAATCAAGCACACCCAACTCCTTCTAACTCCAGATACTGGTGATTTGTTCATTAATTAAAATATATATTAAAAATATATGTATGCGTACATATTTTATCATACTACATGTATAATAATTCTACACTACTTTTTAAAACAGGTTGATAACTAGACTATTTTCATACTTGAAGCTTTTCACATTAAGCATTTGACTCAAGTCTTGGCAACCTGACCAAGCCTAGGTCACAAGTGTCTCTAAACTACCCAAGACAAAGCAGTTTGTAGCCCTCTACAATACACCTTGGAATTAATGAAAACATAAATTTTCTCTCTGGAAGGAATCCTATGCTCCAACACAGCATTTCACACAGATTGCTCTTTTAGAACTCAGTATATTATAATAATTGTTGTGTTTTGTTCTCATATTATAGGCTAAGAGTATGAAGGCCTATGTTCATCTTATATCCAGTTTACCCAGAACAGTACATGGACCATAATAAGAACATACTGCTTACTGAATGAATAATATAATAATAAAAACTCTAGCCTCAGGCCAAGTGCAGTGGCTCATGCCTGTAATCCCAGCACTTTGGGAGGCTGAGGTGAGAAGACCACTTGAGCTCAGGAGTTTGAGACCAGCCTAGGCAACGTGGAGAAACCCCATCTCTACAAAAAAATTTTGAAAAATTAGTTGGGCGTGGTGGTGCACACCTGTAGTCCCAGCTACTTGGGAGGCTGAGGTAGAAGCCCAGGAGGTTGAAGCTGCGGTGAGCCGAGATCACACCACAAAACTCTAGCCTGGGTGACAGAGTGAGACCCTGTGCCAAAAACAAAAACCAAAAACCAACTCTAGCCTCTTCCCCCTGCCATGAAGAAATTCCAATAGATTATCTGAGTAACTTATTAATATTCTAAACATTAAGGAAAAATAATGCTAAAGACATTTATTTTTCTAACTTGGGATTGTCCTCAACCTCCTCAGATGAAAGGCATACAAACTCTTGATTACACAGCCTCTCTGAAGCCTCAGTTTCTGTATCTGTAAAATGAGGATAATAATAACCAATAAAAACTATGAGGATCAAATGAGATTCCGAGTATAAAGACCCTGCTATCTTACGGACATATAGTAGATATAGTAATCAATAAATTACTATTTCATCTTATCATCATCAGTATTATTAAAACACAGCCTAAATTTCACAACATAACAGTCTTTGGGGTTGTGATGCTCCTTCAGCTTGACTCTAAGTAAAGGACTCCTCTCCGGCCGGGCGCAGTGGCTCATGCCTGGAATCCCACCACTTTGGGAAGCCAAGGCAAGCAGACCACTTGAGCCCAGGAGTTTGAGACCAGCCTGGGCAACATGACTAAACCCCATCTCTACAAAAGACACAAAAATTAGCCAGGAATGGTGGTGTGAGTCTGTGGTCCCGGCTACTTCGAGAGGTTGAGGTAGGAGGATCGCTTGAGCCTGGCAGGTTGAGGCTACAGTGAGCTATGACTGCACCACTGCACTCTGGCCTGGGCAACAGAGTGAGACCTCATCTCAAAAAAAAAAACAAAAAAAAAACAAAGAGGACCCGTCTGATTTAGTAAGCCATGCAGGGTGGGTCCTATTACTCTGTTCTCTGATATTACAGCACATAAAATAGTATGCTTTGGTCAGATGGTCTAAACAACCTATTCAAAGTCAAACATCTAAAAGGCTTAGGAGTCAGAATAGAAAAGCTATAAATACTGGTTAGTCAGCTAACAATTAATGGAAAGGACAGCAGATAACTAGCAATAAACTTCTGAAGCCTACGGCCCAAGTGAATAGCAGCTTGTCACCTTCAAACCTAATAAGCCTCTCTGTCTTCTTTTGATAACTTTCTCTCTTTCCCTCCTTTTCTTTTCACACCCCCTTCCTGACACTCTCTACTATTACTTCTCTGAGCCCCTTTCTCTCTCTCTTTTTACCAGGTAGAATATTAAATTAAGTTCTGCCTTCAGTATTTATTATATTTTTCAATAAAATAATGAACATAGGTTTTAAAGACAGGAATTGAATTCCAGTTCCAACAATATAACCTTGGTAAATTAAAGTGTTTCAGTTTGCTCAACTGGAAAATGGGGATAATAATGGCATCTTCACAAAACTGCAGTAAGAATTACATTAAATGAAATTATATTTGTAAATTGTCTAGCCTAATGCCTGAAACACAATGAGTCTTCCATAAAGTTAATTCCCTTCCCTACTGATCTAGGAAAATCTTATCTGATCCTTGGTTATATCTTCTACAGGTCAGCAGCCCTTAGCGGAAAAGGAGACCCTTGTTCTTCACACACATTTCCATCTAAATTATTGATAGAGATGGATCCACCACTACCAATACAGACAATGAATGCCTCTAAATACAGAATTCTGCATTTCACTGATACAAACACTCCTTATCCTGGGTAGTCTCCTTGGTTTTAAAAATAAGTCAGTGCAGAGAAATTTAAGTAAACTTTTGAAACACAAGTAATTAGTGATAATTATAAGCTAAGCATTTAAAAGGCACTTAAATATTCTATATAAAACAGTAAATTAAGGATATAACACTATATTTTAAAAACTGGCTTGAAACTGCCTCAGTAGTTTGAGCCATGGGAGAAATAAATGAGCTACTTCACTGTAATACTTCCCATGTTAGGGTCTTAGAACAACAGCAGGCCAATTGCCCGTTGCTTCTTCCCACTCACTGCAGCTCACTTTCACCTTGTACCTAGAGACTGACTCTCTTCTCAAGTGAGTTCTATACTGGTATCTGGTAGATGTTAGTAAAAATAAAACTATTTTAAGAGAAGACATATCACTGCAGGTCAAAACAGGCCACTCTGTTCTGATTTTATACTATTTCCCACACCAAGCTCAGATAACAGTCAGACAAAATAACCAAAAAGAAAACCACTATGGTCACTGTGTGATATTTCAAGCTACAGCCAAGAAAACAATGTGCAAAGGCTGGTGCTGATCAATGTAAGCCCTTCAACTGCAAGCCTAGAACCAAAACACAGGCCACATCAGGTAAACAGAAACCAAACCAGTGGGATTCAGGCTATGTGGAAAACACTATGTAACACATGAGACAAAGTGCACAAAGAGAAGAAAAAAATTAGGAGTTACTGGGTAGGGAAAATAAGCCATTATTGTAGCCAGGTGCAAGTTCAATAGCAGCAACGGCTACAAAGATTCAGTAGACAACGTTTCTTTAGGGAAAACAAAACAGAGACAATATTATGTTGAAAATTCAACATAAAGATGAATGTTTTAAGGGCAGATGGAAACCAACTTCAATACTAATCCCTAAGGCAATAAATGGCAAAATAGAGTGGCAATATGCTACAGCAATTAGAAAGAACAAAAGCGTTCAAGAACTAGAAGTATGAGTATAGTTTGGGTTTTTATTGAAGAATAGCACATTCTCACCAAGTTTGTAAAAGGAACTGAGATTTGTCATGGCATGCAGTTTTTAAAAAACATCAAAGTTCTCAGCCTATACCAGCTAAAATGGCAGGCAATTTCTAGGCCAAAGTCCCAGAAATGTTCAGTTTACTCTCATTGCCCATCTCTGAAGAATATGAGACGCAGCCACACGAAAAACCAGTAACTGACCTGCAACAGGCTTCTCCTGGGGTGAGCTAGAGTGACTATACTTACTGGAGTCCTCCTCCCACTGGAGTAAGTGTAGCTTCCACGCAGAATAATACAAAAATCCCAGTACCAGAAAGAGGCAGAGGGCTAGCAGCAGATTGCGCACAAATACCAAGAGTCCCATCTTCACATGATTTACGATTTCCTAAATGACCTAGAAAAGAAAAAGTTTAGTTCTTAAAAGACAAAGCACTCATCTTATTGATATATTCTCTCTTAAAGTATCTATAGAGAGAATTTCCAAATGAAGAATAACTTAGAGTTATCACTTTCATATCATGGCATCTTCTAACCTGCTCATCCCCATCTCAAAAAACAGCTTCATCATCAGCCAGCGCCTAAGCTAGAAAGCAGCAATCATCTTTGCTTCCCCACCCCAGCCGCCGACATCCAGTCCCTGACTAGTTCTGGCAATTCCAGCCTCCCAGATATTTTTCAAATCATAGCCCCTTCCCATGATCACTACCCTAGATTGTGTTATCACAGCATTCCCACAAACACGTTTCCCTGCCTTCAAATTTACATTCTCCAAATCCATTTCCACATGGCACAAGAAGTCTTTTAATAACACAAAATCTGACAATATCCCTGCTTAAACCCCTTTGCATTCGTTCTCTACTGCTGCTGTGGCAAAGTGTCACAAACTTAGCAGTTTAAAACAACACAAAATTATCTCAGAGTTCTGAAGGCCAAAATCTGGATATGGTGAGGCTCAGCTGGATCCTTGCTTAGAGTCGCACAAGGCCAAAACCAAGGTGCTGGTAGGGCTGTGTTCCCTTCTGGAGGCCCTGGAGAAGAATCCACTTCCATGCTCACTCAGGCCGTTGGCTGAATTCAGTTCGTGCAGCTGTAGGGACAAGGCCCCCGTTTCCCGGCTGGTTATCTGCCAGGGGCCAGCCTTCAGGCCTACAGTCCTTTTCATGCTTTCCATGTGGTCCCCTTCAGGCTCTCTCACTCTTTGAATCTCTCCAAATTCCCCCTCCGCCATATCTTGCTTCTCTTCCAGCTGGAGAAACTTCTTTGCTTTTTGGGGCCCATGTGATTATATTGGGCCCACCTTAATAATCCAGGATAATCTCCCTATTTGAAGACCCAAAACCTTAATTATATCTGTGAAGTCCCTTGTGCCATGTCGAGTAACAAATTCATAGGTTCCAGGGATTACGGTGTGGATATCTTTAAAGAGCCATTCTGCCTAACATAGCTTTCATTCAATTCTCAACTCCTCTGAAT
This sequence comes from Homo sapiens, assembly GCF_000001405.40. Classification (NCBI taxonomy): domain Eukaryota; kingdom Metazoa; phylum Chordata; class Mammalia; order Primates; family Hominidae; genus Homo; species Homo sapiens. The sequence continues at coordinate 43,735,153 of NC_000001.11, read as the reverse complement.
AAAGTAATTGCTCCTTACAGCCTAGCGGTTTCTGACTGAGCCTCGATTTACTCTCCAATCCATCTCTTGCTTCTCTCAACCTCATTTGTGCCCTATGCTCTAGTCATTGTACTTTCTATTCATTGAATGCTGCCTTGTTTCTATCCTCAAGGTCTGTCTGGAATTCACCCACCCTGCTACTGTACCTGCTATGCATCCTTTGATGTAAAAGGATGCATAGCAGGTACACCTTAAATGTAAAATGTAACATTGGCCAAGAAGACTGCCCTGGGTCAGGCCCTCAACCAAACCCAATCAGATATCTCAGCCACAAAATTACAATGACATAAGAGAAAAAAATGATGTATAAATATTAATAATGGTGTGACAAAACATTATAATTTACAGATAATTGTCCACCTAGGAAAGCCAAGAGAATATACTAAAAAATCATTAGAATAGGAAGTTCAATAAAGTAGGTGATTATGATTATAAGATTAATTTACAAAAATCAACACATTCTTAAAAACCATACCAGCAATAACCAATTAGAAAATGTTAGGTGGGCTGGGCACAGTGGCTCACGCCTATAATCCCAGAACTTTGGTAGGCTGAGGCAGGAGAACTGCTTGAGCCCTGGAGTTTGAGGCCAGCCTAGGCAACATGATGAGATCCTATCTCTACAAAAAGAAAAATTAAAAAGTTAGCCAGGCCTAGTAGTGTGCATCTGTGGTCCTAGCTACCCAGGAAGCTGAGGCAGGAGGATCCTTTAAGCCCAGGAGGTTGAGGCTGCAGTGAGTTGTGAGCGTGCCACTGTACTCCAGCCTGGGTGACAGAGCAAGACCCTGTCTCAAAAAAAAAAAAAACAAAAAAAAAAGAAGAAGAAGAAAGAAAGAGAAGAAAGAAAAGAAAACATAAAGTGAAAAAATTCCATTCATGATGGCAACAAAATCTATAAAATAACTAAAAATAAACTTAGCAAGAAATGGGCAAGACTTTCACCAAAGAACATAAAATATCTGAGTAAATAAAGAGACAAAGGAGGTTCTTTTTTTTTACCCCCCGAGATGGAGTTTCCCTCTGTCGCCCAGGCTGGAGTGCAATGGCACGATCTCGGTTCACTGCAACTTCCACCTCCCCGGGTTCAAGCGATTCTCCTGCCTCAGCCTCCCGAGTAGCTGGGATTACAGGCACGCGCCACCACACCTAGCTGATTTTTTTGTATTTTTAATAGAGATGGGGTTTCACCATGTTGGCCAGGATGGCCTCCTGACCTCGTGATCCACCCACCTCGGCCTCCCAAAGTGCTGGGATTACAGGCGTGAGCCACCACGCCCGGTGAAAGAGGTTCTTAAGTGAGAAGATTCAATTTGAAATATGTCAGTTTTCCTGAAATGTGAGTTTTCTATAAATTCAGTTTCATTCCAGTCAAAATCCATGAATTTTCTGAACTTGGATCTAAAGATAATCTGAAGAGTTCAGGCCCAAGAAGGGCCAAGAAATTTCTTAAAATGAAAAATAATGGGATGAGAATCTGCCTTGCCAGATATCGAACCAACTCAAAGCTATAATTACTAAGGTAGATAGGTACTGGCAGAGGAAAAAACAGGTCAATGGAAGAGAACAGAGTCTAGAAATATGTTATCTCAAATAGAGAAAGAGATACATATACGCACACATACGAATGAGTTTACTTTATACATATAAATGTACTCAATTTACTCTACGCTAAGCATGTACATATAAAAATGGGAGAAAGGCCTGACAGGCTATACAGCTGTTAGCATGCTTACCTGTAGGGAATAGGATGGGATGATGAGAAGCAGGTGAGACTCAGAGGACTTTTACTTTTCCCTTTGTACACTTCTGAATTAAATTTATTTGTCATAGGGCCTAGCATGGCAGCTCAGACCTGAGAGGCCGAAGTAGGAGGACTGCATGAGCCCAGGAGTTCGAGACCAGCCTGGGCAAGATGATGAGATGAGACCCCCATCTCTACAAAAAATTTTAAGATTAGCTGGACATGGTGGCATGTGCCTATAGTCCCAGCTACTTGGGAGGCTGAGGCGGGAAGATTGCTTGAGCCCGCCTCAAGACTGCTTGAGGAGTTCGAGGCTGCAGTGAGCTATGATCATGCTACTGCACATCAGCCTGGGCAACAGAGAGATGCTGTCTCTTAAAAAAAAAAAAAAAAGTATTTTTTATGAAGTCACAAGTACTGCCTCCATTAATTTTTTACTATTAAAAAAATCAAACAACACATTGTAGAAATGTAAATTGGTAGACTCCTTTGGGAACAATTTAGAAGTATCTATTGAAATTTATAATATTCATATACCTTAGCCCAGTCTTTCTATTCCTATGACTTTTTTCTCAAACAATACTCCAACAAATATTAAAAAGGACATGTACATGAATGTTCATTAGCAACTCTGAGTATAACAGCAAGATACTAGAAACAGTTTAAATGCCCAATAATAGGGACCCAATAATTAAATTATGGTAAGTCTCCCTGGTCACATCCATTGAGGTCTTAGCAGGAAAGAGATGGCATATGCAAAGGAGTAAACTGAAGGCAGTTTAATGACAGGATTTTTTATAGCTGTTGTGAGCAGCATTTAAAGGAACCAACAAGGAATGGTGAAGCAGCCAGGGACTAGAAACGGCAGGAAGCTATTTCTACCCTTCAACCTCAAAGGGCAAAAGAAGAGAAGGGTGTCACTGGAGCCCAGCAAGAGCTGGCTGGAGAAGAGAAGCCACCCTACAAGAGCAGTGATCACGGATAACGAGCACAGCTGCTACTAGAACCATGGCAAGGGACAGTGGGGGATAAAACATAGTCTGACTCCTCCCAACATTGGCCCTCAGATCTCCTGGCAGTGTCTTTTATCAGCTGATCCCAGCTGGAAGCCAGAAGGCAAGGAAGCCCAGATGATGCAGGTAACAGAGACCAGCTGCCAGTACACAGAAGAAACGAAGGTGAATAAAGTATCTGCCAGGGCAGGAGAATAACAGTGCAGAATATAATGTACCAGCTGGAAAGAATGAGGCATATCTGCATGTACTAACAGGGAAGTGTGTCTAGAACCTACTGCTAAGTGAAAAAAAATCTAGCTGTAGAATAGTATGTACATATATGGCCCCATACTGGCAACAACAAACGAAGATGACAATAATATTTAAAAATTAAGATTAAGGGCCGGGCGCCATGACTCATACCTGTAATCCCAGCACTTTGGGAGGCTGAGGCTGGTTGATCACTTGAGCCCAGGAATTCTAAACCAACCTGGGCAACACAGTAGGACCCTGTCTCTACAAAAAATTTTTTTTAAAAATTAGTCAGGGCCGGGCATAGTGGCTCATGCCTGTAATCACAGTACTTTGGGAGGCCAAGGTGGGTGGATCACGAGGTCAGGAGATCAAGACCATCCTGGCTAACACTGTGAAATCCCGTCTCTACTAAAAATACAAAAAATTAGGCCGGGCGCAGTGGCTCACGCCTACAATCCCAGCACTTTGGGAGGCCGAGGTGGGCGGATCACGAGGTCAAGAGATCGAGACCATCCTGGCTAACACAGTGAAACCCCATCTCTACTAAAAAAAAAAAAAAAAAAAAATTAAAATTAGCCGGGCATGGTGGCGGGCGCCTGTAGCCCCAGCTACTCGGGAGGCTGAGGCAGGAGAATGGCGTGAACCCGGGAGGTGGAGCTTGCAGTGAGCCTAGATCGCGCCACTGCACTCCAGCCCGAGTGACAGAGCAAGACTCCATCTCAAAAAAAAAAAAAAAAAAAAAAAATTAGCTGGGTGCGGTGGCACGCACCTGTAGTCCCAGCTACTTGGGACGCTGAGGCAGGGGAATCGCTTGAACCCAGCAGGCGGAGGTTGCAGTGAGCCGAAATCGTGCCACTGCACTCCAAGCCTGGGCGACAGAGCGAGACTCTATCTCAATAATAAAAATAAAAAAATATTATTCAGGCATGGTGGTATGTGCCTGTACTGGTGGTATAGCCCCAACCAATTGGGAGGCTAAGGTAGGATTTGTTGAGCCCAGGAGGTTGAGGTTGCAGTAAGCCAAGGTTGCACCACTGTACTCCAGCCTGGATGACAGAGTGAGATGCCATCTCAAAGAAAAAAAAAATAAGACTAAGTATCTAGTACATACATAAAAGAATATGCACCAAACTATTGACAATAATTATCTCTGAAAAGTGGGTTCAGATGGAATACTTTGACAAGGTATTTATTTATCCATATATTTATTTTTAATGTTTATATTTGTAAAAGTAAATACATAAAGTTTTAAGTGAAATAGAAATCAGAGACTTGATGGCTAGGCATGGTGGTTCATGCCTGTAATCCTAGCACTTTGAGAGGCCAGGAATTTGAGACCAGCCTGTGCAACATAGTAAGATCCTGTCTCCAGAAAAAAATTAAAAATCAGCCAGGCATGGTGGCATGGGCCTGTAGTCCTAGCTATTTGAGAGGCTGAGGTAGGAGGATTGCTTGAGCCCATAAGTTTGAGGTTACAGTAAGCCATTATGACATCACTACACCCCCGCCTGGGCAACAGAGCAAGACTCTGTCTAAAAAAAAAAAAAAAAAAGAAAGAAAAGAAAAGAAAGAAAAAAAGAAAAGAAAAAGAAATCAGAAACTTGTATTTCTAACTACACAAGGAACTATATATCTTGTCCAAACTTCCCACTGAGAACAACTAAAAATTTAAGTTGTAAGTAGTCTGCGCACAAAAGGCAAGTGGCTCTTAGAAAGAATTTTCTTTTCTTTTAGAAGGGGGCAGAAGTGGCTGGCACCACCCCTCTCCTTTCTGTGCCAAATGCAAGAGATGTGATGCTGAATTGTCACAACCATACAGTGACCACAGCCCAAGGCTCTGGCAGACACACAACAGTCAGTGAGTCAACAGATGCAGCCATTCTTTTCAACAAATATGGCAGTGAGAAGGCTGAAGTAATCACCTGTTTTATTTCAGTCTTTTCCATTAGGGAAAACAATCTTCAAATGACAAGAGTAGAACAAATCCCAAGGAGGAAACTGATTTCCAAAAGTAGACAACATACAAAAGAGCAAAAAAGAGCTTAAAGGAAGCCAAAGCCTCCAAGACAAGGAGAACAATATCCCGAGATCCTGTGAGAGATGTAATTTCAAACTCGCCGCTAGGACAAAAGTCTGACACATTCTAGAAGTGAGGCTGTGGGGTAAAAACAGGCTTTCATACATTACTGGTGGTGGAAGGGATTTGAAAATATCTAACAAAATTACACATGCTTTTAACCCTTTAACCCAATAGTCTCACTTCTAAGAAACTATCCCAAAGATACACTGACAAAAATACAAAAAGTCTTATGTGAATGGCCACTTATTGTAGCACTATTTGTAACGTAACAGAGTAAGATTCAATGTACTCCAAATGTCCTTCAACAAGGGTTGAATCAACTATGGTACATACACAAAATAGGTACTATGCATCCATAAACAAAATGAGGTCCCTCTATCCCTTCCTTTCTAAATAATCTAAAAACCAGTAGGCTTTAGGGAGAGTCACACATGCCTGGGGTGAAAGGGGAGAGAGGGACATTAGTCCATGTGAGGGGTCTAGGTTGTGGCAACAGGTGATTTGGGATTGACCAGATAAGTAAATGTATTGAAGCTAATGGGAACAAGATTTCCCAATGATGGAGAAGAAAGTTACAAATATGGAAAGGGAAAACTGGAATTAATATTTTGACTTGTATTGAAATTGGAGGTATTCAGTGGGAAAAAAATGGTTTTTAATATATAACCAGGCATGGTGGCTCACACCTGTAATCCCCGTACTTTGGGAGGCCAAGGAATAAGGATCACTTGAGCCCAAGAGTTTGAGACCAGCCTGGGCAATATAGTCTTTACAAAAAATTGTCTCGATAGCTGGGCGTGGTAGTGGACACCTGTAATCCCAGCTACTTGGGAGGCTGAGGCAGGAGAATCACTTGAACTGGGGAGGCAGAGGTTGCAGTGAGCCCAGATCATGGCACTGCACTCCAGCCTGGGTGACAGAGTGAGAATCTGTCTCAAAAAAAAAAAAAAAAAAGAAAAATAATTGTCTCTACAAAAAATTTAAAAATTAGCTAGGCCTGGTGGCATGTGCCTGTAGTCCCAGTTACTCAGGAGTCTGCAGTGGGAGGAGCACTTGAGCCTAGGCAGTGAAGGCTGCAGTGAGCTGAGAACATGCAACTGCACTCCAGCCTGGGCGACAAAGAGAGACTCTGTCTCAAAACGAACAATAATACAGAAATATATATGTGTGTGTGTGTATATGTACATATGTGTGTATACATATGTGTATATATGTGTGTTATATATACAAAGACATAAAAATAAATATAGTGAGGATAGTGTGTGTACATTTGTGTGTATACACACATATAATTTTTTTTAAACAGTTTCTGTCATTCAGACCAGAGTGCAGTGGCGTGATCATACCTCACTGCAACCTCGACCTCCTGGGCTCAAGTGATCCTCCCATCTCAGCTTCCCAAGTAGGTAGGACCATAGGCACGTGTCACCACGCCCAGCTACTAAAATTTTTTTAACTTTTTGTGGCAACAGGGTCTTGCTATGTGGCCCAGGTTGGTATCAAACTCCTAGACTCAAATGATCCTCCTGCCTTGGCCTCCCAAAGTGCTGGGATTACAGGCGTGCGCCACTGTGCCCACCCCCCCAACATATAACTCTTTAGCTCTGCCCACAGAAAGACCCTGGCAGTGGTCATATCTCAACAGCATGAAGCATATCTAGTACCTAGATTTTGATGGTGTTTTTGTTTTTGTTTTTGTTTTCTGAGAAGGAGTTTCGCTCTTGTTGCCCAGGCTGGAGTGCAATGGTGCGATTTCAGCTCACGATAACCTCCGTAGATCTTGGTTTTGAAATACTATTCTCCACTAACAAGAAGCAGGGTGCAGCCATAAAAAAAGAATGAATTCAGGTCTTTGCAGCAACATGGTTGCTGCTGGAGGCCATCATCCTAAGCAAATTAACGCAGGAACAGAAAACCAAATACCACATGTTCTTACTTGTAAGTGGCAGCTAAACATTGGGTACTTACGGACACACAGATGGCAATAACAGACACTGGAGACTACTAGATGGGGATGAGGGGTGAAGGCGCAAGGGTTGAAAAATGAACTGTTGGGTACTATGCTGAGTACATGGGTGACAGGATCAATCATACTCCAAATCTCAGCATCACACAATACCCATGTAACAAACCTGAACATGTATCACTGAATTGAAAATAAAAGTTGAAATTATTTTTTTAAAAAAGGTTTAGGACACAGATAGAAAAAGGCACTTAATATTCAAGAGGAGTCATGGGTCTTCCGGGAGAAAAAAAAAATTTTTGAGACACCTAAAACCCAGAACAATGTGAAGTTTGGGGAAGGGATGAGGCTAAAGACAGCATAAATGATTTTTCAAAGTTATGTTTGAAGCAAGAAGAAAAGATGAGGAATAGGTTTAGTTTCATCTCTGATACAGCATTTCTTGTTAAAACTGATGGCTTTCTCTGCAGGCACCTGCCTTCTGAATGCTGGTCCCACTCAGCCATCCACTTTCACTTTTTACCAAGTTAATTTCTACTGATTCTTCAGATCAGTTAATTACTGGTATGCTGCCCCTCCCCAGTCAAGGATCTTTTATTACCCTACCATAGAATCACATTTCTTTCCTTAGTGCACTTCTCTCACTTGAGAAATGCCCCCATTAATGTTATTACTTGATTAATATCGACCTCCCTTTTCTCCTTCCAGGGCTGAAATTGTGTCTGGTTTTGCTCATCATCTTATAGCATATAGCAGGAGTGTAATAAACAATTGCTTAAAAAAAAAAAAGGAAGCAGGTCTCCTTGGAAGAATGGCTGACTCCAAGGCTGGGGCAGAGAAGGCGTAAGGTAAGTCTGGGCCACCTTGTTGTGCCTGAAAATGGGAAAATGCTCAGAGTGAGGACAGGTCAAAAGGAAAAAGGAATCAGCCTGAGGAGCTCCCACTGGTCAGATCTGGAGCAATTCAGCATCAAGATAAAGACTGATAATAACAGATTATAATCCATTAAATAAGAATCTAATAAAGGGGGAGAAAGCTCTCAGAGTGAAACGACAGCTGATGAAAATAGAAGGAATAATGTAATTAGAAAATCACCATTTAGGAACCATTATAGTAATAATTCACCCAAGAAACATCAATGGATGCTAAAATTAATGCATACAAGTTTTACAAGAAATGGGATACAGGGCCAGAAACAATGGCTTACACCTGTAATCCCAGCACTTTGGGAGGCCGAGGCAGGCGGATCATTTGAGGTCAGGAGTTCGAGACCAGCCTGGCCAACATGGGGAAACCCCATATTACTAAAAATACAAAAATTAGCCAGGCATGGTGGCACCCACCTGTAATCTCAGCTACTTGTGTGGCTGAGGCAGAAGAATTGCTTGAACTCGGCAGGCGGAGGCTGCAGTGAGCCAAGATCGTGCCACTGCACTCCAGCCTGAACAAGAAAACAAGACTCTATCTCAAGAAAAGAAAAAGAAATGGGATATAGGCCAGGCACAGTAGCCCATGCCTGTAATACTAGCACTTTGGGAGGCCAAGGTAGGAGGATCACATGAGGCCAAGAGTTCAAGACCAGCCTGGGCAACACAGCAAAATTCCACCTCTAGAAAAAATTTTAAGATTAGCTGGGCATAGTGGCATGTGCCTGTAGTCCCAGCTACTTGGGAGGCTGAGGAGGGAGGATTACTTGAGCCCAGGAGTTAGAGGCTGCAATGAGCTAAGATCATGCCACCGCACTCCAGCCTGAGTGACAGAGCAAGACCCTATCTCTTATAAATAAATAAATAAAAAATAAGATATAAAATAGTTTTAAACTATTTCCTCACTAATTATTAACAGAGGGGAACAGAGTAACTTTGAAGTTGAGAAATCTGACAGACATCACAATAAGCTAGCTGAAGGGGACATATGGGAGTTCTTTGTAATATTTCTACAACTCTTTTGTAAATAAGAAGTTATTTCAAAATGAAAAGTTAAAAAGGGAAAGGAATTTTAAACTAAATGTTCAAATAAACATCTAAATGAGAGTTTATGCAGCCACTTTAAATGGCTGCATAAACTTAAAAAAATTTTTTAATGGTATAGAGAAATGCTTTTGGTATCGTACTAAATGAGAAAAATAAAACGTGAGGCTGGGTGCGATGGCTCACGCCTGTAATCCCAGCACTTTGGGAAGCTAAGGCAGGCACATCACTTGACCCTAAGAGTTCGAGATTAGCCTGGGCAACATAGCGAAACCGTCTCTACAAAAAATACAAAAATTAGCTAGGCACGGTGGTGCGTGCCTGTAGTCCCAGCAACTCAGGAGGCTGAGGTGGGAGGATCACTTAAGACTGGGAAGTGGAGGCTGCGGTGAACTGAGACCATGCCAGTACACTCCAGCCTGGGTGACAGAGTGGGACACTGTCTCAAAAAAATTAATTAATTAATTAAATTTAATAAGAGTATCAGGCACTCAACCATGAGAGACAGAAAAAGATAAATAAAAAATAAAAATGCTAGAAGTAGATTTAAGACAGAGAATTCTGGCTGTGGGACTGCACTTGGCCTCCCTGTATGGTCAGAAAAAAGCATGCAGGCCAGGCGCAGCGGCTCATGCTGTAATCCCAGCACTTTGAGACGCCGAGGTGGGTGGATCACCTGAGGTCAGTTCAAGACCAGTCTGACCAACATGGTAAAACCCGTCTCCACTAAAAATACAAAATTAGCTGGGCGTGATGGTGCATGCCTATAATCCCAGCTACTTGGGAGGCTGAGGCAGGAGAATAGCTTGAACCTGGGAGTCAGAGGTTGGAGTAAGCCGATTGCACCACTGCACTGCAGCCTGAGCAACAAGAGTGAAACTCCATCTCAAAAAAAAGAAAGAAAAGAAAAGAAAAAAGAAAAAAGCATGCAGGTAAAGAGTTGCAGATGCTCCCTCTAGAATGCAGATGGAGCACAGCGATTTGGACACATCCTCTCCACATACATGCATCTTATCCCAGAGAGGGAAGTGGCTCTCTTCTGTCCAAAGCTAATAGGACAAACACTATGTGCTAGGGATTACACATGGCAGCGAGGACACCGAAACACAGAAACTCAGGCCCCACCTTAGAGGACTTCTGACTTCTCTCTTCTCATTAATTCTTCAACTCTGTGGTCTGATCTGGCTTCTAATCCCACCTGTCACTGTGGTAAATGAGTTTACCACTGACCTCGTAAGTGCCACATCCACTGGACACTTTACAGTCCTCCCGCAATTTGACCTTTATACAGCCCCTAAAACTGTGAGAGGTGGTAAGAGCCTTTCTCTGCCTTCTTTGCCACTCATCTTTTAGGACTGTGTTCAAGTGTTAGTTCCTTCAGCAAGCTTTCCTTAATCACAGCCCTACACCATGACTGTGCTCCATAACATCCCATGCTCACCTCCATCATAGCATTTAGAAAACATCTTGTCTCTTTTTCTGCCTCTGCAGATAATTAGCATACAATTTGAAAAAAGAACCTATAACTTAGGTCTGTTAAATCACTAGCATTTATCAGCATAGTGCCTCAAATATAGTAACACTCAAGCAGAGTTTGTTTAAAAATAAAATAGCCTGTAATCCCAGCATTTTGGGAGGCTGAGGAAGGCAGATGGCATGAGCTCAGGAGTTTGAGACCAGCCTGGGCAACATGGCGAAACCCCATCTCTACAAAAAAAAAAAAAAAAATGAAAATAGCCAGGTGTGGTGGTGAGGGCCTGTAGTCCCAGCTACTCATGGGGCTGAAGCAGGAGGATCACTTGAGCATGGGAGGCAGACGTTGCAGTTAGCTGAGATTGCACCACTGCAATCCAGACTGGGAAACAAAGTGAGACCCTATCTCAAAAAATAAATAAATAAATAAATAAAATATATTTACAATTATATTCCCCAACTCTAGACACAATATAATTTGTACACATTCCAAAAAGTAATACATTCTAAAGGTATAATTTGAATGCATATATATATATGCATACATATATTACATATACACACAACAATTTTAAATATAGAGAGCAGCTCAGGGTGCTATCTTAGGCTTTCTTACATTCTCATTCTGCAGATATCCCCAAAGCAATGTCATCCTCTTCTGTGACTTCGTTTACCACCATTATGCTGACTCTTAGTCCATTTGCTTTGCTATAAATAAATACCTGAGGCTGGACACAGTGGCTCACGCCTGTAATCCCAGCACTTTGGGAGGCCGAGGCGGGCAGATCACCTGAGGTCAGGAGTTCGAGACTAGCCTGGCCAATATGGTGAAACCTCATCTCTACTAAAAATACGAAAATTAGCCAGGCATGGTGATGTGTGCCTGTAAACCCAAATACTTGGGAAGCTGAGACAGGAGAATCACTTGAACCCAGGAGGCAGAGGTTGCAGTGAGCTGAGATCATGCCACTGCACTCCATCCTGGGCAACAGAGTGAGACTCTGTCTAAAAAAAAGAAAAAAGAAATACTTGAGACTGGTATAAAAAAAGAAAAAAGAAATACCTGAGACTGGGTAATTTCTAAAGAAACGAGTTTATTTGGCTTACAGTTCTGTAGGCTGTATAAGAAGCAAGGCAGCAGCATCCACTTCTGATGAGAGCTTCAGGGTGCTTCCACTCATGGCAGAAGCGGAAAGGGAGCAGATATCACATGCCAAGAGAGGAGGGAAGGCCGGGCGTGGTGGCTCACGCCTGTAATTCCAGCACTTTGGGAGGCCGAGGCAGGTGGATCACCTGAGGTCAGGAGTTTGAGACCAGTCTGGCCAACATGGTGAAATCCCGTCTCTACTAAAAATACAAAACTTAGCTGGGTGTGGTGGTGCGTGCCTGTAATCCCAGCTACTCAGGAGGCTGAGGCAGAAGAATCACTTGAATCTGGGAGGCTGAGGTTACAGTGAGCCCACTTCATGCCACTGCACTCCAGCCTGGGCAATAGAACGAGACTCCATCTCAAAAAAAAAAAAAGGAGGGAAGAGAGAGAGGGGAGGGTTGCTACCCTCTTAAATAACCAGCTCTGAGGGAGAAGTCACTCATTATGCAGGGACTGCACCAAGCAGTTCATGAGGGATCCGCCCCCATGACCCAAAGACCTCCCACTAGGCTCCACCTCCAACACTGGGGATCAAATTTCAACATTAAATTTGGAGAGAACAAATATCCAAACTATGTCACTATCCTAAATTTTACATATTCAGCCTAGATATCCCTTCTGAGTTCCAAGTCCAAGTATGTAACTTCTTGCTATACCTCATCATCTAGATGTTTCACCCCGAGGAATTACTCTTCCTCCAGCATTTACTATCTCAATCAAAGTCAACCCTTTCACAGATGCTTCTGTAAGAAACCTGGAAATTAGCCTTGACACTAGACTCCTCCTCACTCTCATCCTGCACACATAATCAATCAAGTCCTACAAATTTTATCCCTAAATACTTCCTGAAGCCACACATCCCTCCCTCTTCACTGCCACCATCCTAATTCAAGTCACCATAACCTTTTGCATGGACTACTACAATAGCCTAGTAAGCCTCCTACATCCATTCTTGCCCCTGCCCAATTCATTCTCCACACAGCAGCCAATGTGATAGGATTATTTCACTCCCAGGCTTAAACTTCATACATTTCCCATTTTCTTTAGGGTAAAGTCTCAGACTCCTTAAACAAAGCCTAGACATCTGGCCCCTTCCCACCTCTCCTCCACATCTCTTGCCACCTCATCTTTTTATGAGCCTGCAACATGGAGCTTCTCTCAGTGTTTTCAACTTATCATGCCTTTCCAATGTCAGGCTGAAGCCCTTCTGACCCACCGCTTTATTTACTTCCCAATGTCAGGCTGAAGCCCTCCTGACCCCACCACTTCATCTAGCCAACTCTTACTTATCTTTTACGTCTCAGCTAAAACCTTAATTCTGTAGGGAAGCATTACCTGTCTCCAGGCTTTAGGTTAGGTTTCCCTGTCATATAGTCCTACCACACCCATATATCCCTATCCCATTACATTGTGCACTTATAATTTTCTAAGTATTTACAATAATTTAATATTTATATTCTGGCTGATCCAGGCAGGGAACATGTCTATTTTGTTCACCATTTTATCCCTGGTAGGTGCTCAAAAACTGTCTGTTGACTAACTGATTATTCAATCAGTTACAGTGTGCTTGAAAAAAAATACATGAGGGGGCCGGGTATGTGGCTCACGCCTGTAAGCCCAGCACTTTGGGAGGCCAAGGCAGGCAGATCACCTTAGGTCAGGAGTTCAAGACCAGCCTGACCAACATGGTGAAACCCTGTTTCTACTAAAAGTACAAAATCAGTCAGGCGCAGTGGCACATGCCTGTAATCTCAGCTACTCAGGAGGCTGAGGCAGGAGAATCGCTTGAACCCAGGAGGCGGAGGTGGCAGTGAGCCGAGGTCACACCATCGCACTCCAGCCTGGACAAGAGCGAAACTCTGTCTCAAAACAAAACAAAAAAAGAGCCAGGCACAGTGGCTCATGCCTGTAATCCCAGCACTTTGGGAGGCTGAGGCGGGCGGATCACCTGAGGTCGGGAGTTCGAGACCAGCCTGACCAACACAGAGAAACCCCGTCTCTACTAAAACTACAAAATTAGCTGGGTGGGGTGGCACACGCCTATAATCCCAGCTACTTGGGAGGCTGAGGCAGGAGAATTGCTTGAACCTGGGAGGTGGAGGTTGCAGTAAGCCAAGGTCATGCCATTGCACTCCAGCCTGGGCAACAAGAGGGAAACTCCGTCTCATTAAAAAAAAAAAAAAAAAAAAAAAGGTTTAATTATAGGTACTTCATTTCTTTTCTTCTTTTTTTTTTCTTTTTAAGAGACAGGGTCTTGCTCTGTTGCACAGGCTAGAGTGCAGTGGTACGATCATATCACACTGCAGCCTCCAACTACTGGGCTCAAGTGATCCTCCCACCTCAACCTCCCAAGTAGCTGAAACTACAGGTATGCACTACCACACCTGGCTGATTTTTTACTTTTGTAGAGACAAGGGTCTCATTATGTTTCCCAGGCTGGTCTTGAACTCCTGGCCTCAAGCAATCCTCCTGCTTTAGGCCTCCCAAAGTGCTAGAATTATAGGCATGAGCCACTATGCCTGGCCCAGTACTTCATTGCTTTTTATTGCTGAATACTATTTCATCCTAGGAATATACCATATTTTATTTATCCATTCATCAGCTGGCAAGACATCTGGGTTGTTTCTACTTTTTGGCTGAATAACGCTGCTATGAACATTCACGTATACATTTTTGTATGGACATACTCTTGGGCATATACCTAAGAGTGGAAGAGGGTATGTAACTAGAGCTGTGGTTTGAACATGTCCCCCAAAAAAGCATGTGTTGGAAACTTAATCTCCAATACAACAGTGCTGGGAGGTGAAGCCTAATGAGAGGTATTTAGGTCATGAGGGCTCCACCCTCATGAACGGATTAATGCCAATTATAAAAGGGCTTGAGGCTGTGAGTTCAGTCTCTTTCTCTCTCTCCCTCACTCTCTCTTGCCCTTCCAGGTCCTGCCATGAGATGATACAGCAAGGAGGCCCTCACCACATGCCAGCCCCTTGATCTTGGACTACCCAGCCTCCAAAACTGTAAGAAATAAATCTGTTTTTTATAAATTATCCAGTCTTAGCTATTGTTATAGTAACACAAAATGGACTAGGACACCTAGAATGACATCTACTGGTTGTATGGTAATTCTATGTTTAACTGCTTGAAGAAATGACAGCGTGTTTCCCAAAGTGGCTACACATTTTACATTCCCAACAGCAGTGAATGAGCATTCCAATTTCTCCACATCACCAGCTCTAACACTTATTCTTTTTTTCTTTAAGAGACAGGGTATCACTCTGCGGTCCAGGCTGGAGTGCAGTGTCATGACCTTGGCTCAGTGCAGCTGCAACCTCCTAGGCTCAAGCGATCTTCCTGCTTCAGCTTCCTCAGCAGCTGGGACTACATGCCTAGCCAATTATTCTATTTTTTGTAAAGATGGGGTCTCACTGTGTTGCACAGGATGGTCTCTAACTCCTGGGCTCAAGTAATCCTCCCACTTCAAATCCCAAACTGGTGGGATTATAGGTGTGAGCCACTGCTTATTCTTTTTTTTTTTTTTTTTTTTTTTTTTTTTCTGAGACAGAGTCTTGCTCTGTTGCTCAGGCTGGAATGCAGTGGCATGATCTCGGCTCACTGAAACCTCCGCCTCTCAGTTTCAAGTGATTCTCCTGCCTCACCCTCCAGAGTAGCTGGGATTACAGGCATATGCCACCATACCCGGCTAATTTTTGTATTTTTAGTAGAGACGGGCTTTCGCCATGTTGGCCAGGCTGGTCTCCAACTCCTGACCTCAAGTGATCCGCCCACCTCAGCCTCCCAAGCCACCGCTTATTCTTTTTTTTTTGAGACAGAGTTTCACTTTGTTGCCCAGGCTGGAGTGCAGTGGCATGGTCTTAGCTCACTGCAACCTCAGCCTCCCAGGTTCAAGCAATTCTCGTGCCTCGGCCTCCCATGTAGCTGGGATTACAGGCACCCGCCACCACACCCGCCTGATTTGTTTTTGTATTTTAGCAGAGACGAGGTTTCAACATGTTGCCCAGGCTGGTCTCGAACTCCTGAGCTCAGGCAATCCGCTCATCTCGGCCTCCCAAAGTGCTAGTATTACAAGCATGAGCCACCGTGCCTGGCCCCAAGCCACCGCTTATTCTTATCTGCTGTTTTGATTCCAGCCACCATAGAGTGTGAGGTAGCATCTCATGGTAGTTTTGATCTACACTCCCCTGAAGGCTGATGATGTTAACCCTCTTTCTATGTGCTTATTTCTTTACTTCTTATTAGCCAATCTAGCATTACGCCAATTCTCTGTAATAGTTAAGTAATTCTTACATTAAACCTTATCTGTTCAAATTACCATGTGATTTCTCTCTTTTAATTGGATCCAGACTCCTGCAAGATGAGTAGTCAGTGACTTCCTGAGTAGAAATCAAATGATCTACAATGGTTTTAAAAACAGAGAACAGAAGAGTAAAGCTGAAAAATACTTTGTCACTGGCCAGGTACTCCCTTTAGAAGCAGGTAAGAGGCCTGGTGTGGTGGCTCACGCCTGTAATCCCAACACTTTGGGAGGCCAAGGCAGGCAGATCACCTGATGTCAGGGGTTTGAGACCAGCCTGGCCAACATGGTGAAACCTTGTCTCTACTAAAAATACAAAAATTAACCAAGCGTGGTGGTGGGCCCCTGTAATCTCAGCTACTTGGGAGGCTGAGGCAGGAGAATCATGTGAACCTGGGAGGTGGAGGTTGCAGTGAGTCAAGATCACTCCACTGCACTCCAGGCTGGGTGACAGAGTAAGATTCCATCCTAAAAAAAAAAAAAAAAAAAAAAAAAAGATGTAGCAGAAGGATAAAAACACGTATGGGAACTTTAAACACCTTTAACTCAAACAGTGGCTTTTTTCTGTTGAAGGAGGGAGAAGAAGGGAAAAACACATTAGGAAGGCTTTCAGTAAAAATGTAATGTTCTCTTTATTTAAAAAATAAAAAAAAACTCAAGCAAGATGGCATATTAAGATTTAATGATAGACAGGCGCAGTGGCTCACGCCTGTAATCCCAGCACTTTGAGAGGCCGAGGCGGGCGGATCATGAGATCGGGAGATCGAGACCATCCTGGCTAACACAGTGAAACCCCATCTCTACTAAAAATACAAAAAATTAGCTGGGCATGGTGGCGGGCGCCTATAGTCCCAGCTACTCGGGAGGCTGAGGCAGGAGAATGGCGTGAACCAGGGAGGGATAGCTTGCAGTGAGCCAAGATCGCGCCACTGCACTCCAGCCTGGGCGACAGAGCAAGACTCTGCCTCAAAAAAAAAAAAAAAAAAAAAAGATTTAATGATAGAGCCGGGCGTGGTGGTTCACGCCTCTAATCCCAACACTTTGGGAGGCCAAGGCAGGCAGATCACCTGAGGTCAAGAGTTCAAGACCAGCCTGATCAACATGGAGAAACCCTGTCTCTACTAAAAATACAAAAATTAGCCGGGTGTGGTGGCACATGCCTGTAACCCCAGCTACTCGGGAGGCTGAGGCAGGAGAATCGCTTGAACCCGGGAGGTGGAGGTTGCAGTAAGCCAAGGTCATGCCATTGCACTCTAGCCTGGGCAACAAGAGTGAAACTCCGTCTCATTTAAAAAAAAAAAAAATTCATGATAGGTATAATTATTTGTTCTGTTCTTGTATGTGTAAAATACATCATTAGAAAATACAGGCCAGGCACGGTGGCTCACGCCTGTAATCCCAATACTTTGGGAGGCTAAGGTGGGCATATCACTTGAGTTCAGGAGTTTGAGACCAGCCTGGGCAACATGGCAAAACCCCATCTCTACAAAAAAATACAAAAGAAAAAAAAATTACCGGGGCATGGTGGTGTGCACCTGTAATCCCAGCAATTCAGGAGGCTAAGGTGGGAGGATCACTTGAGCCCAGGAGGTCAAGGCTGCAGTAGCTGTAACTGCACCCCTGCACTCCAGCCTAAGCAACAGAGCAAGGCCCCACCTCAAAAAAAAAAAAAAAATTAGAAAAGAAAAAAGAAAAACAAAATATAAATGTTCCCTTTCCTTGCTATTATTTCTGAGACTTTACATGTTTTAGGCCTATGCAGTAGTTCCATATTGTTTATCTGCTCATGTATTTTTTCAGAAAGGAAAGACATATTTTAGAAAAACTATGCTGGACTATTGCAAAGTAACTATGCTGGAACTATGCTACCAGCTATGCCATCTTATCAGTCCCAGCAAAAGTCATTGTTACACACCTGAGTAAAGCAGCGGACACACAGGGAGTGGTGCCTGCCCTCAAGGAGCAGGGTGATTCGTGCAGTTATGGAATAAACAAGGAACAGATGTTATGAGATTATGGGAATTAATAATTGTCTGGGAGGCTCAGGAAAAGCTTCAGAGGCGTTGCCTGAATTAAACTGACTCTGGGAAGCTGAAGCAGAAGGGCAGGAGAGGGATTACAAGCCACGCTAAGGAGTCTGAAATTTATCCCATTGGCAATGAGGAACCACGTACATAAACAAATGACGTAAATCTATGTTTTAGAAAGGTTGCTCGTGTAGCAATATGGAGAACTGACTGGAGAAGGCTAAGCACAGAGCAAGAAGAAGCCATTATAACAGCCCAGGCCATTTGCCCTCAAAGAGGGGATGTACGGGATGTACACCTCGAAGGGCACTCAAAGTGATTCAGCAGGGTATTGGAAGAAAAATACCACACCTCCTATTTATAAACCTCTCTTGGTGTTTAATTTCATGGACACCGGCCTCCTCATGCAGTCCCTAAGTCAGATGTCTGTCGCACATGAGGTTCAGGAAGACTCCTCAGGAAGTGTGAAAATTCCACAGTGTAGAGTGTGTGGTACCGCCATTCACTCATTCACGTCCTAATGTAGTACGGTTCATGTAGTACAGATGACATCAATATGGTTAGTTCCGTAAAAATTGGATGTTAAAAAGATTTTTTTATGGAACACTTCATAAATTTGTGTGTCATCCTAATCTTCTCTGTATCGTTCCAATTTTAGTATATGTGCTGCCAAAGCAAGCCCGTAATAGGATCTTTTAAATAGGATCATAACTAAACTTGACAATGAGACAGCGAGAAACTCTGAAACCTGCACCACGAAAAAGTTTTCCAGTTATCATGTCACCAAGTGCTTATAAGAGTTCTAGAACTTAAAGAGCAGTTACATAATTTTCTTCTACAAAAATGTTGTTGTTCTCAGTTTGGTGACCTTTCCTGGGATGGCAAATGTAAACAGTATGGCACCTAGCAGATACTCCAAAAATACACACAGCTGCCCTTCCAAAATAAACATCTATTTCGGTTGGTGCAAAAATAATTGTGGTTTTTGCCATTAATATTATCAGAGGCTAGAAACTAGCTGTTTTTTAAAGAAAACTGTTGAGTGCATTTTGAAAATAGACGTTTTTAATGTTTCCATTCTTATGTTGTTACCAGAAGGATATAAAAGTCACACAAAAACTCGTAACTATATACCAGCAGTTCTCAAAGTGTAGTCCAAGGACCCTCAAGGGTCCCCAAGACCCTTTTAGGGGGTCCATGAGTTTAGAACTATTTTCACAATCTAAGACATTCTTTGCCTTGTTCACTCTCATTCTCTTATGAGAGTCCAGCAGTTTTCTAGAGGTTATATAACATGATGAGGTGACCACGATTCTTCTCACAGTTAACAGTATGCATGCTTGTGGGTTATTGTGATTTTTGAGACAGGGTCTCACTCTGCCACCCATGCTGAAGTGCAGTACCATGATCACAGCTCATTGCAGCCTCAACCTCCTAGGCTCAGGCAATCCTGCTGTCAGCCTCCCTAGTAGCTGGGACTACAGGGATGTGCCACCATGCTTGGCTAATTTTTTAATTTTTTGAAGAGATGTAGTCTCACTATGTTACCCAGGCTGAACTTTTTTTTTTTTTTTAGACAGAGTCTCACTCTGTCCCCCAGGCTGGAGTGTAGTGGCATGATCTCGGCTCACTGCAACCTCTGCCTCCCAGGCTCAGGCAATCCTCCCACCTCAGCCTCCCAAGTAGGGGGTACCAGAGGCATGTGCTACCACACCTGGCTAATTTTTTTGTATTTTTGGTAGATATGAAGTTTCACTATGTTGCCCAGGCTGGTCTCAAACTCCTGAGCTCAAGTGATCCCCCTACTTCAGCCTCCCAAAGTGCTGGGATTATAGGCGTGAGCCACCGCGCACAGCCATGAACATTTTTTATCATTTTTTTTTTGTACTCAGTGATTTTTAAAACATTAAATATCGACAGACAATACTCACAAACATGAAAGTTATTTGGGAATACTCAATAATTTTTAAACTTTAAGGGAATCCCGAGACCAAAGAGAACAACTGCTACATTCTTTAAATCCTCAGTAACAGAATTTCCTGATTTAACATATTCCAAACAAAAGGGTTCAGTGAGTTTTTAAGCTGTGTTAAAAATACATAAACATGCCACCTTTCAGTTACTTTGCAAGAAAAACTGACATCAAGGAAGAGGAAATTTATGATACATAGACAAATAATGGGCCAAGGCAGTAGATGACATTTCATCAGAGTAACATAAATTAAGTTCTACAGGAGTTGAGAGAGGAGGAACTCATGTCAAGCCAGGATGATCATATAAAGAATCTAATGGAAAATAAATATGAATTAAACTTCCATTACTATCTTTAAAAAAATCATCAGAAGATGACTGAGGAGGAGCAAAATTTCAGGGGGAAGAAGTCAGCAATGACAGGCCGAGGAGAAGTGTGTATGTTTTAGCAACCCCATCTGATGAGTATATTATGGTCACACACATTTGTGTCACTTCTGAGCAAGGGTTGGGAATAGCTAAATGCCATATAAACTGTTGGCATTTAAGCAATGTTTAAATTTTTTATTTTTGGAGATGGAGTCTTGCTCTGCTGCCCAGGGTGGAATGCAGTGGCGTGATCTCGGCTCACTGCAACCTCCGCCTCCCAGGTTCAAGCAATTCTCCTGCCTCAGCCTCCAGAGCAGCTGGGACTACAGGTGCACGCTGCCATGCCCAGCTAATTTTTTTTTTTTTTTTTTTTTTTGTATTTTAGTAGAGACGGGGTTTCACCGTGTTGCCCAGGCTGTTCTGGAACTCCTGAACTCAGGCAATCCGCCCACCTCGGCCTCCCAAAGTGCTAGGATTACAGGCATGAGCCACTGCGCCCAGCAACAATGTTTAAATTTGTATGGGATTTTTTTTTTTTTTTTGAGATGGAGTTTCCCTGTCTTGTCACCCAGGCTGGAGTGCAGTGGCACGATCTCGGCTCACTGCAACCTCCGCCTCCCGGGTTCAAGTGACTCTCCTGCCTCAGCCTCCTGGGTAGCTGGGATTACAGGCGCCTGCCACCATGCCCAGCTACTTTTTGTATTTTTAATAGAGACGGGGTTTCAACACATTGGCCAGGCTGGCCTCGAACTCCTAACCTCAGATAATCCACCCACCTCGGCCTCCCAAAGTGCTGGGATCACATGTATGAGCTACTGCACCCGGCCCGTATGGCATTCTTATCAACTGTCTCTTTTTGATCTCAGAGTAATTCCCTTATGCCTAACACTCCCAGCCTAGCATCATCCATCACTTAAAATGCATATCCTTGTTAGTAAGACCTAAAATAAATGCAAAAATAAAACCACAACGTGGCTGGCCGTAGTGGCTCACGCGTGTAAACCCAGCGCTTCGGGAGGCAGAGCTGGGCAGATCACTTGAGCCCAAGAGCTCGAGACCAGCGTGGGCAATATGGTGAAACCACATCTCTATAAAAAACACAAAAAATTAGCTGGGCGTGGTGGTGCGTGAGTGCCTGTGGTACCAGCTATCTGGGAGGCTGAGGTGGGAGGACCACCTGAGCCTGGGAGGTTGAGGCTGCAGTGAATCGTGATCATATCATGCCAGTGCACTCCAGCCTGGGTGATAGAGTGAGTACTTTTCTCAAAAAAAAAAAAAAAAAAAAATCCCACAACGTTGGCATCTTTAGGTAGTGAGATTTAAGACTAGTGATCACCTACCATGAACCAGGTAATATACTAAAGATTAGAAATATTATAACTGTTTTTTATTATTAAACTATTACTTGTATAGATCTACTAATAGCTCAAGACCAGGCTTTTTACACCTATTCCCTCCAATCCTCAGAGCAACCTGGCAAGGTAGGAATTTTTGTCCTCATTTTCCAAATTTGAAAACCAAGAAGACATGACATTCTGAAGCCTATCCAAGGTGACACAATAGAAACTGGCCAGGCTATGACTGAAATCCTGGTCTGCTGCTCATCTAGCCCTAGGAAGCACACAGACATGCCGCTCACATGTTGCACCAGCGTAACTATCCTTCCGTCCAGTCTTACCTCATTCTAACCTTCATCCTGCATAAATATTTTATGACTCTTGTGTAGTAGGCATGGTACTATGGATGCAAACCTCAGAACTCCCCATGTGAGGGAAATAGCTATTCACTATTCTGCCTCTTCCACACAGTGATGTTCCTGAAAGGCAAAGCTGACAAAGTAGTCACTTTCTATCTTCAAATCCTTCAGTGGCACCTAATCACCTTCAGGATAAAGCTCTAACTTCATAACTCACAAAGACCTTCACAATCTATTCTTGACCGATTTCTGCAGCCTCATTTCCCACACACTCCCCCAACAGGCTCCATACTCCTGCCACACCAGTGTCTTTAGGATGTAGCCACATTCTTTGCTTCTAGGCCACAGCACACATTGTTGCCTGTGTGAAAAGCCTTTTAAACCCATATCCACCCAGCTAATAACTACTGATTTTTCAAGATGTAGGTCAGATGTGAACTTCCCTAGAAAACCAGTACTCATATTCCCCACGATATCAGGTGCGCTTTTAGAAGATCCCACAAGACCCTCAACCACAGCCCTTGTTATAATGTATTCTGCTTCTGGTTATAATGTATTCTTTACTTGCTTCTGGTCCTACTAGACTGGAGGTTCTTTGAGGCCAGGGACATGTCCTTCATACCTATCAAGCCACCACCTAGCACAGAGCCTGGCAGAGCTTATGTTCAGTACACATTTGTGGATGATGAGAGCACCTGGTCTAGTAGGAGAGAAAGAAATGTATACACTCACATAAAATATGAAAAATGTGAAAATAAGAGATCGTAGGGATGCTGTCCAAGGGAGAAAAAAGGTGGGGAAATCCAGGGGAACCCTTCTACCTGTATTTCTGAGGGCTCCTTACCTGATTTCTCAAGTTTCTTCTAACCTTGCTGCAGCTGGTTAGAAGCACTGTGATCATGAGTGCTTACTGTGAACCACGTGCTCTGCAAAGCACTTTACATGAACTGACTTGTTTAATTCTCACAACTGCCCCATGCATTTCACTGATGAGGAAACTTAGGCTCAAAAATAAGATTCCTGCTTAATGTCAGACAACTATTAATAGTGGAAGAGCCAAGATCTGAACCCAAATCTGTTTCCTGAACCAGGGCTCCAACCAGCACTGTTTCTATTGTCTGTCAAAAGTGAAACCTCCTCCCCAAATACCAAGTTTGCTAGGTTCAATTAAACCAGTAAGGTTAAACTAAGATTACTTTTTAATTTTAACCATTTGAGTGAAAATGCACCTAAAATTATTACACATTTCCCAATTTCTTATAAATTGAATACCCTGAATATAATTTAACTTTTATTTTTTGCTATCTCAGAACCATTGCTGTATTTGTTACTAAGAATGCTGTAACATAGTAAGTTTTGTAAAAGACATTCCTCAGGAATGACTGTGTCATAACTCGGATGTAACAGATTGCCCTTGTATCAACACCCTTGGCCTGTGAGCATTTACAAGTGCTTGGAAGAGTTTTGACTCTGAATCTACCATTACCCCATGCCTGGTTAGAGCTATTATTTCTTGCTACTGTCAATGTTTGTCTCTAGCAGCCCATCTGATGTGCTACCTCTAATCTTCAATGGGCTGTGATACCCCAGATGAGGTAGTAGTCATTAGTGCTATGCACCAAATATTTCTGGCTCTTTGCTTCCCAGACATATGCTAACACTGAAATTCTCTAACCTTCTTTAAAGTTAGGCATGGCTATGTGACTTGCTTTGGCCAATGAAAATGTGAATGAAAGTGGCATGTGCCATAGTGGGACAGAAACTTGAAAAGCCAGTGTCCACTTGACCACTATCTTTTCATTTAATCAAAATGGTCATGGCAGTACCATATTAAGATGGAGTTTCTATCAGCCTCAGTTCCTGAGTAACTGTGAAGAGTTTCCTGTACACTCATGCTGGACACGTCACATGAATGAGAAGTCAAGTTTTGTTCTGTTACGCCACTGAAGTCTTGAGGTTTTTGTTAGTGCAGCCTAATCCAAGCTATCTATGTCAATACAGATCTCTCAGTAAGGGATTCTCTCACATAAACAACTTTATTTATAGATTTTAATGATAAACATTTTGTTTGGATAAAGAATTATCTCTGCATCCATCCTGATTCAAAGCTATTTTCAATATAAAATATATTTGCCAAGTACCTACTATGTACAAAGTTGGATGATGAAGAGGACAGTCTATGTCTTGAAATAGCTTCAGTCTTATACTGTGGGTAGAAGCAGGATTTAAGGCAATTATCGCAAAAAGGCAGACTCTAATGTTATGGTGGTTTAAACTTAAAGAAGAGAGACAGCTCATCTAGATGGGAAGAAAAAGTACAGATAAGCTTCACAAAGGAAGTTCCGTATCAAATGGCCCTGAAACATACGTAAGAACAATTAAAGTCAAGGAGACTATTTAAGATAGAAAAAGCCAACATGAGCAAAGATACAGAGCACAAACAGCAAAGCACAAAGAGCAAATAGTTCCATTGACCTGGAAAATATAACAGAATGGCAAGAAATCAGTTTGCCCATATTGCCCATGCCAGGCTGGTCTGTGCCTAACGCAACAGATAATGGGGAGCCATTCAAAGTCCTGGCTGGAGAAGTGACAAACTTGGAAGTGATGGCAATACACATGATGGATGGAAGGAAAAAAATGTTAGGGGGTTTCTGTGGTAATTCACAGGAATGGTCCAATGGCCCCAGATCAGTGTGATGACAGTAGGAGTGAAAAGAAGCAGATGCCAGGCTAGGTATGGTGGCTCATGCCTATAATCCCAGCACTTTGGGAGGCTAAGGTGGGCAGATCACTTGAGATCAGGAGTTCAAGATCAGCCTGGCCAACATGGTGAAACCCCGTCTCTATTAAAAATACAAAAATTAGCCGGGTGTGGTGGCACACGCCTGTCGTCCCAGCTACTCAGGAGGCTGAGACGGGAGAATTACTTTAACCCAGGTGGTGGAGGTTGCAGTGGGCTGAGATGGGGCCACTGCACTCCAGCCTGGGCAACAGAGGGAGGCTCTGACTCAAAAATAGAAGCAGATGCCAGAAACAGTGTGGAAGTAGGGTCAACAAGACCTGGCACCCAACCAAAAACACGGGGAGAAAAAAAGAAGAAAAGTAAGAATAAACTTGAGGTGCCGCTTCTGGGTTGAGAGAACTGTTATTCCAAGTAGCTGAGGTGAATCAGAAAAGCGACAATGGGCTAGGTGTGGTGGCTCACGCATATATTCTCAACACTTTGGGAGGCTGAGGTGGAGGATTTCTTTCTTTCTTTTTTTTGACCGAGTTTCACGCTTGTTGCCCAGTCTGGAGTGCACTGGCGCGATCTCGGCTCATTGCAACCTCCACCTCCCGGGTTCAAGCGATTCTCCTGCCTCAGCCTCCCGAGCAGCTGGGATTACAGGCGCCTGCCACCACGCCTGGCTAATTTTTTGTATTTTTTTTTTGGTAGAGACGGGGTTTCATCATGTTGGCTAGGCTGGTCTCGAACTCAAGGTGGGAAGATTTCTTGAGCCCAGGAGTTCAAGAACAGCCTGGGCAACATGACAAGACCCTGTCTCTACAAAAAAAATTTTTTTTAATTCTCCAGGTCACCTGCCTGTGGTCCCAGCTACTTGGGAAGCTGAGGTGGGAGGATCGCCTGAGTCCAGAAAGTCAAGGCTGCAGAGAGCCACATTCACTGCACTCCAGCATGGGTGACAGAGGGAGACCCTGTCTCAAAAAAAAAAGAAAAAAGAAAAAGTGACAATGACAAGTAAAGTGTTACTGTATTCCTGATAGTTAGCTACAGCTTCCTTTGAAGTAAATTCTATTACTTGTTTACTCTTTGCACCACACAGGACAAAGGTACCTCTTGGATTAATGCCATCAACCTACCTTTTGTGCAACCTCATATCCTGCTTTTTCTGCTAAGAAACCCCCTGGAACCACCCATGAGCATCTCAGGTTCCCCTGCACCTTTGTCATCCTCACTTTCTCATCTGCTCACTTCTTCCCCTTCATACAGCCGGCTACCCACTCTTCATGACCCAATTCAAGCCTCAGCTTCCCTGTGAAACCTTCCTCAAACACATGGATTTCTCCTTTTCTCGGTTTCTCAGAGTACCTACCATCTTGGAATTCTAGAGACCATATCACAGTTATCATTGTCATGTGTGTGCTTTATTCCCTCAAGTATATTATAGGCCCATTAGAGCAAGTTTCTTATCTTAAATGGTTTTGAGTTTCCCCTCAGTCAATGCCTTGCATAAAATATGTACTCAAGAGGCGTTCCATTGATTGATACAAAGTCTGTTAGTCTCTGAGAACATGAATGTCTTGTTTCATCGTTAACATTTTATTTTTATTAAACCATGGTTAGACAGTTAGACACGCGAAATGGAGAGATTCACCACTTAATATCTCAAAATATCCTTAAGAATCTCTAATCATAGGAGGAGCTGTATTGCCTTAAGAGATTATTTGAAAGTATCATTTGGCTATAAATTTCTGTGCCAGCTTCCTTTTAATCCTCTGTTGACTTGAAAGTACACCAAACATTTCAGTGATCATCTCTACAAGATAATTCTGCCTTAGAAACAACCTAATTTGTCATGGGGACTATCTTACTTTTAGTAACCTAATAAGAGTTTTTTCCTACCTTAATGTCCAGCTATCTATAATTCACAGTACATCCACTGAAAAGTTTGAGTATTTTACTTTCTGAGGTAATAGCCGCCTTCACTGGTCCTTCCCTCAATTAATTACATTCAGTTATCAGGTTTCACTCCTTCCTCATACGTGAAGGAAACATAAATGAGGCTTACTGAGGAATCATAAAAATGGACATTGTTGTAAAAAGGAATCCAAAATGTTCATGGGACACTCTCCTAACCAAACCTGCCCTCCTCACTAAGATATTTTCTCTTGCAAGCAAAAGCACCGAGGACACAACGGGGGAAAGTGCCAGAAGGAAAGGAAGCAAGAGAGGCGTACTTTGCCGATCAAACTGACCCCAGTTCTGGCCCCCGCTAGAGCAGTAAGCAATGACAACCGCTACCCAAACGCTGCCGATTCCCGCTCAGGCGCTCCCTGGACTTTTCTTTCCTTTTCCCACAGCAGGGCCCGAATGACGGTGTCCGTGCTCTGCGCCAAGGTGCGCAGCGCTGCGGGGTTTCACACGGAGATGATCTCAGACCTCCTGGCCTGCGTCCGGCCGGCCTTTCCCCCAGGCTCGGCGGCCCCCACCCAGGAGAGGTCATCCAGGTACTGGGCCCCCAGCCCGAAGGACGACTGGGCCGTGCCCCGACCCCGCCTTCCCGGGCACTAGCGCGCGGGCTCCGCGCCCCGCCCAGCCCGGGACCCGCGGCCGGCGGGGGAGGGGCGGGGCGGAGCGGCGACCGTTATTCGCGGTCAGCCATCGCGCCCCGAAGCGCACTGGGCAGGCCCTTACCACAGCGGAGAGGGAGGCAGGGGGGAGGTGGCGCCCGGCCCGACGCGGGGCAGGAAGGCGGAGGCAGCGGCGTAGGCGGCGGCGACAGCCGCGGGGGACCCCGGCGGGAGCCCACAACGCGCTGGGCTGCATGGGCGCCGCCATAGTGGGGACGCAGCGGCGGGCGGAGCGCGCGGCCGCGACCCGGTCGGGCGCCTGCGACCAATGGGCTCGCGGAAGCCGGGCGGAGCGAGGGCCTGGCCAATGCGGAGCTGCGCTGCCCCGAGCAGCCCAATAGACGCAGGAGCCGCGGATTTGCCGTCCCGCCCACCCCGCCTACCACGAGAGCAGTGCTGCGGCGAGTGCGGGGCGAGAGGTTCGCGCTGGTGGAGCACCCCAGCTTGCAGGTTCAGCGTGGGTGTCTCTCCCGGGCACATCGAGCTGTCTAGAGGAACCCTCTTCCCCTGGCTTCACGGCCCAGAGGACGCACGGCTCTCTCCCCTCGAGAGCGTGTTTCGTCGCCCGCGCGGGGAACGCAAAGTGCTAGGGTAGTCACGGCCACTTCACGCCGAGGGACATCTCATCTCGCCCTCCAGGTCGTGAGCGCACCCATTCCGCTCACTGAGGCCGAAAGCTTCGGACCTCCGTGGGCCCTGGTGGGTAAGGGGGCACGGGGGTGAGCGTTAAGAGACTCGTAGAACATTTTTAGTCCGCGCGTGGCACAAGGCCTCCAAGCCCCACGTACACTTTGCAGCCCTCCCACTCCTTTTTCATTCCTGCGGCTGAGCCCTGGTGTTATCCGCCTGGGGCGGAATTTAAAACTTAATTCCTCAACAAAGTCGGGGTGGTCTTTAAACTGCAACCTTGGATCCAAAGGCCCTACCTTACAAAGGGAAGGCAGTTTGCCCTACAAAAAGGCTTCTGGGAGGAGCTGCCTAAGGCAGGAAGGGACTGGCAGGCCGGGAGGTGCCGCTTTTGGCTGGGGCCAGTTCTCTTGAGGTCGACCCGACTGCATAGGCAGCCAGTAGGGGAGAGAACGGGCCGGTCTGTGTGATTTGGATCACCTGAGTTGCAGTTTCCTAAGAGTTATTAGGTTGACCAAAAAAAAAAAGTGCAGTTTCTGGAAAACTGGTCAGCTGTTGAGTAAAAACTGCTGGGATTAAACCCAGCGCCCACCCCTGGAGGCAGTGGGGTCATCGAGAAAGGTAGGGATCCTGTGTAAAAAGGCTGGTGAAGTGTTCCTCTCTTCCAAAGATGTATGGATTAGTGTTCTCTCACCAATCCACTAAGGCCTGGTTCTGCCCAGCCTCCCTTGCTACATCCCCTGGGAATCCCCAAGTGGAGTGTGGGCAAAGAAAAAAAAAGGCCAACTTCCCTCCCTGGGCCCCAGGAGGGAGCTGACATAGAAAAGATCACCTCCTGCACCTCCCTTTCTCCACAATGAGATACCAAGTAGCAACCACCTCTCAACCCCCAGGGACACAAGGAAGCATCCAGAGCAGCTGAACTGACCTAAGCCTCTCCTGCACCTGGACAGGGCCATGCCACAGGAAGTGCCTGGCTGTTTAAGGGCCAGCCGGTGCAGCTCCGGGGCACCCAAGTCCTGCACCTATTCATTGCCCCCCTCCCTGCTCTGTGGTTCCCCATCCTTGTCCACTTTGACCTCAGGGATCTACCAGCCAAAGGAGATTGGGTCTTCCTCCAGGGAAGCTTCTCACCAACTAGACAGCTCGGAGAGCAATCTGAGGATCCCACTGGAGGTTGAGTCCCTTGCTTTTCAAGCACCTAAAATGCACCCATCCTTCCCACTGGTTCCACAATTTGTATAGAGCACAGATGCTGGCATGAACTTAGGCCAGTTCAACAAAGATGTATCAAATGGGGCAGCAGTGAGAGATACTCTGTTGAGAGGACTCATTGGTCTGGTGCTTCCTCTGTTACCTCATCTTGCCCGTCTCTAAGGCAGAGCAAGCACAACAAAGAGGTGCTCAGAGCCAGAAGTGTCCCTGCTCCCATGACCCACCATACTTGGCCTAATACAGAGCTTGACAAGCAAAGGACCCACTCTCTGGAACTTCCTAGGGAATGCCTTACTGATTTGTCTTAAAATACACAGCCCCGCTCCAGAGCCTATGACTCTAGATACACCCCCCAGCCTGACGTGGGCCACGTGGGCTCCTTGGGGCAGACAGCCAATCCTCTGCTCAACACATTTTATTGCTAAGGACAAGGTGATGCACCAGTTTTCAAAATAATTTGGTTTATAGTGTTCATACGTAACAAAAAAGGGGAAGTATTATAAATCTGATTCTTGTATACACAGGGTATTGGTGTGAAGCCCTCCAATCCTGGGCCCAGGCAAACAAATTCTTGAGGAGCAAAAACCTGTTTAACCCCTTCAGTATTGCCCTCTAGTCCCACCCCCCACCCCAAAATCAGCTCCCTCCCACCTACAGTGGGCCTCCAATGGCCCCAGTTTTTTCATCCTAACCCTCCCAGCCCCTGCATGATTGCAATTTTCTGTTGACAGAATCACCCACCAGGCTCTGCCTGCTTCCATCATTAAAATCCCCGATTCAGGGTAATCCCCACCCACACCCTGTAATACTTTGCCACAGGGGCTCTGCACCTAGAGTGTTGTGGGCACACACCCATGTTATCCCCATGTTCTCCTTTAGGGGAAGACAAAGAGGTGGCATCAGCTCCTTAGCATCTCAATACTGCAGCTTTGCCAGCACTGTCTTGAGACGGTTCCAGGCCTGGACAGATGCCACACCCATCTCCAGCCAACCCCCAGGAGCCCTTACTCAGCTCAGCTGAGGGCAGAATTTCACATTTTGTTTGCCCTGCATAGGCAAGGAAGAAAGTAAAGGCCAGGGGCTGGCAGAAGCTGGTCCAGACCAAACATACACGCACGCACGCACGCACGCACACA
Source organism: Homo sapiens (assembly GCF_000001405.40). NCBI lineage: Eukaryota > Metazoa > Chordata > Mammalia > Primates > Hominidae > Homo > Homo sapiens. The sequence continues at coordinate 43,704,779 of NC_000001.11, read as the reverse complement.
CACACACACATATAAATACAAAAGTAGGGGTTGGGGCAAGTACCAGCACCTCAGCCTAGTCGGTGCAGGTGATAGTTATGAAGCTAAGTCCTAGGCCAGGAACAAGGCAGCCAGTCCAGCCAGCATAGTTGACCCCTCTATGGACTGGGGCCAGTGCAGCCACAGCATTCCAGTGCTCAGCCCCTCAGCTGGGAGATCAGCGACTGCTGCCACGTGCCCAGAAATGGCTCGTCCTTTCACTACAGCGGAATGCAATGAGGGTGGGTGAGAAGATGATGGGTCGGTTATTTCATTCCTTTTCTTTTTACAACTTCACTTTCAGAGACTTCAGCGTTCCATGTCTGCTGTGCTGTGGAACCCAGAGTGCTCTTGCCTGGATGGCTGAGAATCCCTTGGACCCTGGAAGCACCTACTCCATGATGGCCCGGTATAGTGCAGGCTCAATATAATCTTCCCGGTATCTTGAGTTGATAACTCGTTGCCGTTTCTTTTCTTGCTTAACCTCTTTCTCTGTGAAAATCTCATTGAAGCGCATGTCTGAGGCTACTGACTATAGAAGAATAAGCAAGCCAAGTGTCAGCTACCCCAGGAACAATACAAAGGGATGCATCCTTGACTTGTTCCCTCCCTCCAAGACAGGAACTGGGGGGACACAGAAAATACTCACCAGTCTAGATTTGACTCTCTTGGGAAGCTCTTCATCCAGTGTGTATACATCATCTCTCTTAACCACAAGTTGTGAGCCATCCTCAAACTCCACCTACCAAGGAAACAAAGGCCTTTTGGCTAGGATATCCCTGACTCTTTCCCTGGTCCACCATGCACAGTGGCAGTCCCCTACAGTCAAAGGAAGGAGTTAGAACACTAAAATAACAACTACCTTACTTCACATTTGGCAGACTGGAAACAGGGCAGACCCCTAGCTCTGAAAGGGTTACCAACCTATTAGTTCTCCTAAGAGCAAAGACTCGCCTCTGGCCCAACAGGAAGCACAGAATTAATCAAGCACCCCCCACTCCCTAGAAAGGTAGAACTTTGGATACCTGGTACATTTGGATAGGGTGGGAGGCCACAAACTTGGCTCCATAGACTTGGCCGTCTGTCCATCTCACTTGGACCACTTCCCCTTCAGCAGGAGGACCAAACTGGAGACAGTCCTGGCTCTGAGGAAACAGGAAGGAAGGAGGGTGAAAGGAACGTCCACCTGCACACAAAGGTAACTGTCCTCTACTCAGGGAAGAGTGAACCAGGACAAAGTAACTGTTTTAGAGAGCAAGGCAGCTCTCTGGGCTGAAAAATGTTAACAGTTAAAGACCTTGCTAAGTCAAAGTCTGCCCCTATCTCTGCCCTCTCCTGCTTCTAGGTGACCAAAAAAAAAAAAAAAATCCAGCTATAACAAACTTAGTAAACACAGGAGTTAAGTGCCAGAATCAAGAGTCCTTCTTACATTCCCTCAACTGTTCCCCTGCGGGTTCTCCAGGGCTCTGCCATGAAGAAATACTAGAACCATACTCAACTATAAGACATGTGTTTTTTTTGGCCAGGCACGGTGGCTCATGCCTGTAATCGCAGCACTTTGGGAGGCTGAGGCAGGCAGATCACCAGGTCAGGAGATCAAGACCATCCTGGCTAACATGGTGAAACCCCATCTCTACTAAAAATGCAAAAAATTAGCCAGGTGTGGTGGCAGGCGCCTGTAGTCCCAGCTACTCGGGAGTCTGAGGCAGGAGAATGGTGTGAACCCAGGAGGCGGAGCTTGCAGAGAGCTGAGATCACGCTGGAATACAGTGGCCTGATCTTGGCTCATTGCAACCTCAGCCTCCTGGGTTCTAGCAATCCTCCTGCCTCAGCCTCCCGAGTAGCTGGGACAACAGGCACGTGCCACCATGCCCAGCTAATCTTTGTATTTTTAGTAGAGACGGGGTTTCACCATGTTGGCCAGTCTGGTCTCGAACTCCTTACCTCAGGTGATCTGCCTGCCTCGGCTTGCCAAAGTGGTGGGATTACAGGCATGAGCCACTGTGCCCAACCAAGAAATATGTTCTTAACAGGAAAGATGAAAAAGAGTCACCTACCATGGGACCTGGCAAAGTACTTCAGAACTTTTATTCCTTCCAGAAGCAGGTAAGTACCCCAAGTCCTCATCGTATTCCCAGCATAGGGCTTGGTATACGGGGGGATATTTCATTCAGCATATTGGCTGAATGAAAGGTCTGATAGGTATACCTGGGAGAAGGTCCTTAGGGACATGGCTTAAAAAATGAGAGAGGGGCAGGGCAGTGAGTCTAAAAGGATGTGGATGCTCACATCTGCTCTTACAATCATGCTACAGTTCATTTATTGAGTGGAAACAGTTCCCTACTTATTGACAATTCATTTACTGAATAGGTAATCAGTAAATACATTTTGTATCAATCTAACAATTAGGCATAAACTACAGCCTCCTACACCCAATATCTGAGGTGTTCTAAGATTTAACTACTCAAATGTTTGATATTTGATAAATTGTTTAAGTTCTCTGCAATTCAGTTCCACCTCCTATAACAGCACTTCTGAAAATGTGGTCTGTGAACCTCTGAGGGGTTCCTGAGACACTGTCAGGGAGCAAGTGAGACATGGCTATTTTTATAATATTAAACTATTAGCCTTTGTCACTGTGTTGTCATTTACCTAGGATAGGTACAACTGCTGGCACCTGAGCACAGATCAAGGCACTGACCCTAAGCTCTACTAGTTGTTATTGCATTTTTCACCACTGTACACTCATAATTTAGGAGAAAAGAGCAAAAACTCTAGATTGCATGTAACAATATCCCTTGATGAAGCAGTAAAAAATTATTAATGTTGTTAAATCTTAATCATTGAGTACATGTGTTAAGTCCTCATAAGACACTTTTGGTTGTCTCAAAGAAATCTATCTGTGTTGTTTGAGTTGTGAATTACACTAGCTGCTTTGTTCATGGAATACCAGTTTTATTTGAAAAAAATTACTAGGCCAGGCATGGTGGCTCATGCCTGTAATCCCTCACTTTGGGAGGCAGAGGTAGGAGGATCGCATCAGCCCAGGAGTTCAAGACCAGCCTGGGCAACACAGGGGAGACCCCATCTCTACAAAACATAAAAAATTATCCAGGTGTGATGGCACACGCCTATAGTCCCAGTTACTCGGAAGGCTGAGGACTGCTTGAGGCCGGGAGGATGAGGCTGCAGTGAGCCATGACCATGCCACTGCACTCCAGCAGTGGTGCTGCGCAACAGAGCAGGACCCTGTCTTTAAAAAACTCTATGAAAATTTAAAAAAAGAAAAAAGTGACTGACAAACTATGGCTTTTCAGACTTAGGTATCTGGCAGACATCTTCTTGAAAATGCATGAAGTGAACGCCTGTCATGTCAAGGAAAACAAAAGTCAGTATCTGTTGCCAATAGTAAAATTCAGGCTTTCAAACAAATATTAGCATTTCAGAGAAGCGGCATTCACAACTGTGAGCTTGAAACTTCCCAAAATTCCAAGTTTTTTGATTATTAGTGATACTAACAAATGTAATTTTTAAAATATTTATGGCCGGGCGTGGTGGCTCATGCCTGTAATCCCAGCACTTTGGGAGGCCAAGGCGGGCAGATCACGAGGTCAAGAGATTGAGTCCATCCTGGACAACATGGGGAAACCCTCTCTACTAAAAATACAAAAATTAGTTGGGCGTGGTGGCGTGCACCTGTAGTCGCAGCTACTTGGGATGCTGAGGCAGGAGAATCGCTTGAACCCGGTAGGTGGAGGTTGCAGTGAGCCAAGAACGCACCACTGCACTCCAGCCTGGCGACAGAGCGAGACTCTGTCTCAAAAAAAAAAAAAAATTAAATTTATAATAATATTTAACAACATTTGGAGGCTGTCGATAGGCCAGTGCACCAATATTTTCTAAATGACCAAAGTATGATGTTATAAAAGGATGCATGGGTGAAAGATCCATTCAGAAGAGACCAATGGGTTTTAGTGTTAACAGTATGAAACGTTCACTGACCTTTCAGATTCCACACTGCAACTAACTTTTAAGAACCTGCCAGGAGCAGTGGCTCACACCTGTAATCCCAGCACTTTGGGAGGTTGAGGCAAAAGAAATCGCTTGAGCCCAGGAGTTTGAGACTACCTGGGCAAGATGGCAAGACCCCATTTCTACAAATAGCCATGCATGCCTGTAGTCCCAGCTACTCGGGAGGTGCTTGGTCAACAAAGCAAGACATCATCTCTTAAAACAAACAAACAAACAAAAAAAGTTGTTACTTCCATTGAGTTTTGGTGGATATCAGAGAATAATAAACACAATTACCTGAAAGACTATTAAAATACCTCCCTTGGCTGGGAGTGGTGGCTCACAGATGTAATCCCAGCACTTTGGGAGGCCGAGGTAGGCGGATTGCTTGAGCCCAGTTTTGAGACCAGCCTGGGCAACAAGGCAAAACTCCATCTCTACAAAAAATTAAAAAATTAGCTGGGCGCCAGTGACAAGGGCCTGTAGTCCCAGCTACTTGGGAGGCTGAGGCAGCAGAATCACTTGAGCCTGGTATGTGGAGGTTGCAGTGAGTTGAGATCACTGCACTGCACTCCAACGTGGGTGACTGGAGTGAAACCCTATTTTAAAAAAACAAAAACAAACTCCTTTTTCCAATTACATATCTACGCAAGGCTGAATTTTCTTCCTATACTTGAACCTAAACAGTGTATCACAATAGATTGAATCAAGAAGTGACATTAAGGCCAGCGCGGTGGCTCACGCCTGTAATCCCACCACTTTGGGAGGCCGAGGCGGGCGGATCACGAGATCAGGAGATCAAGACCATCCTGGCTAACATGGTGAAACCCCATGTCTACTAAAAATACAAAAAATTAGCCGGGCATGGTGGCGGGCGCCTGTAGTCCCAGCTACTCGGGAGGCTGAGGCAGGAGAATGGCGTGAACCTGGGAGGTGAAGCCTGCAGTGAGCCAAGATCATGCCACCGTACTCCCGTACTCCAGCCTGGGCAACAGAGCAAGACTCCATCTCAAAAAAAAAAAAAAAAGACATTAAAGAGATTTGCAAAATTGCAGGGAAATGGCAATCTTTTGTTTTTGTTTTAGAAAAGTTATTTTTAATCTAAAAAAATTGATTATTTTAAATCAATCTGCTTTAATTTCTAATAAGAATAAATACGTTTAGATGTAACCCAGAGAAACACAGGCTCTTTGGGGTCTCTAACTTGTAGAAAATGGAGTCCTGAAACCACTGTAAGTTAGAGATAATACCACATCCTTCTCACAGTGGGTATGAGAAGATAAAGAGATACTTGAAATAACCACTTAGCATAGTGCCTGGCATACTGTACCAGCTTAATAAATTACAGCAAGGGCCAGGTATGGTGGCTCAAACTCTTGTAATCCCAGTGGTTTGGGGGCCCAAGATGTGAGGATCGCTTCAAGCTGCGAGATCGAAACCAGCCTGAGCAACAAAGCAAGACCGTTGTTACTACAAAAAATTTAAAAATTAGCCAGGTGTGACTGCATGTGCCTGTAGTCCCAGCTACCTGGGAAGCTGAAGCAGGAGGATCACTTGAGTTCAGGAGTTTGAGATTGCAGGAGCTATGATACAGCCACTGCACTCCAGCCTAAGTGACAGAGTGAGACCTGGTCTCTCTCAAAAAAAAAAAAAAAAAAATAAGGCCAGGCACAGTGGCTCACGCCTGTAATCCCACCACTTTGGGAGGCCAAGGTAGGCAGATCACTTGAGCCCAGGAGTTTGAGACCAGCCTGGGCAACATGGCAAAAGCCCGTCTCTACAAAAAATTAAAAAATTAGCCGGCTGTGGTGGTGCGTTCCTGTAGTCCCAGCTACCAGGGAGGCTGAGGTGGGATGATCACCTCAATCCAGGAAGTTGAGGCTGCAGTGAGCTGAGATTGTGCCACTGCACTCCAGCCTGGGCGTCAGAGTGAAACCCTGTCTCACAAATAAAATATAAATAAATGATAGCTATGCTACTGCTATGAGTACTACTAATGTCGCCTTTTCTATAAGTCTACCTTATAACTAATGAATGTGCTTTTAGCAACTGAGTGGCTAATGTGGTATAAACATGGGACAATACCTGATTTGTTAAAGGAAAAAATGGTTTCATTCCTCTCTACTTTGGTGGTCAGTCTACCAACTGAAAAGGCAAGGTGGGGGTAGGGGAAACCTGAACTAAGTCCTCACTACCAAGCCAGACCTAGGACTGGGTCCATGTGGGGCCACTGTGTCTCAGGTGTTGATAACATAAACAGGCCAAGGGTGTCTCCAGGCAGTTTCTACTTAGCCCTAAAGCCCACTGTGAAGAGACAAAAGCAGATTCTATACATCTACTAAGAGGGCCTGATAGAAAAGAGAGTTGGATAATTCCCCTAAAATCACACAGCTACTAGGCAATGAAGCTGGTATTGGCATATTTGATTCCAAAGCCTGGGCTCTCCTATTGCACTAGAATGCCCTCAAGGATAATTTAGACGGCAACAGATGCAGGTTTCAAGGAATTGCAGAAAATACTGATTCCCAGGTACTTCTAGGGAAAATAGGGTACCCTAGCAGCACGCAGTTTTCTTTGCAAAGAAAGACTGGTACAGATGATTCTTTCTGTTTGAGGACATGGTGATGGGACCAGGGACCTGGCTAGAAGAAGCAGGCATACACACACAGTCTGCCAGCCAGACCTTAGAAACATCCCCCCATTCCAAACTGCCTGAGAAGCTCCTTGCAGATATTACCACTATGTCCTCAGGATAAAGATTGTCGCTGAAGGAGCCATCATCAAAGTTGACTTCATAGAAGGTCTCGGTGGTGAGCCTGACCACTTCACACTGGTAGAAGCGCCCGTTCTTATGCTTGCTAATGACTTTCTGGCCTGCAGTGATGCTTTGCAAGGCCCCCTTGGCACGCTGGAAAAAAACAGAGGCTTTGGTTACTCACACGTGGAGTTTGCAGGCCTGGCATATGGAGATGAAGATCAATTAGTTCCTCCTTATCAGGGAAAGATAAGCATGGGAAAGTAAAAGTAAAAAGGAGAGAAGAGATGGGAGCTAAAACAAGCCTTTCCAGATACCCACCATCCCAGCCAGGACATTGGAAGAGACCAGTACCACATTTCCTCCATAAATTTAGCTCTTCCCATAAATTTAGCTAGTCCACAACTGGCCCTTATACCATATTATCTTACCCAGAACTCTCTGAACAACAACATGGACCTCTGATCTTGCCAAGAACTGACATCAAAGTATCGAAGGAGAGACTCAATAGGTGCCCTGAGGCCTGGGCCGCCAGGCAAAGCTGCACCACATCTTAGCACCTGCAGCATTACCCTCAGGGCTAGGGCACAAAGACTTAGGTTTCCCAGATGTCTCCAGCTACACACAACAAACTGTCCCCCATTCCAAGGGCCCTGCCATTGCCATCTCTGGTGCCCTCAACCATGCCCTTCTCATTCTGAACTTGCCCTTGATGCAAACAGGATCACAAAGTATGTGACGGCCTCATTTCCAAGCACGCCTGCTAGCCTGCCCAGGCACTCTGCCCCAGCCATGCTGGCCCCCCTTGCTGTTCCCTGAATGAGTGTGCCATATGTGCTGCCACCCAGGGCTTCGACACTGCTGGTTCTTCTACCTGAGATGCCATTCCCCAGTTACTTGCACACTGACTCCCATCCCAGTGTCAACTTATTGATGTCATTCCTTACTACTTCATCTTCCATTCCCCTTATCTGACTTAATTTTTATCCCTGCACTTCTCACCATCTGCTATACTGTGTATTTACTTGCTTCTATGTGTCCTTCAACTATACTGTATGCACCAGAAGGGCAAGGACTTTTTTGTCTTGTTCAATGGTATAGTCCTGGCACCTAAAACTGTGCCTGGCATATAGTAAATGCTCAATAAACATTTGAAGAATAAATCAGTGAAAAAACTACTAACTCATCAGTCCCCCCAATTTCCTCATAGCACCAGCAGTCTACAGCTGCCAGCTTAAGCATGTGGAGTATTAATGATTATCACAAAATAACTATTCTGTGTATGAAAAAACTCTTCCCTATCATAGCTGTGACTCAGTACTACCTCAAGTTTTTACTTGCATTAAGGGCAAGTTCAGAATGAGAAGGGCATGGTGAGGGCACCAGGGATGGCTAGGGCAGGGCCCTTGAGACACTCCGGAGTCTCATTCTCACATACAATATGTTCCCATCTTCCTAAGGTCCTTCCTATCATACCCCTGACCACCTGTCACGTTCAACATCTTTATGAAAAAGAATGCAGTCAGCCAACCAGGACTTTTCTGCAACCCCAAATGGCAGAGTGAAAAGTTCATCCTTCTGGGCTGGCCATCTATCACGTTCTTCCTTTGATTATGTATTTACCACACTGTTGTCAAACTTGTATGATCGCCTCTTCTATTAGATTGTAACTCACTCATGGCAGAGCCTTCCCCAACTACGGTCTGGCTTCTGACCTGACTACTCCACAGGGACACTCCAGTTTGTGGTACTTAGTGACCACCACACCAGCCCTGCCTTCTCTGTTGGATATGACCCTCCTTCCTCCCACTGGCTTGCTTCACTTTCTCAACTGCTTTCACTGGTTCATGCTCTGCTACCTGCTTCTCCCACTGGGAATCTCCAGAGCCCAGTTTCTAATGGGAACTAGATTTAACTATGCTGTTAAATGCTAATAGCCAAATCTTTACCCTCACAGTTACTCTCCAGAATGCTCCAGTGACCTCAGCATTTACTTTCCTCTTTCTCATCCCTCCTTCTCTCCCTTGCAGAGCAACACTGCTTCATCTCAGTTCCTGATTGCAGTTACTAACATCATATTAGCATCCTTCCCATCTCTCAAGGGAGTAACCTGAGTCATCTTCAATATTCACTCCCCCTTTCCTCCTCCTCTCCCCTTCTCTCCTCAACCCACGAGGGTCAATAAACCCTATCAGTTCTACCTGTTGGAGGATCTCAAAGTTAAATGTACCCCAAAGCCCTGCCTATGTGTTCCCATTTCAGACCTCACTCTCTCCTGGACTAACTGGTTTTCCAGCCTCAAATTCTTACTCTGAATCCTCTCTTCAAACAACCACCTGAGTGATTATCAAAAACTATAATGCAGAATCAAAATATTCAACAAGTTCTCATCCAGTGAAGACAGGTCAGAGTCCTGAGAGTGGCAGTGCAGGGCCTTCATCCTCTGCCGTTGTCCGCCTCTCAAGCATCACACTCCCACACACCGTCACACTCCCATAACCAGTCTTTCATGATCCTTCTTCTGCGACCTGTTCATTCTGTTTCTCAAGCTCTGCACACAACAGTCTCTGCATACAATTCCTTCTTATTGTTTAAGACCCACTTCAAATGCCACCGTCTACCCAATCCTCTTCAGAGCTCCTCTAGCTAACATTACATGTCACTTTTTCTCTAAGCTTTACCATTAAGAGAACTGCAGAAATCTCTACTGTCTGGCAATTCATGGTTAACTCTTGGGAGCTCTCCCCATTTGTTCTCAACATTTTCAGAGGTTCTGCATGTCCCGGACACTAGGTTAAGTAATAAGGATGACCACATTAATAAGATATGGACCCTCAAGGAGTTTATTCTGATGGAGAGGCAGACAAGTAAAGAGATAATCAAAACGAATCAACTACAAGCAGTTTGGTGTCACTGGCTTATGGAGTACAAGGCAGGGAGTGGAGATGGACAGGGGCCACCTCTCAATCTCTTAACTCATTAGCACTCTTCATAATGCAGAATGCTTGAGGAAATAGTTGCTGATACAACAAATGGAAAACATGCAGAGAAAATGACCATGAAAACTGTCAAGAGGATTCTAGAATGACACCCTCTCTCACCTCCAAATTAGGAATCTTGTGCCGAAAGCAGGTAATGAAGACCACAAAAGGCCAGTCGTCAGGCTGCATCATCACACCGGCAGCCTGGGCGCAGCTCACATGGAAGGCAGTTGGGCAGCGGCCGTGAGAACACTGCACACAGCAGCCAGCAGTTCTTTTCCTCCGCTTCTTACAGAAGATACATTTCTGTAGCACAGGGGAAGAAAACCAGTGATTGCAGGAACTGGCACTGCAGCTTCCTCTGTTGTTCCCCTCCCAAATGCAAAGCCAAGCAAGCAAGAGCCAGCCCCTTCCCAAAATACAAGGACACACCAGCCTGCTCTAATCCAGGTCTGGTTACAACTTTATCTGCCAAGGAAATTTTTTTTTTTTTTTTTTTGAGACGGAGTCTTGCTCTGTCACCCAGGCTGGAGTGCAGTGACACAATATCGGCTCACTGCAACCTCCGCCTCCCGGGTTCAAGTGATTCTCCTGCCTCAGATTCCCGAGGAGCTGGGATTATAGGTGCGCACCACCACTCCCAGCTAATTTTATATTTTTAGTAGAGTCGGGGTTTCACCATGTTGCCCAGGCTGGTCTTGAACTCCTGACCTCAAGTGGTTCACCCACCTCGGCCCCACAAAGGGCTGGGATTACAGGTGTGAGCCACCACACCTGGCCTCCACTAAGGAATCTAACCACAGAGTGAGAATCACAAACTCTAACCAAAACCAAGGGGTACAGGAGGTCCCTGTTCTCTTCTACCCAGAAACTTGTAAGTCGGGAAATTATGTAGAGTCTACAAGCCCTTACCAGTTTGAAGCGGGGCAGGGGGATTTTGCTCACATCCACCGGACTTCTTTCTGCAATGTTGACAAACCTTGCTTCCAGAATTGCCACAGCACATGAAACGTGGACCCACCTGCCAAAAGGCAAAGGCTCCCTCAGTCACCTCTGGGCCCAAGGCTCTGTGGCCTTCTCTTTTGGGCCTGCTGACAGCGCTTCCTCCCTCACCTGGGTGACCACTGACTTCCACCAGCACATGCCTGGGACCCAGGAAGGTGAGAACCAGAACCGTCTCTCCTCTGAGTATGTGGAAGCAGTGCCACCCCCACTGCCCACCTAGGCCACTGCCCACTGCCCTAGGTTAGCACCGGATCATGCTTCTTACACCACTCTGTTGAAAAATGAACAGAGCTGCAGGCTAATGGTGTGTGGCAGGTCTCAGGGAGTGAGAATAAACTGGAAAGCTCTATGCAGACCTCTTTACCATAGGACCCAAGTGCTTCCTGAAAACGTCCCCGGCTGTGCCCTAATCTGCCAGTAATCACAGCTCTCTCTCGGCCTCTGCCCAAACCTCTCCCCCAGGCTGAAATGACCTCTCCCTTCTGCTCCCTTTTTCCATAGCTGACTCACTCTTTAATCTTTAAGGTCTGACCCAAGCCCCACTTACTCTGAGAGGTCTATTCAACGGACATCCTTAAGAATTAAAGTAAGTTTTGGACATTTTGGGAAACCAGCATGCATCAAGAGGAGAAGAACGAAAATGGTGACAACTCTTAAAACCATGCTACGTGAAAACCTACACCAGACAACACTGGGGCTCCATGGAAGCTCTCTGCAGTTCTAGTGGGGCTGTCTTTTTAGAGTGGGAACAGATTTGTTCTGTGTGGCCCTGGAGGGCAGAACAGGCATTCAGAGGTAAAGGTGAGAGATTCAAGCACAGCCATTTCCACTCCAAATAAGAAAGAATGTTCCCAGCACTATCCTGTGACTGTGAGGAACCCAGTGACCTCAAATAATGGCAGCAAGTGCCTTTGAAGGAGCAGAAGCAGCAGGCAGAGTAGCTATCTCTCAGGGACAGCATAACTGGGACTCTTGAGGGCAGGCGGCTGGACTGAACATATGCTGCAAGTTGCCACGGGATTCTACTTGGAAGCAGGATACTCAGCACTGACCTGCACGCACCATGCCCTAGACAGCTAGCTCTTCCAGGTCAGAAACCTCATTCATCTTACGTTTCCACCTCAGAGCAACCAAACACAAGCCTAAGCACAAAGATTCACTCCATGAAAACGAGCTGCCCAACAGCTGAGAAGCCCAGAAAATTCAGCAGATTCGGTTCCATAGTGGGTGGGCCTGTCTGAGCTCTCCTCAGTGTCCTCCTTGAGCACACTCGCCTCATTCCAAACAGCAGGTCTGAGCCAGGGAGTTTGCCATGTGGAGAAGTGCTTGCTAGCCTGTGGCCGCCTCTGCATACCAGCCCCAGCTGTGACAAGGTGAATGTCCTCACTCCAGCCCACACAGTCCCTGCGCATCATCTTCGTCTTCATATTCTCATGAGTCCATTCTTAGCTTCTCCAAAGGAGGATGTCACTGACATCTCTGCTGCAGAGGAGCAGCTGGAGTTGGAAAGTCTGGGACTGCTTGGCTCCCTTAGCATTCCATTTTTAAAATGAGTCTTGGAGATGCTATTCCTGCTCCACACGATGTGCTTCCCAAATCCTCATCAGTCATTCAGAAGAACAGCTAGTACCCTCACAAAGACACTGTGTGCTTCGGAACTGAGCCTGTGCATTCCAAGGCACTGCTCAGGAAACTTACCTGTCATCATTTGCTCTCTGCAGGGCCCCTCCTCGTAATGAGCATAAACAGCAGTCCTGCCAAGAAAGGAGAGGGAGGAAAAAGTGGTTAATACCAAGTCATTAACATTCAATCTGCTCTCCCCTGGACCTGCTTTGGGCAACTCCTCCACATAAGAAAGAAGCATAATAGCATGTGGGGCTTCACCCAGGCAGCCCCTGCACCAGGACGCCCTGTCAGAAGGAGAGGCCACTCAGGGCTAAAGTGTGCCAAGTAGTCACGTGACTTCACATAATCCTCTTCATTGTTGCTGCTAATAACAACTCTTAGCAAAGTCACAAAAGATACTTTGCTCAAACTAGAGGCATGACAGGGCTCTGACTGCTTCTTATATGGGCTAGGTACAGCCAGGTTCCAGGGGGTACAGTGAAGAGAAAACAGCACAATGAATCATCTGAGCCCCTTTCTGAGGCTCCAATTCAAAATGGCTAAATTCTTTTAAGGGAGTTATTGTTCCTCCACAGGAAGACCACTAGTTGGTCTTTCCACAATGGAGCAAACACAGCATCCAGACTCCGTAAGTGGGCAGCAACCATTCTCACGGTCATAGGATTTACTCTCACAATACTCGCTCTCTGACATCACCGCGTACCAGACCCTATGCAGACTGCTGGGAATACTGAGTCCAACATGAAATCGTCTGGCCCTGAATATGCACCAAGACTCATGGTGAAGACAGTAACAGTGTGGGATCACTCACCTCCTCTAGGGCATTGGCTGAACACCGAGAACACATCCAGTCTTCAGAAGCCTTTGCAGGGGGGACCCCATAGCAACCTAACAGGGACACCAAGATGAGCAAATTAAACCCAGTGGTCAGAGTCAAAAGGTAGATTTGCAATTCCTTTCCATATACCACCTCCCAAAGCTACAACCAAATCTCACAGAAACCCCTTAGTTTTCTTTAGTCTGAGTCCCCAGGGCTCAGGCATACAGTATGGCTCAAAGTCTCAAAAAGTCAAAAACTGTAGATTCACTGGTACAAACACCTAGTAAGTGGCAGGGACTAATCCCTTTCTGCTATCTGCAACCAAGAGGATGGCAAAGAGATGACTAGTGCCAGTATGGACCCCTGGAGACAGTGAAAAATCAGCTAGCAACAGACTCCCCAATAAAACATCAACAATCTTTTTGGGGCTGGGAGGCCAGGAGGTGGCAAGAACTTCCAGTGAGCAGGCCCATACTCCTGGGACAGGACACAGAGAAAGGTGAGCAGCACTCACTGGCATGGACCCGGACGCTGCACTTCTTGCAGGAAACGAGTATGCTGGTGCCATCCTCCTCAAGATAAGGAGTAGAAAGGTTGATGTCCGTGCTGCAGCCAGTCGAAGTGAAGCACATTTCTGGAATCAATGGCTTGGTCCTCTGCTTCTGGGGGGCTAAATCTGAAGCATTTCCACAGTTCTGATTAAAGCCTCCAAATTCAACCTAAGGGGAAAGAACAAGTGTACACCTCAGTGAGCACGTGCCTATGCTCTTAGCTTTCCACCTGCTCTATCAGCAGAAAGCTGGCTCTCTTACCGATCTGACTATGGCTACAGCTCCCGGGTGCACAGCCATTATCCCGGAGCTGCTAATTGAAGTTACCTGTAATGACTCAAATTCAGTTTCTCACAGCAGCATCATACAAAGGCCCCTAGGGGACAACTGAGAAAAGGGAGCAAGGTAAGAGGCAACTGGGATTTCAATCTTCCCAAAGAAAGTGGTTAATAAAATGCACTGAGAGGCCAGGTGAGGTGGCTCACGCCTGTAATTCCAGCACTTCGGGAGGCCGAGGCGGGTGGATCACCAGAGGTCAGGAGTCCAAGACCAGCCTAGCCAACATGGTGAAACCCCGTCTGTACTAAGAATCCAAAAATTAGCTGGGTGTGATGGTGTGTGCCTGTAGTCCCAGCTGCACTCCAGCCTGGGCAACAGACTGAGACTCCGTCTAAAAAAAAAAAAAATGCACGGAGATGTTAGCAGCTAGGCTGCTACTGTGGGCTCCCTTACGTGCTACACTGTGCGGTGACCCCACCTCAGGAGTGTACCCAGAGCAGATGCTCCTAGTAGGCCAGCACTAATTGCCTCTTGTGCCTGTCAGCAGGTCACCTGAACTGCAGCACTGTCACATGGCTGGAGCCCCACCTGTGTGATTCCTGGCTCAGGGTCCCTCCAGGAAGAACTTAAATCCACATACTTCCCTTGGCAAACTATACTGATTGCAAATATCTGCTGGATGGCACCTGCATCTCCATTCCAAGGATGAGGCCCAGAAAGATGTCAACCCCAGAGCCTATGCCATTTGTGAAACTCCTACTTAGTAGATCTGCTTATAGTAAGAACCCAGCCATTCACTCCCCTCATAGGCAAAGGCTTTGGTTTTGCTTTTTGTCAATGGAAAGGTTTAGTGAGTTCCTAATCCAAAGTGTGTTGGTCTGAGGTTCCATTTTCAGCAAGCATGAATCTGGGGCCCTGCCAGGCTCAGCGGCAGCCATGCCACTTTAACCACCACAGCAGGTAAGGACCACTTACCTACCTGCTATGCTGTGCAGGTCCCAGCTGAGACTGAGCTGGTCCCTTGGCACCTGCTGCTGTGAATGCCTTCCTGGCATCCTAGAGCTGGACCCAAAGAGATCCACCAATGAAGCCACAGATGCCCCAGAGCAGGAGGCACACAGCTGAGCTCAGCAATCTTGCTTCCCAGCCCCTCCTCACATATCAGGCCCTTGCTTCCACCCCTCCCAAGTTCCTTCTGCTACTGGCAACACGCATTGTGGCAATGGGAAAGGAAAAACAACATTAGAGGATCTGGCTTTTCAGCTGAGGTTCAGACTGTGGTAAGGAAATCACAGTTCTCCACCCTGGCCAGGACTATAAACCACTTGGCAGGAATAACCACGGACTAGAATAACAGAAATGCAGATTGCTCTGCAAACTGATGTCTGTGATGACTGCATGTGCAAAGGGGAGCCTAAGCCCACCCTCAGCTCATCTCCAAAGCATTCTCAATTGAAACCCACGTTGCTGGGTTATCTGCCTGGAGAAGACTGACCAATACACAGATGGGGCAGAGAATGCTGGGGGTGGAGGTGGCCTTTCCCAAGACAACCAGTGACAAGCTATATACTCACAATTAAATCTAGCTTCCCTATGATTGCTGGTCCTGGGTAAACAGAGTGCATGGAGCTGGGTTACCTGATGATAAGTCTGGAAGATCATACAGACAGCGCAGTGAGGGGCCTGTTGGGCCATGGTCTCATTGAATTCCTTCTCAGCCTCAAAGTTTGGAGGTCGGTTCTGCCACAGTTGGCTCAGAGGCTTGGCCCAGGCCTCTGTCTCCTCAGCCTCTTCCTCAGGGGTCAGCTGTTCAGATGTCTCTAGAGGAGGAAACAGAAGTGTGAGTCAGCACTAACCCTGCACATCTGTGGCTCTGCCTGGAGAACAGATGAGTTCCACTAGGACTCCTGATCCTAGGTTTGGACCAAGGGTGACTCCTGAATTCCTAAGGATGATAAAGGCAAAGGGTGGAAGCAACTGTCAATAGACTCCTTCAGTATCTTGATGATGTGTAGGGAGTCCTGCCAGTACCCCATTCTCTGGCCAGACTGACTCATGGCCTCCATTCTTCCTCCTGCCCCACGAGCTCAGCTTGCTCTACTCTCCCTTAACAGCTGCCACATTCAGCCCTTCTGCCCAAGGACAGCAGAATGAAGCACCATCTTGCCAAAAACCATCTTATTTGCTGCCTCCAAAACGTCAGCCTGTTAAGTCCTTTACCTTTTAGAGTTTTCCCTTTAGTGCAACTAAACAAGGAAGGAAAATAACAGGGAATTGGCAAAGCTTAAAAGTTGTAATATCATGGTCCTTGGCCAGGACTTACCAGCTTCCTCTGGAAAGGTCAGCAGTATGTACCTATTCTGGACAAGGCTCCCCAACCCCTCCTAGAGCAGAGCTACATGTCCAAGATGAATCCTCTTCCCAGCCACAAGATGTGATGCCTGACGCTGGCAAACAATATCCTGCAGGCTGAATCCAGCCCACTGAGGAAGCTAAGAATTGTTTTTACATTTTTATGATGGGGTCTTGCTATGTTGCCCAGGCTGGAGTACAGTGGCTATTTACATGTGCGATCATAGCTCACCACAGCCTCAAACTCCTGGGCTCAAGTGATCCTCCCATCACAGCTGCCCAAGTAGCTTGGACTACAGGCATGAGCCACTGCACCCAGCTTTGTTTTTACATTTTCAGCATTGGGGCTTAAAAAAAAAAAACAGTGACAACCACAGAGACCAATGAAGACTGTAAAGCCTAAAATACTGACTTCCTGGCCCTTTATATATCCCTGGTCATGACAGATGGTGTCTCCTAGGTATGCTAGACAGCAGGGCATACAACTCATCAGACTTCACTAAGGCCTGGGAAGGAAAAATCCCCTCTGGGTGCATCTTCCTACAAGAAAGGGGACATACTGCTGAGTGGAAAACAAAAAAAGTTTGCTCACAAAACTCATGTAAGTGATAAAGGTGCACACTTCCCAGTTCTTCCTAAATCAGTGAAACAGGGGCATAGTCCACAAGCTCCCAGCAGAAACAAGGAAACAGAAACAGGGAAGTAAAGGAAACGCCATAATTCTGAAGGTATAAGTAAATGAGCGCAGTCTTTGGTAGATGTCCAAAATGTTTCTCCAGATGCTCTACCATGTGAGGGAGGTATGAAGCTAGAGTTGCTATGCCTTTCTTTGGCAAGTGTGACCAAGCAAGGCCCAAGTATGCGGCCCCTGACAGGAGACTGGCTCTCTGCCAGCCCCATCACACGGGGCATCCCAGGGGATCCATGCATCTCGCTTTGAATGGCATCATCAGTCCCCAGCTATGACCCTCCTTCTTCCCAAACAGAGGTGCTTTCCCAAAGGCCCCTGAAACCTGTTCCAAGCAGCCAAGGAAAGCTCTGGTCTGTACTTCCATTAGGTGCCTGTTTCTTCATTTCTGGCAACTCCAGCTCAGTGCAGATAGTATTCTACGCTGCCCTCATAGTCATGTTTAATCTGAAGGCATCTGGCAGCTGCCATTGTGCGCCGCCTCAGTGTACCCTAAGGACACCAACGCAGACAATTAAAATCAACCCCTATATGCCCCATCGTTCAGTTGTAATCAGGAGCCATGGTGCCCAGAACCCAAGCACAGATTTTTTTCTTTATCCTGGCCAAACAGGAGTGACCAAGATAGAATGGAAGAAACAGAAACAGACAGGCAGGCTCACACTCACAACTAAAAAATTAACACACTGACATCTGTTCCATTTACAAAGCCAAAAGTGGCCCCAGATCATTCCATTTGTGAATACTGAATGATGAGGGAAAATGTTCACTACGTTAAGTGAAAATTGCAGGAAGCAAAATTATACAGTTTACATATGTAAAATTTCATTGAGCTGTACAGTTAAAATGTGTGCATATCACTGAATTGTTATGCTTGAATTGAAATTTTTTTAAAAGTAGGGGGAGGGGCATACAACAGTAAAGAAACATAACTTCCAAATACAGTATGTGACCTTAGTTTGATTTATATTAGAGTTCAAAAGAAATAACTATAAAACACATTCTTGGGACATGCAGGGAAAGATGGGCATGGACTGAAGATTAAAGGATATTGTGGGGCTGGGTGCGGTGGCTCACGCCTGTAATCCCAGCACTTTGGGAGGCTGAAGCGGGCAGATCACTTGAGGTCAGGAGTTCGAGACAAGCCTGGCCAACATGGTGAAACCCCGTCTCTACTAAAGATACAAAAATTAGCTGGGCGTCGTAGCACACACCTGTAATCCTAGCTACTCGGGAGGCTGAGGCAGGAGAATCACTTGAACCCAGGAGGCAGAGGTTGCAGTGAGCCAAGATCATGCCACTGCACTCCAGCCTGGGCAACAGAGTGAGTAAGACTCCGTCTCAAAAAAAAAAAAAAAGGCTGGGCGTGGTGGCTCACGCCTGTAATCCCAGCACTTTGGGAGGCCGAGGTGGGTGGATCACAAGGTCAGGAGTTCGAGACCAGGAGGCAGAGGTTGCAGTAAGCCAAGATCACACCACTGCACTCCAGCCTGGGCAACAGAGTAAGTGAGACTCCTTCTCAAAAAAAAAAAAAAAAAAAAACAAGAAACAAAAAAAAGTAGGGGGAGAGGTTGTGTATTATCTCAACTGCATTATTTTAAAAAGATATACATGGACATACTCTAATATCTGACTAGAGAAAAGCCAGGAAGATAATATGTTAATATATTCAAAATGGTCATCTTTTAAGGGTAATTTTGTATTCCTCTTGGTAACTTTTCCAGTTTCCTGAAGTCTATATTGCTTTAAACCAATCAGGGAGATAGGCAGGTGCTACCCAGAGAACCTGAAGCTCCTGTCTGAGCTGGAATAAGAACACAGAGAACTTCCTAGGACCTGACTCAGGGTCCTGCCACACTTCTGACTGGAGGACAGAAGGGATATTCCCCACCCTGTTTATCATGATCTTTTTTGTTGTTGTTGTTGTTGAGACAGAGACTCGCTGTCGCCCAGGCTGGAGTGCAGTGGCATGGTCTCAGCTCACTGCAAATTCTGCCTCCTGGGTTCATGCCATTCTCCTGCCTCAGCCTCCCGAGTAGCTGGGACTACAGGCGCTCACCACCATGCCCAGCTAATTTTTTGTATTTTTAGTAGAGATGGTGTTTCACCATGTTAGCCAGGATGGTCTCGATCTCCTGACCTTGTGATCCACCCGCCTCGGCCTCCCAAAGTGCTGAGATTACAGGTGTGAGCCACCACGCCCGGCTATACCATGATCTTTCTACTGAAAAAAAAAAACAGCAGAGATGGGGCACTGACATCAGATCAGGAAGGAGAGGACCAGGTAGGACAGGGCCTGATGTTAGTCAAGAGTAACATGTACGATTGACTCTGCTCTCCCTGAAGGTGACAGGGCCCAGTCACCAACCAAGCTGGAGCTGAGGCTCGGCAGTGATGATCATCCTGGATCTCTGGGCTTCAGGCAGCCAAGGAGACCATGCTCCACTGATGTCAACACACCCTGAGCTTCAGTGCCACATTTCCTGGTTTTCCTTACACATGGCTGCTTACCCTGCTTCTCTGCCTCCTTCACAGGCTCCCCTCCCTCCTCTGTCCACCTAGCCCCAGCGTCTGCTCACCCCCCTTGGTCCCCTCCCCAAGATCGGCCTCATTATTCCAACAATTGTATCCAATGTCACCTCAGTGCCAACTCCTAAGTCTACATCCTCCATAGACACTGAACTCAGGTTTCCCCAACCAAAGCTACAAACCGGGGAGGCACTCAACTCATCCTCCTCAACTACCATCCTCATAGCTTCACAGCCAGTCACCAAATCCAGTTGATTTTATCTTCCAAATATATTCCCTACCACCACCATCCTACTTCAGACCTTCATATTGCAGGCAGACCATTACGGAAGCCTATGTGGTCCTCTCAAAGCCATCCTCAAGATGCCAGCACTAGGAGCGATCTTTTCTAAAGGAATCTAAATGACTCTGTCATTCCTCTGCTTAAAACATGTCACTGGCTCCTGAATGCCAGTAAGACAAAGTCCTCACTCTGGCCTCCATGATAACGCTATCCAGGATCTGGTCCCCCTCCTCCTACTCCACCTATCACTCCCTGGCCTTGCCCTCCAGCTCCAGCCACACTGAGCTGACTGTAGTTCCTCTGACTACAGCCTCCTGCTCCTCTTCTCCATAGCATGCTGTCCTTCTGCCCCAGAGTAACACCTCTTCTGTTTTTTTTTGAGATGGCATCTCGCTCTGTCGCCCAGGCTGGAGTGCAGTGGCACCATCTCGGCTCACTGCAACCTCTGCCTCCTGGGTTCGAGCAATTCTCCTGCTTCAGCCTCCTGAGTAGCTGGGACTACAGGCGCGTGCCATGACACCCGGCTACTTTTTTGTAGTTTTAGTAGAGATGGGGTTTCACGTGTTAGCCAGGATGGTCTCGATCTCCTGACCTCATGATCCGCCCACCTTGGCTTTCCAAAGTGCTGGGATTACAGGCATGAGCCACCACACCCGGCCACCTCTTCTTTCTTGAGATCTGTTTACCTGTCCAGTTTCCCCACCACCCTGTGAGTGTCTTGAGGGCACGGACATATCTTAGTTATCTTTGCAGCCACATATACACCACAGGGCTTTGCATCACTGACAGGATTTTCTGTCCTGAAAAATCAGCCTTGTACCTCCCAGGAAAAGAAAGGAAAAAACCTGCCTGCAATTATCCCCTATTAAGGTACACTGCAAGATACTCAAACTTATAATGGAATCTGGTTAGTCAATTAGATATAAGGAAATCCGGTCCTCTCTTTATGGAATATCTGGAAGAGCAGCTAAGCCACAGGCCCACCCTTATCCCTCAGCTTGGCCTTCTGATGTCCTGTCCTGTCAAGTCTAATGTGGTGAGCTGCTTTCCTCCTGGTGAAGAAAAAACAACACTTACCATCATCACTGACACACTCCTGCAGCACAAGTGGGTGATGGCGGGGGAGCTTGCTTAAAGGCTGACGGCGTCCCTTGGACTTCTTATTCTCTTCTAGGGAAAACATGTATTCATCTGCAACCTGGGCAAACCACAAGAAATTAAATTGGTCTTGTCTCCACTTGAGACACAGCACAAGTCACCCTTACAATGAAAACCAAAGGAAAGAGAGGGGCACAGAGAAACAAAAAGACATATAATACCAAACAGAAAATACCTATCTTAGAAAAAGCCAAATGACAATACCACGTACCAAACTAGTCTGAACCAGGATTATGTAAATTTAGGGCAAAACCCAAGTGTAGTTCTTGGCCTTCTTAGGAGCAGCCTGAAACCAGTGTACCAAAAACAAGCCTGCTCCAGCTCTGAGAGAGGCTTGCCCGGTCCCTTAAGCTCACTGCTATGAGACTACCAAGGTGGCCCAAGTGAGAGAGCCCCCAAGGAGCCTAGGTGCCCCTTTCCTTGGCCCAGTAGGTCAACAGTACCTGTTACAATGTGCCAGGCAGCTGGGCCACCCAGGAGTGTCTAGGGGACACCCAAAGGGGTGAGCAGCAGCTGACCTATTAAAAGTAAAATAGGCCACCTTCTCCTTATACACTGCCAAGACTTCGCGCTAGCAGATACTGTTCATTCCTCAGTTAGCTGCTGCTTCTCCAGGGGAGAACATCAGCCAGGACAGAAAGTGCATCTGAAACTCTGGCCTGGCTTGCAAAGGGAAAGGTTGATTTAAGACTGCATTTACATAATGTCAGAGCAAATGTAATTAGATTTAAATGTACAGGATTGACTCAGAAACACTACAGAAGGGTTTCTTTCTAATCAACGTATTTAAAACTTGGTTATACTGACATCAGGAGATGCAGGGTTAGCAAAATCCATTAAGCAAGGAAATGAGGCCTGAAAGAGGGCCACTTTGCAACTGTGACAAAAACCAATGCCATAAATGCTGCAGTGCTACTTCAGAGAACACACCCTGGGCCTACAGACTCCATGTGCAACTACACAGAGCCCCAGGAGTTAAGGACCACAGTTGGAATGCCAAGAGAAAACAACTTCTGAACAGGCCATGTCCAGGAAAAACAGAACCTGCTCTTCCAAACATACATTTTGCCAACAAGTTTTGCCATCCATTTGCCATTCATTCAACAAATATTCACTGGGCACCTACTGTGTGCAAAGGCCTGCCCAGGAAAAGAAGAAGGTGTAGAGAAGCAAAGAAGATGTGATCTGTGCTTACGTGAGTAAGGATGCTGCAGCAGTATGGAGGAATATGGTGGAGTGAGGATATCAGGGACCTTTTCCTACTGATGTCCATGAAGACTTACATGACCATAGACTTAATCAGACCGGAACTATATCAACTGTCTAAACCCATGGTTTTCAAAACGTACATCCGGAAAGCACCTCAGGAGCCTCCATTACAGTGAACAAAAAGGGCTAGAGGCCCCATCTTCTTTCCAACCAGAATGGCTCTGCTTTTGATTTATGTTTTAATTAAGATTTCACTTAAAGAAAGGGTTCTGGCCAGGCACAGTGGCTCACGCCTATAATCCCAGCACTTTGGGAGGCTGAGGTAGGCGGATCCCTTGAGCCCAGATAACATGGCAACACCCCGTCTCCACACACAAAAAAATTCAGGTGTGGTGGCATGCACCTGTAGTCCCAGCTACTCAAGAGGCTGAGATGGGAGGATTACCTGAGCCCGGAAGGTCAAGGCTGCAGTGAGCTGAGACTGCACCACTGCACTCCAGCCTGGGTGACAGAAGTGAGACTTTGTCTCCAATCAATAAGTAAGTAAGTAAAAGGGTTCTTTGGCTAAAACAAACTGGAAAACCCATACTTGCCCGACAGTCTTAACCATGTAAATAGAAAATTTAGGAGCATGTACCCCCAACCTATATATTACTTACTAATCAATTACATATACTAATATTAATGCACATATGCATATTTTAAAGCAAAAACAGACTATAAAAGGTTAAGATAAAAACAAAGTTCATTTTGCTTTATTCCTATACCCCAATAATATTCTTGTTTCCCCCCGACCTGCCCCCGCCATCACTTTGGGGGCACCTGGACAATAGGCCTAAACCTGTGGGCTGTGGCAGACTAGGGAAAAAAAGGATGGGAATAAAGAAGCCAGAAACGGTGGGGATTTCTAGCCTGGACCACCAAGGTGACAGGCTTTAAGAGGGCTCATGTGGAGGAAGTGGGGGCTAATAACAAACCAGGTTAAACAAGCTGTGTAGGGTACACAACATGTACCCAAGGGTCTTTTCATTTGGAAATACCCAGGGGAGGCAATAAGAAATTCAGACTGGGGGTTCAGAAAAGAAGTCAGAGCAAGATCTGGGAATCCGCAGCACCAGGTTCAGAATTACAATGGTGGGAGAAGATGAGATTGTCTTGGATGATGAATTGACTAAGCCTTCCAGGGACAGGAGGAAGAAGAGAAGGGAGAAAAGGAGACTCAGAAGCAGACAGGTAAGAGGAATACCAGAAAGAGAAGAAGGGGACGGCTTCAGGGAGGGGGAGATCCACAGGTCAAAGAACATAGAAGAGCTGAGCAGGGAAGTGGCCAAGGGACTCACTCAGCAACGGGGAGCTATGAGGACTGTTTTTTGAGATAAGTTCCGGTGGACAAAGAATAAGAAACTAAGGAGTGAATACGTCGTGGAGTATTTTTGAGAAGATCAAGGGAAAAATGAGATCATAGTTTGAGAAGGAAATTTCCTCTAGAATTGTATTTTAGCTATGATAGGGGCTTCATGAGCTTGGCTTTATAGGCAAAGCAGCAGCTTGTGAAAGGGAGATAGTAGGATATTTGGTAGAGAGAATAATGGTTCCCCAATATGCCCACATCCCAATCCCTGTGAATATGTTATTCTAACATGGTAAAGGAGAATTAAGATTGCTAATCAGATAGTGTTTAAAATAGGGAGCGTACCCTGGATCATCCAGGTGGGCCCAATGTAATCCCAATGGGGCTTACAACAGAAGAAGGAAGCAGAAGAGTCTGTCCGAGTGATGTGATGCCAGAGACACTTGGCTGGATGCCGCTGCCTTTGACAATGGACCTAGAGGTCCAGGAGCCAAGGAATGTGGGCAGCCCAGGGAGGCTGGAAAGGGCAAGGAAATGGGTCCTCCCCTGAGAGCCTCCAGGAAGGTACACAGCCCTGCTGATGCCTTCACTTTAGCTCAGTGAAACCCATTTCAGACTTCTGAACTGAAGAACCATAAGAGAACAAGTGTTTCAGCCTCTGTGTTTGTGGTACCTTGTTATAGCAGCAATAGGAAACAAATACAGGGTAGGAGGTACCTAAGATCCAAGTTCCAAAGGAGGTGGAAGGGTGAAGGTCAAGAACACCAGAATGCAGCTTGGGAAGGGAAGAGGACACCTTTTCCATGATCAGTATATTCACAGCACCTCTTATATACCCAGTATACGGTGGGAATACTTGTTTTGGCAATGCAGAGAAAAACAAGACGTGATCTCTAACCTCAGGGAGGGAGACCTGGTGTCCAAGTCCGAAGTCTGAGCCCTTTCCACTACCGTCATGCTGCCTCTGACCAAAGTAGTCAGGTCCATTCAAAGATTTGAATATCTTTTCACATTTCCTCATCTCCTGGACAGTACTCCTCCTGCTACCATGGCATCCGCACCCTTCTCATGGTGCTGCCTTCCCTGGGATTGCTCCAGTTTCTAAATTCCCTCAGTATATAACAGAAAGGTCAGGGTTCGACCAACTAGCAGCTGTGTGAGCCTGGATGAGTAGCAGCCCCACCAGTAAAACGGTAGTAATAAACCCTTCCCCAGAGGGCTCTTTTTGCAGACAGGGCGGGATAGCAGGCAGACTCCCAGGGCCCTGCCTGAAGAAAGCTGGAACTCAAGGCTCCTGAGTTCTTTCCTCCCTCATCCAACATCTGGCACCAGGGTCAAGGTTAGTGTTCCTGATAGGGTTTATTCTGTACAGAGAAGAACCAATTGTTCTCCCACCTTGTTTTGGGAACTCACTTTTCAAAGTAGCTTGAACTAACAAGAACTTCTGCAGCAGACATATGGCTGTGGCTCAGTCAGTAGGTAATGAAAACTCTACAGTTTCGGCAGTGTCAGCCAGCCAGGGTGCTTTTACCAAAAACTGCAGTTTACCAGACTGACCTAAAAAAGGCCCTTGACATAGATGGTGGCATGGAAACTGAACAGCAGGCAGCCCAGATTACAGCTTGGGGATGCTTAAAGTGGGGGTGGGGGAACATAAGGGTGCTCTAAGGAACCCAGTTGTCTACAAATATAGATCCAGTGCTATAAGACCTCTCCAGGGATGGACAAAGTTGCTCAGCTTCTGCCCCCAAACCTTGACTATCTGTCCCTTATTCCTCCCAGTCAATTAATTCTGATGGTGGCTTCTTACTAAAACAAACCTGACCTTCCATTTACTCATTCCATCCTCATTACAGAGGGTTTCATAGGCCAAGCCCTCTGGACCGTGCTGGTAACTCAAGAAATGAGGATGAATGTGGCACAGGGCCCAGCTTCTAGAAGGTTATATTCTTCACCAGCCTATGGCAAGGGCATTAAGAAACTAGTACTCTAGGGCTTCAAAGAAGAAAGGGAACTAGATGGAAAGCAATGAAGTGTTTCTAAGAGTAGTGGCTTTTGAAAAGGGCTGGGTTGCACTAAGCAGAGGTAGTTATCTGACTACTCTAGGCGACCCTCAGAGATAAATTCCCCATCTCCTCCCACCTCAAAACCATCTGCATTCTGGTGACAGTGGCCCAACAAAGTGAATGTACTTACTGCCACTGAACTGTTTACTAAAAAAACTGTTAAAACAGGTAAATCTCATACCGTGTATATATTACCACAATTTAAAAACACAGGCTGGGTGTGGTGGCTCATGCCTATATCCCAGCACTTTGGGAGGCCAAGACAGGAGGATCACTTGAGCCCAGGAGTTTGAGACCAGCCTAGGCAACATAAGGATACCCCATCACTACAAAAATAAAAAACTTAGCTGGGCATGATGGCACATGCCTATAGTCCCAACTACTTGAGAGGCTGAGGTGGGAGAATCAGTTAAGCCTGGGAGGTCGAGGCTGTGGTGAGCTGAGATCGCACCACTGCACTCCAGCCTGGGCAACACAGCAAGACCTTTTCTCAAAAAAAAAAAAAAAAAACCTATCTGCAGCCATCCCCTCCTGTCCCTCCACCTGCACTCCCACTTCCTTAGATCCCCAGAATCCAATCACTACCTCTTCAACTTCCCCCACTTGGCAGGACCCTGCCCTTTAATACAAGGCACACTTGGCCATATCTCCCACTGTCTTGAACTCTTCTCCTGCCCTGGCACTGGATACACTGTTCTTTCCTAGTTCTCCTGACCTCTGGCTGCTCCCTCACATTCTCCTACCTGGGCCCTCTCCTGTCACCCCACACTGTGAAACTGTTCTTCACTCTACACACATTCTTCCATGCCCACCAGTGCCCTCCTGGTGACTCCCACACCCACAGACCAACCCTCCCACCCCAGCTTCAAGGCTATGTCTATGTGTCTCCATAGCCTACCTCACAAAAGTCCCCCTCTAGACGTACCCAAACTCAACTCATTTCCTGGCCCACACTAAAAACCCTTTAGTTTTCTTATAACCATTATCCTATATGGATGACACCACCACCTATCCCAAGAACTCAAAGCTGGAAACCCGAGTCAAGCCCCATGCTACCCTCTGACTCACCCCCATCCAGTCACCCAGTCCTATGTGCCTACCTTCCAAGTAGCTCTCAAGTCCATTTTCTGCTCCCCATCCCTATCACCACCACCTACAGGTCCTCACTACCTCTCTCTCAGACTAAAGAAACAGGTTCCTAATTGGTTTCCCTGTTTCAAATCTTTTTTCCTCCTTTCCTGAAGTAGAAGTATTTAGTTATAAAAATCACATGTTAATCATAAAAATATTCAAATGATGCATAAATGTAGGAAGTGAAATCATCCATAATTCCACCTTCAAGAGAACCTCTGTTAAACAATTTCTAATTTTGCCTCCTTCTTCCTCCCCCTCAAAATCTTTATACTGCCTCCAGAACAATCTTCCAAAACATCAGTGCAGTACTTAAAAAACCCTTTACTGGACAATCAATGACAGCTTCTTGATTAAGTCAATGGTGAGGAAAAAAGGGGGAGAGGCGCTGGCCTACATTAAGGAAGACTTCAGAACATCATCGGCAAATCAAAGGTGTGGGCCTTGATTTAATCCTGATACAAACCAATCAACTGTAAAACAGATTGGACAATGAGGAAATTTGATTATGGACTGGATAGTAAATTATGCTAAAGAATTTTTGTAGTTTTCTTAGGTATAATAATGGCATAGTTATCATCTAAGAAAGTGACCATATTTTCCTTTTTTTTTTTTTTTTTTTGAGATGGAGTCTCACTCTGTTGCCCAGGCTGGAGTGCAATGGCAAGATCCCAGCTCAGCGCAACCTCCGCCTCTCAGATTCGAGCAATTCTCCTGCCTCAGCCTCCTGAGTAGCTGGGATTACAGGCACCCGCCAACACGCCTGGCTAATTTTTGTATTTTTAGTAAAGACAAGGTTTCACCATGTTGGCCAGGCTGGTCTCGCACTCCTGACCTCAGATGATCCACCCCCTCGGCCTCCCAGAGTGCTGGGATTACAGGTGTGAGCCACTGCGCCCAGCCAAAAATGACCATATTATTCAGAGATACACACTGAAGTAGGGAAGAAATGACAAGGTATCTGGGATGTGCTTTCAAATACTTCAGCAGAGAGGCAGATTAATGGGCACAAATATATAGTCTGATAGAAGAAATAAGACCTAGTGTTTGACAAATCAGTAGGGTGACTATAGTTTACAATAATCTATTGTACATTTCAAAATAGAATAATTTGAATGTTTCTAGCATAAAGACAAGACAAATATTTAAGGTGATGCATTTACCAATTACACTGATTTAATCTTTACAAATTAATGTATTAAAGTATCAACATGTACCCCAAAAATATGTACATTATATACTAATGAAGATAATATAATTTTAATATAAATACTTCAGCAAATTGAAAACAGGACAAACAAAGCAAATATGGAAAGATCCTGACACCTGTTAGAATATTTGTGGGTTTGGCCGAGAATGGTGGCTCACACCTGCAATCCCATCACTTTGGGAGGCCGAGGCAGGTGGATCACGAGGGCAGGGGTTCAAGACCAGCCTGGCCAAGATGGTGAAACCCTGTCTCTACTAAAAATACAAAAATTAGCCGGGCATGGTGGCAGGCGCCTGTAATCCCAGCTACTCAGGAGGCTGAGGCAAAGAATTGCTTAAAGCCAGGAGGTGGAGGTTGCAGTGAGCCGAGATCATGCCACTGCACTCCAGCCTGGGCGACAGAGCAAGACTCCGTCTCAAAAAAAAATTATTTGTGGGTTCACTGTATTATTCGCTCTGCATCTTTCTAAGATACTGTGTCATTCTGTCACCCAGGCTGTAGTGCAATGGTACAGTCACGGCTCATTGCAGCCTCAACCTCTCAGGCTCAAGCAATTCTCGCACCTCAGCCTCCCAAAGTGCTGGGACCACAGGTGTATGGCACCCTGCGTGGCCTCCCTCTGAATCTTTGTGTGTGCATTTCTTTCTTGCTTTTTTTTTTTTTTTTTTATCTTTTTGAGGTAAAGTTTCACTCTTTTGCCCAGACTGGAGTGCAGTGGTGTGATCTCAGCTCACTGCAACCTCCGCCCCCCACCACCCCAGGGTTTAAGCGCTTTCCTGCCTCAGCCTCCCAAGCAGCTGGGATTATAGGCGCCCGCCACCACACCCAGCTAATTTTTCTATTTTTAGTAGAGATGGGGTTTCGCCATGTTGGACAAGCTGGTCTCAAACTCCTGACCTCAGGTGATCCACCCGCCTCAGCCTCCCAAACTGCTAGGATTACAGGCATGCACCACGGCACCCGGCCCTTTGTGTGTGCGTTTAAAAGAATGAATTATGAAAGTTTTCAATTTCCAAATCCATATGGTGCATATGGTGGGGACCCTTCTGCTGCTCCCTACACCACAACTAGGTCAAACTGCTTCACAGAGCAACAAGGCAGACCCTCCAGGTTCTGGCTCTTGACATCCCCCAACAGCACCACCTGAGGCCCTCTCCAGTCCTATATGCCTGAGACAAACTAAACCACTGCAGATCCCCAAGTGCTTTGACCCTGGCATGAGTTATCATGAGCATTTAGAACACCCTCCTCTCCCAGATTCTCTTCGATTTCATTCTGTCCACCTGGCATTCTTCTAACCTCAGGCCTAAACTGTTTCCTTCTCTCAGGCAGTCCAGAACTCTACACTGCAACCCCAGGCTGAGCTGCTAACTCTCCCACTTGTACCACAACACGTATCATTAAGTACTGGAATGATTTGCTCTTACCTATCTATCCTAGACTGTGAGCTCCTTGAAGGCACAGTCCTGGCCTAGAGTAGGCATGCCATAAATGATTAGAAAGTAGAGGGAAGTGGCAGGGCAGCCAAGACAGTTTTAGAGACTTTTAAGTAGTTCAAACAAACAAGCCAGCACATGTTGGAGGTGGAGGGATGGTTGGCGATGGAGCAGAGAGGGTTATTTATTAGGGTATTATCATCAGGCTCGGCCTGAAAAGTACATACCGAAATAAAAAGGAACCAAGAAGACACTCAAGGGTTTTTGAGCAGAGGACTGAAAAAGAGAGACATGTCAGAGAGAAGACCCCTTCCCCTAGCACACTTCCACACGGAAGGAGTCCTGGCTTTTCTTCTCCCCACCCCCTTGAAAGCTGTGCTTCACTTCACTAGGATCTGTCTTTTGGAGAGGGAGTGCATTCTGGCCTACATCCACACCACATGGAAGCTGAGTGCTTCCATGGAAATGCTTTGCCTCTAGAGGGGCCTGGAGACATCAAGAGTAAATGAGTAGGCCAGGCGCGATGGCTCACACCTGTAATCTCAGCACTTTGGGAGGCTGAGGCGGGCACTCAGGAGTTACAGACCAGCCTGGCCAACATGGTGAAACCCCATCTCTACTAAAAAAAATACAAAAATTAACCAGGAGTGGTGGTGCATGCCTGTAATCCCAGCTACTCGGGAGGCTGGGGCACGAGAATCACTTGAACCCAGGAGGTGGAGGTTGCAGTGAGCCAAGATTACACCACTGCACTCCAGCCTGGGCAACAGAGCGAGACTCAGTCCCCCCACAAAAAAAAAAAAAGTAGCAGGGCCATTTAGTCACAGGTTAAAAGTCACTTTCTTCAATCATTTTAACTTGTAAATAAAGCGACATTCTGAGCTCCATATGCCTGACTCTTGTATCATCAATTAAATAGTTCCGAATTGAGAGGAAAAAGGACAGGTGTTATTTATTGGCTTCCTGCACCTCCCACCCCAAAAAATTCCCACAAAAACTTGACTCTGTAATAAGATTAATTAAGCAGTAATACAAAGACTGAACAATGCATATAAAGTATTTAACAGCTGGGGGGCGGTGGGGCACACAGTGGCTCACACCTGAAATCACGGCACTTTGGGAGATCAAGGGAGGAGGATCACTTGAACCCAGGATTTCGAGACCAGTCTGGGCAACATGTTGAAACCCCATCTCTACGAAAAATACAAAAATTGGCCAAGAGTGGTGGTGTGCACCTGTAGTCCCAGCTACTTGGGAGGCTGAGGTGGGGAGGATGGGTTGAACCCAGAAGGCAGAAGTTGCAGTGAGCCAAGACTGTGCCACTGCACTCTACCCTGGGCAACAGAGCAAGACCCTGTCTCAAAAAAGATAAACAAAGTATTTAATATACAGTGAGCTCTTGCTACTTCTTAGCTGCTTTTTGTGATTGTGATTGCAACTAGAAACAAGAATGTCAGGAAGACTCAGCAAGAGGACAGCATGAACTGTAGTGAACAGTAGTCAACAGTAGGATGGATGAAATGGCCCGGGGCCTCTGCGAAGGAAGAATTGCTAGGTGGCAACTGGGAGTTAAAGAGACTCTGGTTTCCAGGCTGAAAAAGCCCTCCTTTATGGAAGCTGCCATAAGAAGGCACAGAGAACTGCAATCAGAGGCAATGAGAAGGAAACACAGTAGTTATTAGCTCATTAGCCTGCAACCACAGTGGGATGGAAAGAGGAACATTCACAAGGTAAAAAGAAGTCTACCAAAACCGTACCCTGAGATTCAGAGAAGGCACCGAGAAAAGTTATGAGTATCAACAACAAGGAGACAAACCTACCATAAAAAGGGACTATTGGCAACACTAGGGAAATGTGAATATGACTGAGTGTCAAGTACTGCAGCCAAAGAAAACAGAAAGCAAATGTGCCAAATGTTAATCATATATATGATGAGTACACGCGGGGGCTCGTGATGGTATTTTGTACGTACGTCAGAAATTTTCCATAGTGAAGATTTTTAAGATACATTTTTAAAAACTAAAGGTAAGGGAATAGGGAATAAAGAGGACCTTCTGCACTGGCTTCTTCTATCTCCCACCCCTCACCAAAGACTGCAGCTTGACCCACATAAGCTCCAAGGCTGGGGAGTCAGGGAAAGTCACTTGGGTAGTGGGGGTCCAGTGGCATCTGACATGACTGATCACTCAGAGTGGCAGACCCACCAAGAGCCATTTTGCACAAAAGCAGGAATCAGCTTTTGGTGACAACATGTATTTAAGGAGGAAGCCTGAACACACATGTTCGTGTTTATAGCTTTGGGAATGCATCTTGGTCTCCAAAAGGATGCTCTATCAATGTCATACTGGGAGTCTACAGGGCAGTCAAGAGGTGTAAGAAAAAAACCCTTGAATTTCAAGGTAAGAAAGGTCATCTCATCTGATCCCAAACCTCCAAACACGTGGGCTCCAACAGCAGCCATTCTAACCCTGGTGCCGCTAAGGCAATGAGGATCAGAGGAAGAGTTCCTGCCTACCCCAGTTGAAAAGGCCAGCCACGGTGGTTCACGCCTGTAATCCCAGTACTTTGGGAGGCCAAGGCAGGCGGATCACAAGGTCAGGAAATCGAGACCATCCTGGCTAACACGGTGAAACCCAGTCTCTACTAAAAATACAAAAAATTAGCTGGGCGTGGTGGTGGGCGCCTGTAGTCCCAGCTACTCGGGAGGCTGAGGCAGGAGAATGGTGTGAACCCAGGAGGCGGAGCTTGCAGTGAGCCAAGATCGTGCCACTGCACTCCAGCCTGGGCAACAGAGCGAGACCCCGTCTCAAAAAAAAAAAGAAAAAAAAACAAAAGGCCAGCCACAGTGGCTCACGCCTGTAATCCCACCACTTTGGGAGGCTGAGGTGGGCAGATCACGAGGTCAGGAGTTCCAGACCAGCCTGGCCAACATGGTGAAACCCTGTCTCTACTAAAAATACAAAAATTAGCTGGGTGTGGTGGCACACACCTGTAATACCAGCTACTCGAGAGGCTGAGGCAGGAGAACTGCTTGAACCTGGAAGGCAGAGGTTGCAGTGAGCCAAGATCATGCCACTGCACTCTAGCTAGGCAACAGAGCAGAGACTCTATCTCAAGAAAAAAAAAAAAGGCATTGTGATCCAAGTGGGCTGAGGAGGATCTGCTGCTGTGACTCAGGCTGCATTGATGCAATTCTTGGAATCAGTAGCCACAGGGATAACAGAAAAGCAACTCCCAGCAAAGAACAAGCTGGGAGAGTGAATGCCACCCCAGGCTTTTGTTTGACACAACCACTGCTGGCTAGAGGCACTGACTGAGGGTCTCTCCTGCCCTCCTGCAGCACCTCCATCACACAGATCCACCTCCCTCCCCCACACAGATCCCCTCCCGACAGGGTGTCCTCCAGGGCAGCTCCCCACCCCACACCACTGCCTGGAGCCCATACCTCTGCCAGCTCCCGCTCACTGAAACTTCTAGCGGCGCTTCCTTTCTTCCTCGTGCATGGCTCTCCCACAGTGACCCTGCCATCCCCTTTGGCATAACTGTGCACAGTGAGAACTCCCGTTTGCCCTTGGGCTCGGCAGGAGAGAGGCTCACTAGTTTCTGAATCAGAAGAGATAGAATCCCGTGAAGAGCCAGAGCCCAGGCTAGAAGATGATTTCTTTTTGGAGCCTGAGAAGACAAGGCGTCCCCCTACAGACGCAGGATTCACAGAAAGATCCAAGGCAGCTGCTGCTTGTTCTTCCTCCTCATCCTCCTCTTCTAGTTTGACATTTTTAAGCTCTTCAAATTTGACTTCAGTGGAGTCAGAATAATCTGAAACACACATACACATTAGACAGAGCCAAGTTCCTCCTGCACATGTGAACCTGATGAAAGGCAGAGGGCAAAGCACAAGGAACATGGGCGGGGAATGGGACCTGGCTTCCAATCCTGGCTCTGTCACTGAGGGGCACTGTGAGCCAGGGCTATTTGCTCAGCCTCCTGGCCTCCAGCTTCTTCCTCTGTAATGAGAAGATGCTACTACAGATCTACAGGGCTCATAAATAAGACTCCTGAGCACCGCCTGGCACTCAGCAGACACTCAGTAAGGGGCAGCTGCCATTTCCTCCAAAGTCTCCTGCAGGTAATGCAAGTCTGAGCTCAGCAGAGACCTGGCTACCTAGCCCATGCTAGAAAATCTAAAGATCTTGAAAAATATTAAGAGGGTGGATGTTAAATGTTCTCACTGCAAAAATGACCACTATGTGAATATGTATTTTAAACAGCTAGATTTACCCATTCCACAACTTATATATACTTCACAAATCATGTTGGACCAGGAGCAGTAGTTCAAAACTGTAATCCCAGCACTTTGGGAGGCCAAGATGGGAGGATTGCTGGAGCCCAGGAGTTCAAGACCAGCCTGGGCAACAAAGTCAGACTCTGTCTCTACAGAATTTAAAAATTAGCCAGGCATGGGCCAGGCATGGTGGCTCACTGCTGTAATCCCAGCACTTTGGGAGGCTGAGGTGGGCGGATCACGATGTCAGGAGATCGAGACCATCCTGGCTAACAGAGTGAAACCCCGTCTCTACTAAAAATACAAAAATCAGCCAGCGTGGTAGCAAGCATCTGTAGTCCCAGCTACTTGGGAGGCTGAGGTAGGAGAATCACTTGAACCCGGGAGGCGGAGGTTGCAGTGAGCCAAGATCATGCCTTTGCACTCCAGCCTGGGAGACAGAGTGAGACTCCGTCTCAAAAAAAAAAAAAAAAAAAAAAAAATTAGCCAGGCGTGGTGTATGCCTGTAGTCCCACCTACTTGAGAGGCTGAGGCAAGAGGATTGCTTGAGCCCAGAAAGTTGAGGCTGCAGTGAGCTGTGTTCACAAAGGCTTGGGCAACACAGTAAGACCCCGTTTCTAAAACAAACAAAAAAATTATGTTGTACAAGACAAATATGCACGATTTTATCTGTCAATATAAATAAATAAATTTGAAGAGAAAAAAGGGAAAGAAAATCTGCTGAAGAGAAGCCAGCCCAGCCCAGGGTGTCAGTCCACAGTGCTGCCTGGCTGTCGGCAGACCACATCTTTGGGTCATACCTGACCCAAGACAGATACAAGCCTTTCTCTAACAAATCTAGCCTCAATGACCTTCCAAGTGACTGCTAAACAGCACTGATCACACCACTCCCTCTCTTAAAATATAAATGGCTTCTTAAGCTTCCAAGTGAGCAAATGAAAATGGCAGACAGCCCTACATCATCTCCTATTTCTCCAGCGTCACCTTCTGGTCACACAGCTGCCTTCCACCCTAATATTCAATTGAGGGAAACTCCCCACCAGTTCCCCCAAGTGGACCATGCTATTAATATTTCCCATCTCTGCTGGGAACAGTGGCTCACGCCTGTAATCCCACTTGGCATTTTGGGAGGCCGAGGCAGGCGGATCACCTGAGGTCAGGAGTTCAAGATCAGCCTGGCCAACACGGTGAAACCCCATCGCTACTAAAAATACAAAAAAAAATTAGCCAGGCATGGTGGCAGGCACCTGTAGTCCTAGCTAGTTGGAAGGCTGAGGCAGGAGAATCGCTTGAACCCAGGAGGCAGAAGTTGCAGTGAGCCAAGATTGCGCCCCTGCACTCCA
Source organism: Homo sapiens (assembly GCF_000001405.40). NCBI lineage: Eukaryota > Metazoa > Chordata > Mammalia > Primates > Hominidae > Homo > Homo sapiens. Next base: position 43,669,695 of record NC_000001.11, on the reverse strand, counting down.
GCCTGCATGACAGAGCAAGACTCCATTTCAAAAAAAAAAAAAAAAATTCCCATCTCCATGCCTGTGCCCTGCTCCTCCCATCTGGGACTCCCTTTCTACATCCCTCCTCTCTCTCTGTCCGCCTGGGAAGGTCCTACTTACCTTGTAAGAGTCACCTTCACCAAAACCTCCAGTGTTTCCCTGACCCCTGACCAGGCAGAGGGAGGAGCTTTTCCCTACGTGTCCAGTCCTCCCTGTACATCCCTACCCAAAGCACTTCTCACACTCCAAGTATGCTATCTGCTCACGGACCTGTCACTCTGCCTTTTTTATTTCTGACCCAGCACTCAATATGGCATCTAACACGGGACACATATATGAGTTAGGGTTGTGGAAAATACACCATAGTCAACTAACCTGGGAAGGTAAGACCATCCTCAACTTGCCGCACAGAGCTATGGGTGGGCCTCACAGGGGCGAGGGCTGCCGGGCACTCCGTCATCTCATACTGCTCAGAACTCAGATCCTCCTTGGGGAAGAGCTCACTCTGACTCACCTCCTGTGGTATTTCAAGACAAACTCGGTGCCTCTTTGTCCCTATTCGGTGCTTGGCCAGGCTGCAAGGGAGAGGGCAAATCTTTTAAGAGCCCACATATACATCCACTTACTCAAACACATTCATACACATCCACACACAACCCAAAGTGAATGGCCAGAGCCTGTCAGGCCTGGCTCAAAACTCAGGGACACCTCTTATTTGTGACTTGAGACAAGGGACTTCACCTCTCTGACCTTGTTCAATCATCTGGAAAATACAGGTATTACCACCCACCTAACAGATTTGTTGTGAGGATTAAGAAAAGGTATGCAGAGTAGCTGGCAAAGTGCCTGGCATATAGCAGGTACCAAGGAACGGTTCCTCCTTTCTTTCCCATATGGCCCAGGATAAATTCTCCTCAGAGCACAGATCCCCTGGCTCAGCCACCAATAGCACTGCAGACTTAAATCACGACATTACCAATGCCCTTGAGTCTCATCCTCACTACACTTCTTTTTAAAAGACTCTCTGATATGATGAGAAAACATGACTTTTCTGGCTCAGAGGGAGCCCGACCTTCGCACATAAATGCCCCCGACCCTCATATAACTGACGCCTTGCTCCAGCAGACTACACGCCCACTACAGGTCTCTCATTCAGAAAGTGCCTGAATGCTCTGGCTCTCAGGTTTCTGGAGCCTTTACCAAGAACACTCCCTTAGCCAAGGCACAAACGGCATCTTAGAAACAGCCTCGGCCGGGCGCGGTGGCTCACACCTGTAATCCCAGCACTTTGGGAGGCCGAGGTGGGCGGATCACGAGGTCAGGAGATCGAGACCGTCCTGGCTAACACAGTGAAACCCTGTCTCTACTAAAAATACAAAAAATTAGCCAGGCGTGGCTGTAGGTGCCTGTAGTCCCAGCTACTCGGGAGGCTGAGGCAGAAGAATGGCCTGAACCCGGGAGGCGGGGCTTGCAGTGAGCCGAGATCGCACCACTGCACTCCAGCCTGGGCGACAGAGCGAGACTCCATCAAAAACAAAAACAAAAACAAAAACAAAACAAAACAAAAAAAACAAGAAACAGCCTCTCCACAGATTACAGGACCTACCCAGACATCCCTCCCTCACGCAGCCAGGACAAAAGGGCTGCTGGGTTACCTTGTCTTCAGGTCTCCTTCCTCTCCATCCTCCACCCCTTCCATGTCCTCCTCTGGGCACTCCTCCTCGTTGCCAGCTCTTGGAGGCAGTTCACTCTCCTTAAGAAACTCAGCTGCTTCTGGCGTGGGCAGAGTATGGTCAATAACTGTGTTGTCCTTCCCAGCTTTCCAAAGTTTGTACCTTTCTGGCTGGAACTTTCTCACAAACACATCCATGGAGATCTTCACCATGTCCTTTCTACAGGAGCACTGTCAGCAGGAACCAGAAGAGCACCAGGTGAGCATACCTTGCTGCTTCCAACTCACCCCCACGTCCTAGCTCCTCCCTCCACATGGAAACAAGTGCAAGATGGTTTATAACCAGATTGTTTTGGTTCACAGGCTGAGGGCATGTTATCCTTGCAGGACCTTCAAACATGAAGGGAAGCAGGGAAAAAAAGGCAGAGAGCACATGCTACTGGGGCAAATCTACCTGGGCACTAACTCGGGGTCACAGAGGGTGGTTAGGCTCTGCACTTAGGCCCCCAGGACGGTGAGCCACCTGCCCTTGTTCCCTGTCCAAGCCAGGAACACACAAGCAAGTCTACTACTATCAGTCAAAGGCCCGACCCTGCTGCTTCCCTAGAGTAAAGGAAACCCCTAAAAATTTCAACAGAGAAATCTCGGAATGGATAAACAAGAGTATTAACGTGTGTGGATGTGGTTTTAATGCCTAATGGACTTAAGAACCTCATTTTATACTTCCCAATTCTGAACACATTTTTAAAAATTCCTTATGAACACAAAATGTTAGTACTCTGACACATTGCTAGCTGCTTGTTTCTGAATTCCAGCAGCTCAAAGAAATACTCTAATCACCAGCCAACGTATCTAACCAGAATTTGCTCATTTTTGTCATGGTGTTATAGAAAGAAATCAAGCAGACTTACCAGCACAGCTTGCTTGCCGTACTCAATCCACCGACGGGTAGCAAAATTGGTAGACTCCGCACAGTTAAAACCATGGTTAAAGCCGGCATGGTAACCATAAGGGAAAGTGATCATAAACTCTCCAGCCTCTTGAGTCACCTGAACAAGAGCAGACTTGAAGCAGCTGCTTCAAATGGCAGAAGTCCACAGAACTGGAATTCTGAGCTCCACCACAACTTAGCTGAGTAACAAAGGGTAAGTCATAAAACCCCTGGGGTCCTTGCTGTCTTCTATAAAATGCAAAGCCCAGACATATCAGATGACATGACTATAATTAACCATTCCTCCAAATGAACACTGTTCTAGGGGATCTGACTCTCCTCTGGCACCAGGAAGCTACAGTGGCCCCACCTTTAATGCTCTTAGATCAAAGTGTTGTTACATAGTTTATTTAAGCTTTGGCCCCCTCTTGGTATAGTGATGAACTAGAATAAAACTGTAAAACAAAGGCCAGAAAGGGTGGTGCCTGAGAACTTTGGCATGTAACATCAGCTCACCTTGTCAAAGGGAATTCCATATTTCTTCAGCATTAACGGGGAAATCAGGGTCATCTTGTGGCGGAGAAATGCCTCACAGCTTTGAGCACTTCCTGGGAAAAAGCCTATTTAATTGAAAGGGTACAGGTTAACACAGTGCTCCACACTAGCTCCGCAATCCTGGAGTCACTTCACACCTGTGCTTCTCATCGGAATGATAAAGAGGATGCATCACCAATGTGACCTCTGAGGATCCTTATAGCTCCGCACCAATTCTAAGATTCTGCAATGAGCCTCTAGGCTCACTCCCATGTAGGGCATTACGTGGGTAATGAAATCCTGTTTGGGAAACCAAGGTCACCCAAGCTGCCTCTGTTCTTATAGAGCTTTGAAACTATTTAGGACCTTTTCTCCAGTCACTTGTATCCCTGATCTTTTTTCAGTAATGCAGCTGTAGTATCATCTACCCAGGCTTTCCTATGTTCTCCAGACATACAAATCTAAGTCCACTTAAAAGAAACAAAGCATAAAGTTCAATTTTTTCTTTAACATTTGGGTCTTTAGTGGAAACACCAGTCATACTGGGTCTGGTTCATTATCGCTGGTCAAAGAAACACCCCTGCTCATTAAAACTGAGGCACAGACAGTCAGGACAAAGGAAGAAAAGGCTCCGTCACTGCCCTCTTAAGGTAACCAGTGTGGCTCACCCCCGTCTGCAGGCCTGCAACAGGACCTGCAAGTATCTGACCATGGGGAACGCACATTTTAGTGCAGAGCAAGGAGCACAGCTCATAGGAGGGTCCAATCCAGCAAACAGAAGAGACACAGTACCTTTGGCGAGGCGTTCCAACCGCTTTCCATGCTCAGGTGGAACAGAGTACCTGCAATCACATGAGAGCATCAGAGGCTGGGTGGAGGGCAGGTACAGAAGCTAAGGGACTTATTCCCACTCTCAAAACACCTTGAAATAGCAGATTTTTTTTTTAACTTCCCAAGCAGTAGAAAGGAATCTGAAAAAATGAAATATTAGACTGTTTGGGCACAGGAGTAAGGAGCCCATAAAGAAGGTGAGTGAATTTATTTCTTCTATATTCATTCACTTAATAAGATGTTTATTAAGTGTTCACCATGAGCCAGGATTTACGGTACATAATATTACTCTCCTTTATAATGTTGTTCATATAATAACATTTTTTAAAAGAAAAAAAAAGAAGGATGTCACTATATAACCTCAGTATTTAAAAATGCTCAGTATTTTTAAATGCTTGAAAGGCCTAACTGGGGGCAGGCAAGAGGAAGATGGAAAACAAAGTGAAAGATGGATCTGACACTTAAGAGACCTAGCCCCGTATCTGCTGATGAACCCACTTTCCCTTTATCTCCCCAACAGCTACATATACTGATTACCCAACAATCAATTACCTCTCTACCCAGTAGGGTGTCTAAACACCATAGAAACTGCTCTTCCTAAAAAATGAAAAGTAAAAAAGAACACCTAGGACTATTAAACTTTTGCAAAATTGTTAAACTTTATATTCTGAAACTCACAGTAACTCTGTTTTAACCTTTTTAATCTCTTCTGAAGATTATTCCACAGTAACAACAAATCCTCCCACTGCAAACAGCTTCATTATAAAACAAAACAGAGAAGAAGAGTTGACAAAAATGTCACCTAAAGGACTCTGGGATCCATCAGGCAACCCTATACAGAAGGCTCTGGAGGTCCCACTTCAGAGGACCTAAGAATGTATATAATAACTGGAAAACCTTCTTTTATAAGAGAATTCAAAAATCCAGGAGCAGTGAATTTTGGAGTAAACAATGGTGAAGACACAAAAGCTACATTTACACATCCTACAAGTCTAGCCTTCTGAGGAAGGAAAAACAGGACAGTAGTTAGGAGATAATCATAGGCTCAAAAGGTTCTTTCCCCCAAGATTAGAAACTGGAGAGCACTTGAAAGAAGAAAGGAAAACCCCTGAGAAAGAACATGGCTGAAGATGCTGAAAAAAGACCTGAAAGTGGATATGGTTTTCATGACTCCCCATAATGTGCCCCATGATGTCCCCTCCGGCCTCATCACTCACTTCTCATCGTTTTACACAGCACCCAAACTACAGCAGACTCCCCCTAGCTCCCTAAACACACCACGCCTGGCTAATTTTGTGTTTTTAGTAGAGACGGGTTTCACCATGTTGGCCAGGCTGGTCTCCAACTCCTGACTTCAGGTGATCCACCCACCTCGGCTTCCCAAAGTGCTGGGATTACAGGTGTGAGCCACCACGCCTGGCCCTCATGTGCTGTCTTAATCCAGGAGCTCTGCGTCTGTGGTTCCAACTGCCTGGATACACTTCCCTCAATCTCCCAGCTGCTAAGCCCACCACCACTCCACCCGGTTATGTCCTTCTCATGTTTTAGGTCTCACTTGTCACCTCTTTGAAAGAAGCCTTCTTTAATCCCATCTATCCTTCTTATGTGGACCTTAGCACCCACTTCTTCCCCTTCAGAGCTGTCCCCACACCGTATGAGCATTCTCTCACACTTTCTACCTCCTGACCAGTCTCCTATCTGTGTGAGGGTAGGTATCTCATCCATCTTATTCACTGCTGTTATCTGCAGCACCTTCACTAAAATGCTGAGATGGGCCGGGTACAGTGGCTCATGCCTGTAATCCTAGCACTTTGCAAGGCTGAAGTAGGAGGACTGCTTGAGCCCAGGAGTTTGAGACCAGCCTGTGCAACATAGTGAGACCCCATCTCTACCCTAAAAAAAAAGAAGGAAAAAAATTAGCTGGGCATAGTGGTGCACGCCTGTAAACCCAGCTACCTGGGAGGCTGAAGTAGAAGGATCACTTGAGCCCAGGAGGTCAAGGCTGCAGTGAGCCATAATGGTGCCACTGCACTCCAGCCTGGGTGACAGAGTGAGACCCTGTCTCAAAATAGAAAAAAAAAAATGCTGAGACTCAAAGATGGGTCAGCACAGAGAGAGGAGAGAGAACCAATGTTTGTCTCACCAACAAGAATAACACTCTGGAGAACAGGAAGCATGCTGAATAGCCTCGCAATCCCTTATGTGTTAAGCACACACTGCTGCTCCCCAAGTATTAGTATTTTTTCCATGACGAAAAGAAAGCTTTCTGTCATCTGAGAGAGTGACTCTAGTCTTGGAAGTCTGCTGCTAAGAAATGCCTCAGGCCTGTTCAGAAAAAAAATTAGAAAGCAGTGGGATAGCCTGGAAGAGCCCCCGTGTCTTTGGGTAACTGCCAGCACCCTGCTCTCTAAAGCCTCCCTACTCAAAAGGTGGTCCGAGCACCAGAGCTCCAACAGCAAGCATCTTAGCACTTGAAAGTGTGTTTAAAACATGGAATGTCACCCCAAGCCTGAACCAGGGTCTGCCCTTTAACACAATCCTGAGGTGCTTCCCACGCACAATGAACATGAGCCCGTGCTCTAGCATAGAAGCCCGGTGCCGACTGCAGGCAGACTGTACCAGGACTTTGGTTCTCCAAAGTGCAGGTAGTTGATGCTGTAGAGGTCCATGTCTTCAGTGTGCCAAGCAAAGGATGTCTTCCACATGCCAAAGTACAGGTATGGGGTGTTCACACCCTCAATGGTGATCCCACTCTCCTTTTCCACCAAGTCCAGGATTGTTCTCAGCCGGCCAATATTCCACTCATCAACATGCTGCAAAGGCAATGACAGTCCAGGGCAAGTTACATTTGCATAGAAACCGAGGCTCTGAACCTACAAATCAGAGTAGGTCACAAGTAAGCTGTCATCTCTGACAAACATTGGGAATAATGTCAAAACACTATGGACGTGAAGACCATAGCATTCCTCATTGACTTTCACGGCTACCACTGGAACTGACACCATTTACCTTCAAAGGGCAAATATTACTTTGTGAATACTAGTGTAGGAAAGATGAATAAAGAGATGACAGTCACCTGTTTGTTTTTTCGTTTGTTTTTGAGACGGAGTCTCGCTCTGTTGCTCAGGCTGGAGTGCAGTGGCATGATCTTGGCTCACTGCAACCTCCGCCTCCCGGGCTCAAGCAATTCCCTGCTTCAGCCTCCCGCGCACCTGGGATTACAGGCACCCACCACCATGCCCAACTAATTTTTCTATTTTTAGTAGAGCCGGGGTTTCACCATCTTGGCCAGGCTGGTCTTCAACTCCTGACCTTGTGATCCACCCGCCTTGGCCTCCCAAAGTGCTGGGATTACAGGCCTGAGCCACCGCGCCCGACCAAGAGTCACCTGTTTGAAACCCCAAGAGGAAAAGTTTGAACTGATGCTAAAGAAATTTAGGTCAAAATAGAAAAAAAACTCTATGACCACAAAAAAAAAAATCGCAAAACATGGGAACTATGACAGTGGGCCAGGTGTGGTGGCTCACGCCTGTAATCTCAACACTTTGGGAGGCCAAGGCAGGATTGCTTGAGCCCAGGAGTTCAAGACCATCCTGGGCAACAAAGCAAGGCCCAGTCTCTACAAAAAAATTACAAATTAAAAAAAGTAGCCAGGTGAAGTGGCATGTGCCTGCAGTCTCAGCTACTTGGGAGGGTGAAGCAGGAGGATCCCTTGACCCCGGTGTTTGAGGTTACAGTAATCTATGATCATACCACTAACCTCTAGCCTGGGTGGCAGGGCGAGACTCTGTCTCAAAAACAAAAGAACAAAAAACTATGGCAATGTTGTGGCTTTTTAGCCCTGATTTCCACCAGGCAGTGTCTTCATAAAAAATGTGGAATATCCTTTTCCCGAGTTGTAATGGCCAGCTGGGAGCCCATCTCCCATAACTAGGTCCTGTATTATTATTATGCCTGACTTTTGTAGCTCTCCATCCCAGATCCTTACAGCATCTTCCTGCCATTCATCCCTACAAGACTGACTTTCCCTGACCCCCAAAAACTGCTATCAACAAAACTGGAATTCTTTTTTTTTTTTTTTTTTTTTTTTTTTTTTTTGAGACAGAGTCTTGCTCTGTCACCCAGGCTGGAGTGCAGTGGTGCAATCTCGGCTCACTGCAAGCTCTGCCTCCCGCCGGGTTCACACCATTCTCCTGCCTCAGCCTCCAGAGTAGCTGGGACTACAGGCGCCCGCTACTGCAGGCTACTTTTTTTTTATTTTTAGTAGAGACGGGGTTTCACCATGTCAGCCAGAGTGGTCTCAATCTCCTGACCTCCTGATCCATCCACCTCAGCCTCCCAAAGTGCTGGGATTACAGATGTGAGCCACCACACCCGGCCTGGAATTCATTTTTTTAACTCTTCCAATAATTGATAAAAACATTAAAATATGGGCCAAGCGCAGTGGCTCACACCTGTAATTCTAGCACTTTGGGAGGCTGAGGCAGGTGGATCACCTGAGGTCGGGAGTTTAAAACCAGCCTGAGCAACATGGAGAAACCCCGTCTCTACTAAAAAATACAAAATTAGCCGGGCATGGTGGCGCATGCCTATAATCCCAGCTACTCAGGTGGCTGAGGCAGGAGAATCACTTGAACCCGGGAGGCGGAGGTTGCGGTAAGCTGAGATCGCGCCATTGCACTCCAGCCCGGGCAACAAAAGCGAAACTCCGTCTCAAAAAAAAAAAAAATTAAAATATGAAAACAATTATGAGTGATAATCCCTGAATGCCCTACTGTTTTTCAGTCATCTGAAGATATTCCCAAATATTCTCCCCTTTCACCATATTTAAGGCAGGATTTCAAGCCAATAAAAGTGGTTAAAATAGCTTTTGCCACAGAATCTTGTTTGAGGGTTCTGAAAAATCTAAATGTATTTCTCTTCTTAAATGTATACCCCTTTCATTAGATTAGTCAGTCATCTTTTTTCTGCAGAAACCACACTGCCTCATTTCATTATCTGAGAGCCAACCCACCCTTTCAAGAACTCATCAGCTACCACCCACCGACTATGCTAACAACCCTTGAAAAGAACACCACATCATCCAATTCACATGTAAAGCAGGAGAAATAAAATTCAGTCACATGCAAAATGGCCCACAATTAGGCCAGCACAGCAACATCAGCTGGGGGTAGATCATCTGTTCATCCACCCATTCACCAAACAGCTTTTAGGTGCCTACTACGTGCCGGGCCGAAAAAAAGGTATTACAAAATTACAAAAACACTGCACAGAGGGTTTCCAGTGAGCCTCACCTTTTCATAGAGGGTACCATTCACATCTGCACCATAGATTGGAGGATTGAATGTAAGATTTTTCCAGTATTTCCGCTCGAGCTCTTCAAACTCACTATAGCGTGGGGTACAGTACCTTTTTGAAAGTAAAAAGAAACATGTAAACCACTTACAGGGGTTTATTAGGCATTATGAACATTACAAGACATAATCCCCTATTCCAGTGACAGCAAGAATTTCAAATGAACAAGGCATAATCTTGGCCTTCAAGGCTCTAATACGTAGTCAGTCCCTCAACGTCCCTTCCATGAGCACTGGGCCTGAGGAAGCCTGAGGAAGGTAATGTACACACAGATGTAAACCGGTCTTCCTTAACAAGCACAACATCCTCAACTCTCTGAAGAGACTCTACTTAAACTACACCTTGCTAGATTCAGGTGGCCACCCAGGGAGAAAATGGGCTTACAGACCAAGACCCAAGGTCCCTACATATCCACAGACAACCAAAACCCAGCAGCATGTGAAGAGCTAAGGCTTTCCAACAGCATTCACCTCCCTGAACCAGCCAAAAGGAAGCTGCTCCAAGAGGGCTCATTTGTAAGTACCCCTGCTATATGCCCAAGCGCCCTACGCAGTGGCTGACACTCACCAAGTAATCACTCCTAAAAACAACAAATATTTTAGTAAAAATATAAAATAGCTCTAAAAATATAGATTTTTGCACATCCAATATTCCAATTAGGAAAATACGTACTCACATATACGCATATTTATATCTACCTATCTACATAAAGCCATAAAAATATCTACACTTTGGCCAGGGGTGTGGCTCACACCTGTTATCCCAGCACTTTGGGAGGCCTGGCGGGGGCGGATCACCTGAGGTCAGGAGTTCAAGACCAGCCTGGCCAACATGGTGAAACCTGGTCTCTACTAAAAATACAAAAATTAGAGGGGCGTGGTGGCACACGCCTGTAATCCCAGCTATTTAGGGTGGGGGCTGAGGCAGGAGAATTACTTAAACCCAGGAGGAGGAGTCTGCAGTGAGCTGAGCTAACTAACGCCACTGCACTCCAGCCTCGGCCATAGAGTAAAACTCTGTCTCAAAAAAAGAAAAGAAAACTATACCTTAAAAAAAACTATACAAGATCCTTGCTCTGCTGCCCAGCCTGGAGCACAGTGGTGTGATCATAGCTTACTGTAGCCTCGAACTCCTGGGCTCAAGCAATCCTCCTGCCCTAACCTCCCGAGTAGCCAGGACTGCAAGTGTACACCACCACATCTGGTGTTTTTATTTTTTGTAGAAATGAAGTCCTGCAATGTTGCCCAGGTTGGTCTCAAATTCCTGGCCTCCAGTGATCCTCCAACCTCGGCCTCCCAAAGTGATGGGATTATAGAAGTTAGCCAATGCACCCAGTCTAAAAATATCTATACTCTTTAGCTTAATACTGAAAATTTAATTAAAAAAAAAAAAACTTCTTTTAGATTCAAACTAGCCAAGTACAGTGGCTCATGCCTGTAATCCCAACACTTTGGGAGGCTGAGGCAGGAGGATCACTTGAGCCCAAGAGTTTGAGACCAGCAACATGGCAAAATCCTATTTCTACAAAAACTTTAAAAATTAGCAGAGCTGGCCAGCAGCAATGGCTCACGCCTGTAATCCCAGCACTTGGGAGGCCCAGGCAGGCGGATCACAAGGTCAGGAGATCAAGACCATCCTGTCTAACATGGTGAAACCCTGTATCTACAACAAATACAAAAAATTAGCCGGGTGGTGTGGCGGGCGCCTATAGTCCCAGCTACTTGGGAAGCTGAGGCAGGAGAATTGCTTGAACCCAGGAGGCGGAGATTGCAGTGAGCCTAAATAGCACCACTGCACTCTAGCCCGCGCCACAGAGTAAGACTCCATCTCAAAAAAAAAAAAAAAAAAATCTGACTAAGTAACTGCCTTACACTTTAATGTCAACCTAGGGAATAATAAATTTTAGAGACCTAACATTCTCTCTGAAATACAATTAACTCCCCTATTGTCAACTAATCTGTTTCATGAATTTAGGTTTTTAGGTTGGGCACGGTGGCTCATGCCTGTAATCCCAGCATTTGGGAGGCCAAGGCAGGCTGATCACTTGAGGCCAACAGTTCGAGACCAGCCTGACCAACATGGTGAAACCCCGTCTCTACTAAAAATACAAAAAAATTAGCCAGGCGTGGTGGTGGGCACCTGTAATCCCAGCTACATGGGAGGCTGAGGTAGGAGAATCGCTTAAACCTGGGAGGCAGAGATTGCAGTGAGTGAGATTGTGCCACTGCACTCCAGCCTGGGCAACACAGCGAGACTCTGTCTCAAAAAAAAAAAAAAAAAGTTATGTTTTTACTTTAAAGGTAATCTGCTATGTATTAGGACGAAAGGAATAGACATAGGGCTGGTTAATTTAAAAGGAAAACAAGTGTGCTAAAAGAAGAAAAAGCGAGACCAGCCTGGCCAATATGGTGAAACCCCATCTCTACTAAAAATACAAAAAAATTGGCCGGGCGTGGTGGCGGGCTCCCAGCTACTCGGGAGGCCGAGGAAGGAAAATCACTTGAACCTGGGAGGCGGAGGCTGCAATGAGCCAAGATTGTGCCACTGCACTCCAGCCTGGGTGACAGAGCGACACTCCATCTCAAAAAAAAAAAAAAAAAAGAAAAGAAAAAGCCTTAACAAAAAGGGAAAAAAGGCTGAGGAGACTGAAGCCCCTGGCTGAATTCCATGTGAGAAACAGAAGGCAGGTGAGTTTGCTCCTCATGTGTAGCAAAAATCAGACAATAAGGATGGCAGGAAGGATACAGCCTTTCACCTGCAGAGCCCCACATTTCTTCAACATGCCTTTATGTAAATTCTCTCATCGGTCAGCAGGTTGGCCAGCAAGGTAGATGTTTTAAGAGTTAAGGTTGGCCGGGCACGGTGGCTCACACCTGTAATCCCAGCCCTTTGGGAGGCCAAGGCGGGTGGATCACGAGGTCAAGAGATCGAGACCATCCTGGCCAACATGGTGAAACCCTGCCTCTGCTAAAAATACAAAAATTAGCTAGGTGTGGTGGTGGGCGCCTGTAATCCCAGCTGCTCAGGAGACTGAGGCAGGAGAATTGCTTGAACCCAGGAGGCGGAGGCTGCAGTGAGCCGAGATCACGCCACTGCACTCTAGCCTGGCGACAGAGCGAGATTCTGTCTCAAAAAAAAAAATAAATAAAAGGAGTTAAGGTGTCAGCCGGATGCAGTGGCTCATGCCTATAATCCCAGCACTTTGGGAGGCTGAGGCAGGAGGATCGCTTGAGCCCAGGAGTTCAAGACCAAACTGGGCAGCAAATAATAAAAAATATTAGCTGAGCGCGGTAGCACATGCCTATCTATACCTCCAGTTACTTGGGAGGCTGAGCAAGGAGGATCATTTTGAGCCTGGGCAGTCGAGGCTGCAGTAAGCCATGATTGCACCACTACACTCCAACTTGGGTGACAGTAGAGACGGTGAAACCCCGTCTCTACTAAAAATACAAAAATTAGCCAGGCGTGGTGGCAGGCGCCTGTATGTAATCCCAGCTACTCGGGAGGCTGAGACAGGAGAATTGCTTGAACCCGGGAGGTGGAGGTTGCAGTGAGCCGAGACTGCACCATTGCACTCCAGCCTGGGGAACGAGCGAGACTCCACCTCAAAAAAAAAAAAAGATGGAGTAGTCAGAGCTGAACAAGGAAACACAAAATTTATTCTCTGTGAATCTCAGGAAAAATGAGAACTAAACATTAAAAACAGCGGAGAAGGGCCAGGAGTGGTGGCTCTTGCCTGTAATCCCAGCACTTTGGGAGGCCAAGGCAGGAGGATCACTTGAGGTCAGGAGTTCAAGACCAGCCTGGCCAATGTGGCGAAACCCTGTCTCTACTGAAAATACAAAAAATAGCCAAGCATGGTGGCGCGTGCCTGTAGTCCCAGCTACTTGGGAGGCTGAGGCAGGAGAATCACGTGAACCTGGGAGACAGAGGTTGCAGTGAGCCAAGATCACTCCACTGCACTCCAGCCTGGGCAATAAAGTGAGACACCATCTCAAAAAAAAAAAAAAAAAAAAAAAAAACCAACAGCAGAGAAGAACTGAAAACAGGCCTACACAAAGAAAGATATCTCTAAAAGAGACAGGAATGTACAGAGAAAGAAGGAGTGACAGAAAATAGCAACCAGCTTGGTGGTTTACTCACACTGTTAATGTCAAAACAGAAATGAGCTAGCAGGCTGGATGGGCAGTGAGAAATTCCAGCACAATTAAACACAGAGCATCCCGAGAGAGAGGAAGTGGAACTAAAGCACTTTTGATGAGCAGGTGGTTGATAATACCCAGCAAAAGCTCCTTGTGCACCACATCCAACTTTCTCCTTGCAACTTTAGAGTCAGAAAATGATTCTACTTCTGATGGAAAAACAATGGGATTTGTTGTTATAAGAACAGGAACAGGTTTAGACTGGGACACAGTCCTGAGAGGAGGGAATGCTTCCATAAAAAAAGCAGAAAGGGAGACAGCTAGAACAGAGCCATCCTGCTGAAGACACTGTTCATCAGGACAGCAGCAGTCCTGGAGATGCTAGGAGGATGAGACACCAGGGTCCTAGGTGCTATGTCAGGTAAGAAAGGGTTTCCACTCACTTATCGCTATTGGCTATCTTGCGGAACTCTCGAACAGTCATGGCTTTCTTCTGTATGTTGTACTGAGTAAAGAGGCCAGACTGCCCCGTCACCAGCTGTTGAATGGGGGCAGGAATGACCAAATCATCAATGTCATCATAGGATGCTCGTGGCTTCCACTCTTTTGGAGGAACAACCTGAAGGGAACACAAGAAACAAAAAGACAGATGAGAAACCTGGCAAGCCAGTCAGAGTCCAGGAAGCATGTAGTTACCAGCCAACCTAACAGTCAATTTTACTAGACAGTTACTTTGATTTACCCACATTCACCAAAACACAGTAAGTCACAGGCATGCTAACCCTGATCCACTTTTGCCACCAACCAGCTGCCTAATTGCAGCAACCTAAGGTAAGTAATACTTGTTCCCAGCTTCAGTATCTTATTTGGACACCAAGAAAGGAGATTAAAGACTTGATTCTCTCTCAATCTCCTAGCCCAGGGCTCTCTTTAAAAAAATCACAAACACAACTTTACTTGATTTGGTCAACTCTATACTTGTACAGAATTTCCTTTTTTCACACACTAGATTACAGTTTAATTACAAAGAAGCATAACATTCTTAAAAATCTAATCTTGAGGCCGGGCACAGTGGCTCATGCCGGTAATCCCAGCACTTTGGGAGGCCGAGGCAGGTGGATCACCTGAGGTCAGAGTTTGAGATCAGCTTGGCCAACATGGTGAAACCCCATCTCTACTAAAAACACAAAAATTAGCCTGGTGTGGTGGCACTCAACTATAATCCCGGCTATTTGGGGGGCTGATGCAGGAGAATCGCTTGAACCCGGAGGCAGAGGTTGCAGTGAGCCAAGATTGCGCCATTGCACTCCAGCTGGGGTAACAAGAGCGAAACTCCATCTCAAAAAAAAACAAAAAAAATCTAATCTTGAATAGTTAAGTAAGATAGATCTGCTTTATGGAATACTATACAGCTTTTTTTTTTTTAATTAGAGAGTATTGTTTTACTTTATGTAACAAGGGAGAAAACAACACACACACACACACACACACACACACACACACACACTCACAAGCATCTGCATAAGGCAACACTGAAAGGACATATAAGAAAATACGGAAAGGGAGCAAGACTCTACATTAGCTACCTTCCAATAGCATTCTGTTTTTACTCACATAATCAAATTACCCATTCCAATAGTAATAAATTAACAAGACAGTCGACATGAGAAAAAAGAAGAATGAGTTGAATCCATAATTGACCTAGAGGGAGGAATATATGTTGTTAAAAAGGAAAAAAGAAAAAAAAAAAGAAAAAAGAATGAACGAACCAACACAGGAATGTATATGGCATGATGCCATTCTCTTTTAAAAACAAAACAAATAACACTATTTTATATGTGTGTATGTTTGTATGAGCAGAGAAAAAGGTGTGGAGGGAGCTAATACCACTTAAGGAGACGGCACTGGAGAAGGTGGATGAAGATCAGCCTTTTCTTTATCTGCGTTTGAAATATTTAACTTGTAATAACCGACATTTTTTTGGTAACTTTAAATCTAATAAAGTACAACCAAAAAAAGCAATGTGCTATGAAAAACTGCACTGCAGGCCCTGCTATTCCCGCCTGCTGTTATTAACCCAGCAGTAGCCGTATCTGCAGATAAGAAAGAGGATGTGGTCGTCTCAAGTCTCTGGAGGCACCAGGGTCCAAGACTGGTCCTCAGCTTTGTAGCCAATGTTCTTGCTTTCTCTTTTCATATTGAAAATGTAACAAGCACATATGGTAGGGAATTCAAACAACATAAAATGGTGTAAAAAATTTCCTCCTGGCTTAGACTGAGGTCCCTGCCTCTCAGTTTCCTGAGGATCTCTCCAGAAATGCAGTTCTTTCAGCTTCCAGCACTCAACCTGATTGTGACAGAATATATGAAAAGCTGATTTGACTCAGGAAAAATAACGAATCCAACTCACAGGAGAAAGAAGTACAAACCAGAAACCAATTTCAAATTACAAGGACCAGAATACTCATGTTGGCTGGCCAGTGCATTCTCTCCCCTTGAAGAAAGTCCACATGGGAAGCCAAATTGCTACTAGAGTGCTGGATGAGACTGAAATGAGAGCAAGAGAAGTCAGATGGCATAAGCACTCACTGGCAGTTCAATAACACCACAGCACCCAGCTCCACCAAGAGGGCTGAGGCACAACAGCAGCCAGGCCTGGAGACACTAGCTCTTTACCTCCCCCTTTCTGAAGATTCCAAGTAGCTCTCTTCCTACCTAAAAGCAGAGATGCTTCTGATGTTAACAACGGGAATTAACTTGCAAATAGAACCGCATTCACTAAAGTCATCACCCCACCCAACTTTCAGTAAAACACAGTTCCGGCCCAAATGTAGGAAAAAAATCTTACTGCTCTGCCCTAGGTAACAAAACCATTTGAACAATCCCAGCTCCTTACCTTGGCTAGCCCTGCCCGATGAGCTCCTTGGGATTCAATGTAGGCAATGTATCTACTGAAGTTTCGGAACTCTTCCATAGTTGGATAAAAGGTCATTATCCTAGCACTGGGATTCAGAGTTTCAGACTCAGAAGCCATTTTCCCTCCTTTTTGAGGTCCCTTTAGTCAGACAGGAATCTGAAGAAACACATTAAGAGTATAAAATAATATAAAAATTAAAATTAAGTGCTGGAAACATCAACTCTGAAAACAGTAAAAGATAATATAGAAATTCAAAAGACACAGTTAAGACTTCACACCTGGAATCTACCTCTAGAAAAGTTATTTAGGGGCCGGGCACGGTGGCTCACGCCTGTAATCCCAGCACTTTGGGAGGCCAAAGCGGGTGCATCGCCTGAGGTCATAAGTTTGAGACCAGCCTGGCCAACACAGTGAAACCCTGTCTCTACTAAAAATACAAAAAATTAGCTGGGCATGGTGGCGGGCACCTGCAATCCTAGCTACTCGGGAGGCTGAGGCAGGAGAATCACTTGAACCCGGGAGGCTAAAGGTTGCAGTGAGCCAAGATTGCGCCATCGCACTCCAGACTGGGCAACAAGAGCGAAACTCCGTCTCAAAAAAAAAAAAAAAAAAAGAAAGAAAGAAAGAAAGAAAAGTAATTTAGGGTGGGGGTGTGGTGGCTCAAGCCTGTAATCCCAGCACTTTGGGAGACTGAGGTGGGCAGATCGCTTGAGTTAAGGAGTTTGAGACCAGCCTGGGCAACATAGTGAGACCCTGTCTCAAAAAAAATTTTTTTTAAATAAACAACAAAAAGTTATTTAAATAAACTAGAAATACAGATCGAAAAGGTTCTGTTTAAAAAGAACCTGATGTATCAAAACTGCATGGATTCAAACCTTATTTCAACAGAGACATTGTTACTGCAATAGGATTGTTCTTGAAAGAAAAAAAAAAGAAAATTGTTTCAGCTAAAAAAAGGAAACTAATTATTTAGTTGTTGGTCCTAATAGTACAGCTAAAATGCCCATATTTTACCCTTATCCTTTCAAGCTACTCCCTTATTAACACCTTGCTAATCACTTTTCAGAGTATTAAACAGAATACACTACAACTTGAAAGCCACCCATGGCTGGGTGCGGTGGCTTACGCCTTGTAATCCCAGCACTTTGGGAGGCCAAGGCTCCTCCCTAGGGCACAGCTAAACCAGATACCTAATAAAAGTTACGTGGCTACAAGATAACAAAACTTAAGGGTTCAAAAGTACTTTGATATTAGTAACATGATTTAAAAGCCCTTTGATATTAGTAACATAATTTTAAAACCCTAAAGTGAAACTGTTCTGTTGAAACTAAGATGCAGTTTCAGCAGTACTTAATGAAATCAAGCTACAGACAAGTTCAGTTGCACTGTACCCAGAACTCAAAGGACAAAATTTAAACTGGCAATACACGGAAAACTTCATAACTGATTGGAGAAAGCAAAATAAATACTTTGTTTTTAGATGAGAACTTCAGCTAAGTGGGTGCATCCCCACAGCTCGGTAACGCAATAGACCACCTCAACTGAAAAAAGACAAAGCATATCAATGAAAATAGGCCATTCTAGAAGGAACACCAGTATGTCCTTTCCTTTACCCACCCTCCTCACTGAGGGTCCAGCAGTTCCGTACCCCCTATCTGGGGCCCAAAGGTATGGCGGTTCAGCTCCAAGACTCTCTTTGAGAGTTGGAGAGCTCAGAAAGGAGAAAAGCGCCTCCAATCCACCAGAAATCTAGTTACAGGCCTGGGAGCAGAACACGGAGCACAACTGTGTAAGGTAGGAGAGAAGGCAAATCCAGTTACCCGTATCTCCTAGGCTTCCTATCAAAAATAAGGCGTGTTTCTAAACAGGCGCTTTTCATGAACCTGGCAGAAACTTTGCATGGCAGGTATACTGTTCTCCCTGTTTTACATACCAGGAAATTTGCCCACAGCCCACTCTTAAGTGCACCTTCCACTGCTCTATACTGCTTACATACTCATCTCCACCTGGACTAAGTCCTCTGCAAGGGCAGCTCCAAGTGTGGAGAAACCCGAAGTTTATTTAATTTTGAAGACCCTCTTAAAAAGAAAAATGAATCCAAAATATCTTACTTTTGCACATTTTATAAAAACATACAATCATGTGAATACAATGTTGGGGCCCTTCCCCGGGCCTTCAAAGGGGCCCTAATGGGCTTCATCAGCCTCTGCCCCTATTCATCTTTGTATGCCTAGAACAATGCATGGCACAGAGTAGGCAATCGGTAACTGTTGAAAAACTGATTTCCTCACCCTCACCTCAATTGTTCATCCCTTCTTCAACCCTAGGATTCCCTTCCCCCAAATCTGTTCCCTGGGGAAAGCTCCCGTTTCATGACACCTTCCCTCCCAATCAGTAACAAAGCCTAGAGATTCAAGAACACCGGCTCCGAAGTCAAAACTCTGAATACAGATCCGGTCTCTGCCGTTTATTAGCTATGTGACCTTGGCTGTGTGAGCTGACTTGAGTCTCAGTTTCTCCACCTGTAAAATGGGGATCCCAACCCCCTGCCCTGCAGGGTCGCTGTGATTAGCTCAGATGATGCAAGCGAAGCACTAAGCACTAGGCCCGGTACTTACCCACTCAATAAAGCTAGCTGTTGCTAACAACCCCCTCGGACTCCCGCACCCTTCCCTCGCAGCCGCTCCCGCGAGCATCACTCCAAAGGCAGCGCACCCTGCTCCCCACCGTCCCCGAACCTCACCGCGCACAGGTTCGGCCCCTCCCGGCCCCGCCGCCTTGGCGAGTGAAGCTCGGCCGCAGGAAGAAGAAAATAAGGCCCAGATGACCCGCCCCCCTCTCCCGAGGTCCATTGGCCTTGAAGATTGGAAAGGACCAATCTCAGAACCCATTCTGGAAGCTCCTTCTCCTATTGGCCGAGAAACATGCCGATCACTCACCGCTGGAAGACCCACCCCCACCGCCCCTCCCCCACCAAAACTCACGGTCACTGCTACAGCGGCAATGATCCTCGAGAATTCCAAAACCCTATAGTTCTCACCTACAGCCCAAAGCCCCGCCAGGGCTTAGGCTCAGCTCCTGCTGTCGCCACTGGCCGATCCTACTGCTTTTCCAGCAGGCGAAGGCCGAAACTCCGCCTCCTCTAAAGTCGGCATCTGCGCAGCCGTACAGAGTCAACCAATTCAAGGGTGGCTGCAAGCCATACACCAGCCAATGAGCACGCGCCGCAGCCACCTCCCAGTCCCGACCTCAGTGTGCTCAGCCTATGAGCGCCGGCTCGGGCTGTTGCCGGGAGGAAACGCTGTACCACTAGGGACCGCGGCCAGTGAGCCTCTAGCTGGATCGCGAAGCTGGCCAATCATAGGCGGGCTCCTGGTCACCCATAACTAATCAGGGTTGAAAGAAGCTAGTACCTGGAAGTGGGCCGGTCCGGTAGATGGGTAAGGGCGGTGAGGTTACTATAGGATGTCGCTAACGAAAGGATAGGCCAAAGTTTTCTTGGGATGAGTATCCTCTTTGCCTAACGTGGAAATGTGTCGGGGCCCTTAGGGGCAGCTTCCGAGCTCAGGGAGTGCTGAAAAGATGACCGTCTTGTCCCGGTTTGTCCTGGGTGTCTCGGTTTTCAAAACAAAATCCCGTGGCCTTGGAAACCCCTCATTCGCTGTCAAGCCTGAACAGGGAAGGGAAGCTGCCCTGAGGGTCATTAGGACAGACCATGAGGGAGGCTCTCCTTAGGGTCATTAAAAAGCAATTCCTGGCCGGGCGTGGTCCCTCACGCCTGTAATCCCAGCACTTTGGGAGGCCGAGGCGGGCGGGTCACCTGAAGTCGGCAGTTTGAGACCGCCTGACCAACATGGAGAAACCCCGTCTCTACTCAAAAAAAAAATACAAAATTAGCCGGGCGTGGTGTTGCATGCCTGTAGTCCCAGCTACTCCGGAGGTTGAGGCAGGAGAATCGCTTGAACCCGGGAGGCGGAGGTTGCGGTGGGCCGAGATCGCGCCATTGCACTCCAACCTGGGCAACAAGAGTGAAACTCCGTCTAAAAAAAAAAAAAAAAAAAAAAAAGCAGTTCCTCAGTGAGCGGGGATTTGGGGGATCATTAGGAGCAGCTCTTGGGGCGGAGAGGGGGGCATCCTGGGAATCAGAAGAGGCACTTCTGGAGGGCGAGGGGGCTTCCTAGAAGTCATTAGGAGCGGTTCCTGAGGGGTAGTGAGTCGCCTTAAGGAATTCCCAGATTGTCAAGGGTAGTGGGGAAGGTCAAGTAGGAAAGTAAAATACCCACAACCAGAGTCATAAAAAAATATACAGAATTACCATGGATGAATAATGGGGTAGTGCCCTGGAAAGAGCTATATGGAGTCAGGCCTGTGTTCAAAACTAGTAACTTCTCTGAGCCTGGGAGTTCACATCAATAAAATGGAAAAAATAATGCCTTGCAAATTTTGTAAAGATGAGAGTTAATGAATGTTGGCAAAAAGAACATATTTCATAGAATGCTATGGACCAATCATGATTTATGCCTCAGGCTGGGTACATGCCTACTGAAAAAAAAATCTTTAAAAAAAATAGTTTCAAAAACAGAAATGACTGTTTCAAAAAGAATGGCCGTTGGCTACGCAGCCACAAGTCTTTCACAATAGGGGTTTTTGCCCTTACCCAGTAAGGTAATCGACAGTATTAGATAATAGATTATACTGAGTGGCTCACAAAAGTGCCGAGTCTGAAGAATCCAACTTGCAGGACACATAAAGAAAACCCAAATCCTGCGGTAGAATTCATCCACCACTGTCTTTCCTGCTGCCACTAAGCACAAGATACTGCAGGTTGCTTCACAGACTCCACTGTCCTGGACATGGATACAGTCGCTAGTTACTGTTACTGTGTTCCATAAACTGGATTTTGCTGTATTTCCTGGTGCTGCCAGATGATTTCCAAGGGCCCTCTACTGTGTATCACTAGCTTCCAATTGGTATGTGCATGTGATAGGTGGAGCCTAAATCAAGTTCTCGTGATATGCTCCCATTTTTCTGACCAGTTTTCCTGTTTCCTTTTTAAGCTCACCTTTCCCTTTGCACACTTTTTGTTTGTTTGCTTGCTTTTTTGTTTTTTTGTTTTTGAGACGGAGTTTCGTTCTTGTTGCCCAGGCACGATCTCGGCTCACTGCCACCTCCGCCTCCCAGGTTCAAATGATTCTCCTGCCTCAGCCTCCTGAGTAGCTGGGATTACAGGCGCCCGCCACCACACCCGGCTAATTTTTTTTGTATTTTTAGTAGAGACAGGGTTTCATCATGTTGGCCAGGCTGGTCTCAAACTCCTGACCTCAAGTGATCCACCCGCCTTGGCCTCCCAAAGTGCAGGGATGACAGGCGTGAGCCACCGTGCCCAGCCCCTTTGCACGCTTTAAATGTCGATATTCTAAGCAAAACTAACCTATAGCAATAAAAGTCAATGTTCTGGTTACTTTTAGGTAGGGGACAGGGAATGATGGGAAAGGGTGGCACAAAGAATGCTCTGGGGTGTTAGGAATTTTTTTTTTTTTTTTTTGAGATGGAGTTTTGCTCTTGTTGCCCAGACTGAAGTGCAGTAGTGTGATCTCGGCTCACTGCAACCTCTGCCTCCCAGGTGCAAGTGATTCTCCTGCCTCAGCCTCCCAAATAGCTGGGATTACAGGCACGTGCCACCACGCCCGGCTAATTTTGTGTTTTTAGTAGAGATGGGGTTTCACCCTGTTGGCCAGGCTGGTTTCGAACCCCTGACCACAGTGATCCACCTGCCTCGGCCTCCCAAAGTGCTGGCATTACAGGCACGAGCCACTCCGCCCAGCGGCAATGTTCTATTTCTTCATCTAGATGGTGGTTATGCTAGTGTGTTCACATTGTAAAACTTACTTTTATTTATTGGTTAGATAGATAGATAGATAGATAGATAGATAGATAGATATTTTTTTGAGACAGTTTCATTCTATCACCCAGGCTGGAGTGCAGTGGTGCCATCTCAGCTCACTTCAACCTCCACCTCCTGGGTTCAAGCGATTCTCCTGCCTCAGCCTCCCAGGTAGCTGGGATTATAGGCGTGTGCCACCACGCCCAGCTAATTTTTTGTATTTTTAGTAGACAGGGGGTTTCGCCATGTTGGCCGGACTGGTCTCAAACTCCCAACCTTAGGTGATCTGCCCACCTTGGCCTCCCAAATTGCTGGGATTACAGGCATGAGCCACCACACCTGGCCACTAAAATTTTAAATTTAAAAAAAAAATTTTTTTTTTTTGAGACGGAGTTTCCCTTTTATTGCCCAGGCTGGAGAGCAACGGCGTGATCTCAGCTCTCCGCAACCTCCACCTCCCAGGTTCAAGTGATTCTCCTGCCTCAGTCTCCCAAGTAGCTGGGATTACAGGCATGAGCCACCACACCCGGCTAATTTTGTATTTTTAGTAGAGATGGGGTTTCACCATGTTGGTCAGGCTGGTCTTGAACTGCCAGCCTCAGGTGATCCGCCTGCCTTGGCCTCCCAGAGTGCTGGAATTACAGGCGTGAGCCACCACGCCCGGCCAAAAAATTCTTAATAGAACTGGGAGGCTGGGTGCAGTGGCTCTCATGCCTGTAATCCCAGCACTAGGGAGGCCAAAGTGGGAAAATCACCTAAGGTCGGGAGTTCAAGACCAGCCTGCCCAACATGGCGAAACCCCATCTCTACTAAAAATATAAAAAATTAGCTGGGCATGGTGGTGCACACCTGTAATCCCAGCTACGCAGGAGGCTGAGGCAGGAGAATCGCTTGAACCCAGGAGGCAGAGGTTGCGGTCAGCCGAGATCACGCCACTGCACTCCAGCCTGGGTGACAAGAGCAAAACTCTGTCTCAAAAAAAAAAATAGAAGTGGGGTCTCCCTATGTTGTCTCAGCTGGTCTTGAACTTCTGAGCTCAAACAACCCTCCTGCCTTGGCCTCCCAAAGTGCTGGAATTTCCAAGCATGAACATGCCCGGCTGTGAAAATTAACTGATCTGTATGCTTGAAAGTTGTGCATAAGTTTTGATATACATATACCTTAGTTTTTAAAAGTAAATTTAAAATTTTTTAGTTAAAAAAAAAAGGAAAAACATGTTAATGTCCTCATAGCTTTAGGTCCTTTGCCCTCTTCTCTCATTCTACACAGTCTTCTTAGGTGCTTTTGTTTTATTTTTTCTTTGAGTTAGGGTCTCCCTCTGTCACCCAGGCTGGAGTGAAGTGGTGCAATCACAGCTCACCGCAACCTCAACCCCCTGGGCTCAAGCGATTCTCTCACCTCAGCCTCTCAAGTAGCTGGGACTACAGGCATATGCCACCAAGCCCGGCTAATTTTTGTATTTTTTTGTAGAGACGGAGTTTTGCCATGTTGCCCAGGTGGGTTTTTGTTTCTGTTTCTGTTTTTGTTTTTTTGACAGCTGCCCACGTGCAGGTGTTTCTGGCTCTACAACTCACTAGCAAGTTACTTAATTTCTCTAGTTCTCAAGTTTTCTCATAACTAAAACTGGGATAGTACTTCCCTTTCTGGGTTGTGAGAATTGAATGAGATAAATGAAGTAATGGGATAATGAAGTAAACCAGTTAGAAGTCTAATTGGCACGTAGTAAGTGCTCAGTAAATGTCAGCTCAGTAAATGATGATGATGGTACAAAGCACTTAGCACAGAGCCTGAAACAAGAGCTCAATACACTTTCACTCTTAGGCTGCACTCATGTGCACACTGATGACACCCATTGTATATCCCAGACATCTTCTCCCTGGAGCTCAGATCCATGTATCCTGCTGTCTCTGGATCCCTCCCCCTAGTTGTCCTACAGTTACTTAAAGCTGACCTACCCAACAAAGAGCTACTCTTGCCCCACAAATAAGCTGTACCTCCTAGGTTTCCTATCTCAGTTAGTGGAAGAGCCATGACCTAATTGCTTAAGCCAGGTGCAGTCCATTACCTCACCCTGTCCAGAGCTCCACAAAGCAAGTATTTTACAAATGCATGGATTTGTTTACATGTGCATCTTTCCTCACTAGACAAAAGTCTCGTGAGAATATCATTTTGGTCTTATTGCTAATACCGTTTAGGAATGTATTCCATTGCCAAAAATAGAAAACCCTAGCAAAAGTGGCTAAATACAAGTTTATTTTCTCATCGGATAAGAGGTCTGAAGGTGGTGAGCCTTAGCTCAGTGCTCAACAAAGTCATGAAACATACAGGTATGTTCCATCTTTCTCTTGCACCCTTTGCAACGTGGCTTTTGCCACCCTCTTGTGCAACTCGTGATTGTAAGGTGACTGCTGCAGCTCCAGAAGGAGGACAGAGACAGTGTCCTGTTTCTTCTATCACACCAGCAAAAAGACTACCAGAATCTGCCTGCCTGCCAGTAATGAGTGGAACAGACCCTTTCCTGCACTCATGGTTTTTATAATCTAGTGAGAGAGAGACATGAAGCAAGTGCTTGCACAAAGAAAGAAAATTATAGGCTGGGTGTGATTCACACCTGTAACCCCAGCTACTCCTGAGACTGAGGCATTCGAGGCTGCAGTGAGCTATTATGGAGCCACTGCACTCCAGCCTGGATGACAGAGTGAGACTCTTATCTCAAAAAAAGAAAAATTGCCACAAAGTTGTGCTTGCTATGAAGGAAAAGAATAGGGGAGAACACCTTTAGAGTGACTTGCCACCAATGGCAGCAGGATTTGGAAATAAAGCTATCATGGCATAAAGTGTATGCCATGTTCCCAGTCCAGGGTTTCCTTTCCTAGAGCTTCACTTTATCCAGCACTCAGCACAATGCCGAGCACATGGCAGGCATGACATAAGTAATCATAATGGCAATATTATTCGCTTAAAAAGTTAACTACACCTAGGCCAGGTGACGTGGCTCACGCCTGTAATCCCAGCACTTTGGGAGGCCGAGGTGGGTGGATCACGAGGTCAGGAGATCGAGACCATCCTGGCTAACACAGTGAAACCCCGTCTCTACTAAAAATACAAAAAATTAGCCGGGCGTGGTGGTGGGCGCCTGTAGTCCCAGCGACTCAGGTGGCTGATGCAGGAGAATGGCATGAACCTGGGAGGTGGAGCTTGCAGTGAGCTGAGATTGCGCTACTGCATTCCAGCCTGGGTGACGAAGCGAGACTCCGTCCCCCCAAAAAAAAAAGTTAACTACAGCTGGGTGCAGTGGCTCACTGCTGTAATCTCAGCACTTTGGGAGGCTGAGGCCAGTGGATCACCTGAGGTCAGGAGTTAGAGACCAGCATGGCCAACATGGTGAAACCCTGCCTCTACTAAAAATGCAATAATTAGCTGGGCATGGTGGCAGGCGCCTGTAATCCCAGCTACTCGGGAGGCTGAGGCAGGAGAATTGCTTGAACCCAGGAAGTGGAGGTTGCAGTGAGCCGAGATCGTGCCGTTGCACTCCATCCTGGGTGACGAGCAAAATTCAGTCTCAAAAAAAAAAACAAAAAACAAAAAACAAACAAACAAAACAAAGTTAACTACATTTATTGAGCTGTTATATTTCAAACACTGTGCTAAATGCTTTATATGCACAAAAATTGTTTACATTTAGATATATGCTATCATTAACAATGTTCTTTTTAATAATATAATTTAATGATTTTTAAATAAATTTACAAACGCATGCAACTATCACCCAATCCAGTTTTGGAACATTTCCATCACCTCAATAAAATCTACCACCTCAAAAAGATTACCCGTGCCCAGTTATAATCAGTCTCCATTCCCACCCCCAGCCCCAGGCAATTATTAATCTATTTTCTGTCTATATAGATTTGCCTTTTCTGGACATTTCATATAAATAGAACCATAGACTATGTGGTCTTTTGTGTCTGGCTTCTTTCACTGAGCATAATTTTTTTGAGAGTCACCCATGTTGTAGCATGCATCAGTATTTCCCTCCTTTCTATTATTGAATAGTATTCCACTGTAGTGTTGATTGATGTTTGGGTTGCTTCCACTTTTTGGCTATTAGGAATAGTGCTGCTATGAACATTTACATGCTAGCCTTTGTGTAAATGTCTGTTTACATTTCTCTTGGGTAGATAACAAGGAGTGGAATAATTGCTAGGTTGTATAGTAAATTTGTGTTTATCTTTTTAAGAAACTGCCAAACTATTTTCTAAAGTAGCTGTACCATTTTACATTCCCATCAACAATACATGAGGAGTCCCATTTCTCCATATTCTTGCCAGCATTTGGTACTGTCTATCTTTCTGATTATAACCATTCTAGTGGGTGCCAAGTAGTATTTCACTGTGGTTTTAATTAGCATTTCCCTAATGACTAATGATGTTGGGCATCTTTTTATGTGCTTATTAACCATTCATATATCCTCTTTGGTGAAATGTCTATTCAAACCTTTTGTCAATGTATTAATTGGGTTGTTTGTCTTCTTATTATTGAGTTGTAAAAGTTATTTATGTATTTGGATACAGATCCTTTATCAGATGTAGGCTTTAAAAATATTTTCTCTCCTTCTGTGGCTTGCCTTTTCATTTTCTTTAGTGTCTTTTGAAGCACAAGAGTTTTCGTTTTGATGAAGTTCAATTTATCAGTTTATTGTATGAATTGTGGTTTTGGTGCATTGACAT
Source organism: Homo sapiens (assembly GCF_000001405.40). Classification (NCBI taxonomy): domain Eukaryota; kingdom Metazoa; phylum Chordata; class Mammalia; order Primates; family Hominidae; genus Homo; species Homo sapiens. Next base: position 43,642,681 of record NC_000001.11, on the reverse strand, counting down.
TAACATTTACATAGTTCTGCTCTGCCCCTAAAATATGTCCAGAATTCAACACTTCCCTTCACCTCCACTCCATCACCCTGCTCCAAGCCATCCTTAGCCTGAATAGGATAATTGCCACAGCCTGCTAATGTCTCTGTATCTCTGCCCTTGCCCCCTGCAGTCTCCTCAACACAGCAGACTGATTCTTTTTAATTTTTTAAAAAATTATTTTCTACGCTGGGCATGGTGGCTCGAGCCTGTAATCCTAGCACTTTGGGAGGCCGAGGCAGGTGGATTGCTTGAGGTCAGGATTTCAAGACCAGCCTGGCCAACATCTACTAGAAATACAAAAATTAGCCAGGTGTGGTGGCATGGGCCTGTAATCCCAGCTACTCAGGAGGCTGAGGCAGGAGAATCGCTTGAGCCTGGGAGGTGGAGGTTGCAGTGAGCTGAGATCTCGCCACTGCATTCCAGCCTGGGGAATGGAGTGACACTCCATCTCAAAAAACAAAAACAAACACAAAAACAAACAACAAAAAACGGGTTTTCTAATTTTTTTTTCAAGTGATTCTCCTGCCTCAGCCTCCCGAGTAGCTAGGATTACAGGCGCCCACCACCACACCCGGCTAATTTTTTGTATTTTTAGCAGAGACGGAGTTTCATCATGTTGGCCAGGCTGGTAGTGAACTCCTGACCTCAGGTGATTCACCCGCCTCGGCCTCCCAAAGTGCTGGGATTACAGACATGAGCCACTCCGCTCAGCCTAGAGTGATTCTTTTTTTTTTTTTTTTTAAGACGGAGTCTCACTCTGTCGCCAGGCTGGAGTGCAGTGGTGTGGTCTTGGCTCAATGCAACCTCTGCCTCCTGGGTTCAAATGATTCTCTTGCCTCAGCCTCCCGAGTAGCTGGGACTACAGGCGCGTGCCACCATGCCCAGCTAATTTTTGCATTTTTAGTAGAGACGGGGTTTCACCATGTTGGCCAGGATGGTCTCAATCTCTTGACCTTGTGATCCACCCACCTCGGCCTCCCAAAGTGTTGGGATTACAGGCGTGAGCCACCGTGCCTGGCCAGAGTGATTCTTTAATACTAGAAGCTACATCATGTTACTCCTCTTCTTACAACCATCACATGACTTCTCATCTCATTTTGAAGAAAAGCCAAATCCTTTTATTCTTTTTGTTTGAGACAGAGTCTTGCTGTCACCCAGGCTGGAGTGCAGTGGTGTGGCTTACTGCAGCCTCTGCCTTCCAGGTTCAAGCAATCCTGCCTCAGCCTCCCAAGTAGCTGGGATTACAGGTGTGCACCACCACACCTGGCTAATTTTTTTTTTTAGACGGAGTCTCACTTCTTCGCTCAAGCTGGAGAGCAGTGGTGCGATCTCAGCTCACTGCAACCTCCACCTCCCAGGTTCAAGCAATTCTCCTGCCTCAGTCTCCCAAGTAGCTGGGATTACAGGCACATGCCAGCACGCCCAGCTAATTTTTTGTATTTTTAGTAGAGATCAGGGTTTCACCATGTTGGCCAGGCTGGTCTTGAACTCCTGGCCTCAGGTGATCCACCCATCTTGGCCTCCCAAAGTGCAGGGATTATAGGCATTGAGCCACCGCTCCTAGCCGAAAAGCCAAATCCTTTTAACAGCCTACAGACAGTCGTCCCCCACCCGCTCTCTGCACACTCTCCCAGGACGCTGTTCCCCCTCAGGTCTGAATGGCTTGCTCCCTCACCTTTCAGGGCCTCATTGAAATGTCACCTCAGTGAAGCCTTCCCTGACCACCAGTATATCCTTTATTTATTTTTCTATTGTTTAGTTCTCTCCATTAGAATGTCTGCTCCATGAGGGCAGGGACCTTTGCTTGGTTCACCGCTATCCCTGGCCCTTGGAGCAGCCCTGGCTCCTTGTATGTGCTCATTAAATATTTGTTGAGTCAAGGAATAATATTCCTTAATTTCATCCATGCAATGAACTTTAGAAGGTGGCATTATTACTGTCCCATTGTAAAGCTGAGGAAACTAGAGTGCAGGGAGGTTAGATAATTTGAAATGAGCAGTCTGCCTGAGGAGGTATGTGCAATAAAATAATGGGCTGGGCGTGGCGGGTCACACCTGTAATCCCAGCACTTTGGGAGCCTGAGGCAGGTGAACTGCTTGAGCCTAGGAGTTCAAGACCAGCCTGTCTTGGACAACATGGCAAAACCCTGTCTCTACAAAAAATACAACAATCAGCCAGGTGGTGGTGTGCGCCCGTGGTTCCAGCCACCTGGGAGACTGAGGTGAGAGGATCACTTGAGCTCTGGGAGGTGGAGGTTGCAGTGAGCTGAGATTGCACTCCACTGCACTCCAGCCTGGGCAACAGAGCAAAACCCTGCCCCAGAAAAAAAAAAAATAGAAAGAATGAATGATAAACTGAAACTGAATCAATAAACAAACAAGAAGGACTATGTTTGTATACTAATGATGCCTTCAGCCTTCACCTCTGGGTCATTTACATTCAACCCTTGCCAGTGGGCACTAGCAGCTGAAAGAAAGTAAACAATCTTTTCTTGTACTTTGGGAAGCTCTGGACAAAGAGCCTGACAGGAGCCGCCCAGATAAGAAGCCATGAGAGTAAGCACCAGGAACACACTGACACACTGTGACCTGGTCAGCCTGGTTCCCTGGGGAGGGGGCTTCTGAGGCCAGTTTAGTCCATGTAAATAAGAAAGAAAATTCAGCCTTAATTCAGCCTTGCAGACAAGGTCAGTTGGAAATACCAGGGCCCTCTAGCCTATGAAATATAGAAACATAAATATAAAAATGCTTAGAGGGCCGGGCATGGTGGCTCACGCCTGTAATCCCAGAACTTTGGGAGGCTGAGGTGGGTGGATCACCTGAGGTCAGTGGTTCGAGACCAGCCTGGCCAACATGGTGAAACCCTGTCTCTACTAAAAATACAAAAATTAGCTAGGCATGGTGGTGCGGGCCTATAATCCCAGCTGCTTGGGAGGCTGAAGCAGAAGAATCGCTTGAACCCAGGAAGCGGAGGTTGCAGTGAGTTGAGATCGTGCCACTTCACTCCAGCCTGGGCGACAGAGCAAGACTCCATCCAAAAAAAAAAAAAATGTTTAGAGGCAGACACATGCATACCCACAAATACACTGAGTTCCAATGTTTAACACAGACATCGATTTCTTTCTTAGCTGATGTATTCTCTCTTCTCTGCAGAGGATGGCTTGGTGTTACAGGCAAAGGCACAAAGAGCTTTGGGGATGGCTGGGCGTGGTGGCTCACGCCTGTAATCCCAGCACTTTGGGAGGCAGATCACCTGAGTTTAGGAGTTTGAGACCAGCCTCGAACATGATGAAACCTCATCTCTACTAAAAATACAAAAGATTAGCCAGGCATGGTGGCACATGCCTGCAATACCAGCTACTCGGGAGGCTGAGGAAGGAGAATCACTTGAATCCAGGAGGTGGAGGTTGCAGTGAGCCAAGATCGCGCCACTGCACTCCAGCCTGGGCAACAGAGTAAGATTCCATCTCAAAAAAATAAAAGCAGAAAGCCTTGGGGAGCAGCAACAAGGTGCCCCATGGGCCATGGCTACCTTGCACTCATTCCTTTATCCTTTGCTTCCACCCTGTGTTCTATTTGTTTGTTTGCCTTTTTAATCTCAGGCACTAAAATAACTTCTTCTCAAGGCCAAATGCCATCCATTCTTTAAGACTTGGCTTAAATTTTACCTATTCCTGCATTCTTTTTTTAAAAAATTTACTTATATATATATATATATATATTTTTATTATACTTTAAGTTCTAGGGTACATGTGCACAACGTGCAGGTTTGTTACATATGTGTACATGTGCCATGTTGGTGTGCTGCACCCATTAACTCGTCATTTACATTAGGTATATCTCCTAATGCTATCCCTCCCCCGTCCCCGCACCCCACAACAGGCCCCGGTGTGTGATGTTCCCCATCCTGTGTCCAAGTGTTCTCATTGTTCAATTCCCACCTATGAGTGAGAACACGTGGTGTTTGGTTTTTTGTCCTTGCAATAGTTTGCTGAGAATGATGGTTTCCAGCTTCATCCATGTCCCTACAAAGGACATGAACTCATCCTTTTTTATGGCTGCATAGTATTCCATGGTGTATATGTGCCACATTTTCTTAATCCAGTCTGTCATTGATGGACATTTGGGTTGGTTCCAAGTCTTTGCTATTGTGAATAGTGCCGCAATAAACATACGTGTGCATGTCTTTATAGCAGCATGATTTATAATCCTTTGGGTATATACCCAGTAATGGGATGGCTGGGTCAAATGGTATTTCTAGTTCTAGATCCCTGAGGAATCGCTGCACTGTCTTCCACAATGGTTGAACTAGTTTACAGTCCCACCAACAGTGTAAAAGTGTTCTTATTTCTCCACATCCTCTCCAGCACCTGTTGTTTCCTGACTTTTTAATGATTGCCATTCTAACTGGTGTGAGATGGCATTCTTTTATTTAAAGACTTTTTACTAAGCATCTATTTTGTGCTGACTCTGGAAATACAGAGATAACAACTCCATCCCTCTACTTGGGACAATTACAGGTACTTCAACTCAACAAAAGTAAACTCTCGGCCCGGCACAGTGGCTCACGCCTGTAATCCCAGCACTTTGGGAGGCCGAGGTGAGCAGACTGCCTGAGCTCAGGAGTTTGCGACCAGCCTGGGCAACACAGTGAAACCCCATCTCTACTAAAATACAAAAAATTAGCCAGGTGTGGTGGCGGGCGCCTGTAGTCCCAGCTAGTTGGGAGGCTGAGGCAGGAGAATTGCTTGAGCCCGGGAGGCGGAGGTTGCAGTGAGCCAAGATCGCGCCACTGCACTCCAGCCTGGGCAACAGAGCGAGACTCTGTCTCAAAAAGAAAAAAAAGTAAGCTCTTGGTTCTCCCCTGACTCTACTCTGCTGTTAGTGCTCCCCACCTCAGTAAAGGCACCAATATTCACCTAGGTGCCCAGAGTCATTCTCGATTCTTTTAGCAGCCCACATCCAATCCTATTAGCCTTACTTACTTTCAAAACTATATCCCGAATCCTTCTCTTACCTCCGCATCACTATCATTGTACTTCAAGCAGCCATCACCCTCCACCTGGAACACTACAACAGCATCCTGACTGGACTCCCTGCTTCTGCTCCTGCCCCTTCCAATCTGTTCTCCAAATAGGTGCCAGAGTGATCTGTCAAAAAAACAAGTCCCCAGCCTGGGCAACATAGTGAGACCCTGTCTCTACAAAAACATTAAAAAATTAGCCAGGGACGGTGGTGTGCACCTGTAGTCCCAGCTACTTGGGAGGTTGAGGTGGGAGGATGGCTTGAGCCTGGGGGGTCAAGACTGCAGTGAGCTGCGATTGCGCCACTGCACTCAGGCCTGGGCGACAGAGTGAGACCCTGTCTCAAAGACGAAGAAAAGCAAATCCAATGAACTACCTTATTGAAAACCCCTTAAAAGCTTTCTGTGCCCCTATCCTGAATCCAAAGTGCCTTGCTCATGTCTGCGAGAGCCCCTGCCCATTCTGCACCCCATCCTGCCCCACTCTCCCCTTGCACTCTGGGCTGCAGCCACGCTGGCCTTTGTTCTGTTTTTCTAAAACACCCCTTGAAAGAGCTATGTTCCCTCGTGCCTCAGGATCTTTACACCCTATTGAGCCTCTTCCTTGTAGAAGCCTCCGATTCCCCATACTTGTCTGGGTCCTACTGTCCCATGCTGTGGGACCCGGACTAGTGTGGGGAGTCAGAGGCTTCTGTGAGAAAGGGACTCTCTATGCATTCTGCACACTTCCTGCAAAGCATCTGAGCTTTTGATTGTGTGTGTGTGTAAGATTTGAATGATGTCTGTCTTCCTGCCAGATTAAGGTTTCTAAGGGTACTTTGGGCTGGGCACCGTGGCTCATGCCTGTAATCCCAGCACTTTGGGAGGCCGAGGCAGGCAGATCACTTGAGGTCTGGAGTTCGAGACCAGCCTGGCCAACATGGTGAAACCCCGTCTCTACTAAAAATACAAAATTAGCCAGGCATGGTGGCATGTGCTTATAATCCCAGCTACTCAGGAGGCTGACGTGAGAATCACTTGAACCTGGGAAGCAAGAAGTTGCAATGAGCCCAGATCACACCACTGCACGCCAGCCTGGGTGACAGAGCGAGACCCTGTCTCAAAAAAAAAAAAAAAAGGGTAGGGACTTTATTATTTCACTATTGAATCTCAGTACCTTGGACAATGCCTGGTTCATAGTAAGTGCTCAATAAATATCACTGGACTATGATTTGGGGAAAGAATGGACAAATGAAGCTAGGTGGGTTGTAGTTTGTATGGTAGTTAAGCATTCAGGCTCTGGACTCACAGAACCAGGCTCAAATCTAGGTTCTGCTCTCTTCCTAGCTGTGTGACTTAAGAGTGAGTTGGTTGACCTCTGAGAGCCTGTCTTCAATCACAAAAGGAGGTTGTAATACAAGCTACTATACAGGGCTTTTGGAGGAACTGAATGTTAACAATGCGGGTAAAATGCTTGTCATATTTAAGTGCTTAATAATGCTAGCAGGTATTATTACAGAATATGATAGGTACACACCATGTTTGTTGGATTTAAATCTTTACGACCACATAGCTCAGGTGGGGGTAATTACAGGGAATGCCCTGAATATCTGCCAGAGAGGGGAGGCTGGAAAGGACAAACCCTGAAAAAGCATCTGGGACACAAGGTCTTTCGGGGAGACTGAGGAGTATCCCATTTGTGGGGCTAAAAACTTCCCTCCAGCTCAAGACTGGGTAACCCTTATTTATTTATTTTAGGGATGGGGTCTTGATATGTTGCCCAGGGTGGAGTGGGATGGCTATTCACAGGCAAGATCATAGGACACTAAAGGCTCAAACTCAAGGCCTCAAGCAATCCTCCTGCCTCAGATTTTTTTTTTTAATTTTTTTATTTTTTGAGACGGAGTTTTTGCTGTTGCCCAGGCTGAGTGCAATGGCACGATCTCAGCTCACTGCAACCTCTACCTCCCGGGTTCAAGCAATTATCCTGCCTCAGCCTCCCGAGTAGCTGGGATTACAGGCGCCCGCCACTATGCCTGGCTAATTTTTGTAATTTTAATTTCACCATGTTGGCCAGGCTGGCCTCAAACGTGGCTGCCCAAAGTGCTAGGATCACAGGCGTGTGCCACTGTGCCTGGCCCTGCCTCAGCTTCTTGAGTAGCTGGGATTACAGGTGTGTGCCACCACACCCAGCCCTCCTTATTATTATTTTTTAAAATTTGAGATGGATTCTCCCTCTGTCGCCTAGGTTGGAGTGCAGTGGCACGTTCTCAGCTCACTGCAACCTCCCCCTCCCGGGTTCAAGCAATTCTCCTGCCTCAGCCTCCTGAGTAGCTGGGATTACAGACACACATCACCATGCCTGGTTAGTTTTTTGTATTCTTAGTAGAGATGGGGTTTCTCCATGTTGGTCAGGCTGGTCTCAAACTCCCAACCTCAGGTGATCCGCCCTCCTCGGCCTCCCAAAGTGCTGGGATTACAGACGTGAGCCACCGCACCCGGTCACCTCCTTACTGATTTTAAACGTAATGTTCCTTGGTGAATCTCCACGTAAACTATTTCTACTGTTGGTGTCGGGGACTGGGAGAAAAGCAGCTTACATGGTAAGGGTGAAGTTTGGTGTGGTGGATGCAGAGATCCCTTGTGAGATATGAAGTCCCTCTTGGAGCAGACTAGGGCGTGTCTCAGGGAGGGAGCAAAAGGGCCTCTGAGGAGTTGGGAGTGAAGATTCTTGAGGATTGGGTGCTGGCAGCTGCCAGGCATTCCTTCTGACAATCAGACTGACCTCCCACTACAGGGCCGGCATCCACTCAGCAAACATTGATGGAGTCCCGACTCTGGGTAGGCTCTTAAGCTGGGAGGCAAGTGAGACACAGTTCTTGCCCTCAAGAAGTTCACAGTCCAGTGAAGACAGATGAATCAAACCATAATTATAATGCCAATTTTCATTTCCTTTCTGCACGACAGCCTGGATAATTTTCTTGGTATTTTCCCCCTATTTTACTATTTGAACAGCTGAGGAAGCACGAATAATAATTTCAGCACAGTGCTATGGTTCCTGGACCAGCAACACAGCTGGATGTGAGACTAATTGAGCAAGGAAGAGGAGGGGCTAAGGAGGGACTCCTGGAAGACTGACCTTGGATGAGAAGTGCCAGGAAGGGCTCCAGGAAGAGGGGATAACATGCAACCACAGCATGCTGTTTTTCTATGTGACACATGCTTATGAAAAAAGTGCGTATCAGAGGTAGGAAAATTAGAAAATGCATTTAAAATAGGGAACATAACCACCCAGCAATGTGCTAACATTTTGGTGTCTATCCTTTCCAGTGTTTCTCGAATTTTAATGCTCATACAAATGCCATACGGAACTGTCAAAATACAAATTCTGATGCAGCAGGTCTGGGGTAGAGCCTAAGATTCTACATTTCTACGAGACAGGCACATTACCACTTGGCCACCGTGCCTGAGTTAGAGTCTACTTTTTTTTTTTTTTTTTTTTTTTGAGATCGAGTCTTGCTCTGTCGCCCAGGCTGGAGTGCAGCGGCACTATCTCAGCTCACTGCAACCTTGCCTCCTGGGTTCAAGTGATTCTCCTGCCTCAGCCTCCCAAGTAGCTGGGATTACAGGTGCCTGCCACCATGCCTGGCTAATTTTTTTGTATTTTTAGTAGATGAGGTTTCACCACGTTGGTCAGGCTGGTCTCAAACTCCTGACCTCAAGTGATCCACCTGCCTCAGCCTCCCAAAGTGCTGGGATTACAGGCATGAGCCACCACACCCTGGCCTAGATTCTACATTTCTAAAAAGCTCCCAGGTGATGCTGACACTGATGGTCTTTGGAGTCACTTCAGCAAGGTTGTAGCCTATATGTGTGTGTGTATAATATGTTCAATTTTTCAGTATTATGAATGATGATGTAGTGAATCTTTCCCCACAGATTTTTAAATTATTTGTACAATTTTTTAATGTAAATTCCTAAACTTGTATTGCTGGGTCAAATTAAAGCATAATTTAAGGGTTTTGATAGATACTGCACATTCTCCTCCAAAAATGTAGAACCAGTTTATATTCCCACTAGCAATTTATAAGTGCCTAATTCCCTGCATCAATATTGACACATAACTCTTGCCAATTTTATAGTCAAACAGTCAAACAGTTGTCCCTCAGTATCCATGGGGGATTGCTTCCAGGACCTCCCACAGATACCAACATTTGCCCATGCTCAAGTCCCCAACATAAAATGGTGTAGTACTTGCATATAACCTATGCATATCCTCTCTTATACTTTAAATCATCTCTAGATTACTTACAATATCCAATACATTGTAAGTGCTATGTAAATAGTTATACTGTATTGTTTAGGGAATACTAACAAGAAAAAAAGTCTGTGCATGTTCACTGCAGATGAAAGTTTTCTCTAATACACATATATACATACACATACATATATACATGTACATGTATACATATATACACATGCATGTATACATACATATATACACATACACGTATACATACACATATACACATATTTATACATACATATATACATACATGTATACATACATGCGTGTGCACGCGCACACACACACACACACACACATATATATATATATATATATATATATATATATATTTTTTTTTTTTTTTTGCTCTGTGGCCCAGGCTCGAGTGCAGTGGTGCGATCTTGGCTCACTGCAACCTCCACCTGCTGGGTTCAAGTGATTCTCATGCCTCAGCCCCCGCCGAGTAGCTGGGATTACAGGCGTGTGCCACCATACCCAACGAATTTTTGTATTGTTAGTAGAGATGGCGTTTCACCATGTTAGCCAAGCTGGTCTTGAACTCCTGACCTCAAGTGATCCACCCACCTTGGCCTCCGAAAGTGCTAGGATTACAGGTGTGAGCCACTGCGCCCAGCCTTTCCTGAATAATTTTGATCTGAGGTTGGTTGAATCCATGGATGCAGAACCCATGTATACAGAGGGCCAACGGTACCTCATTCTTGTTTTGATGTATACTTCTTTTATTAGTAGTGAGGATAATAGCTTCAGTATTTTTACTGGAATTTGCCTATCTCCTTTTGAAATTGCCTATTTGTGTCCATTTTCTATTAGGGTGTTTACTTTTGTTCTTACTGATTTGAAAGAAGGCTTATCTATTAGGGTTATTTAACCCTTCAATTGTTATAAATGTTTAACATCGTGTGCTTAGGAAACCACAAGTATTTACATAAGGCTGGAGTGAAAAAGAGAAATGGACCATGTATGGAAGGTTAGACAGACCAGCAGGGACAAGGGCATCAAGTGTCAAAAGTGCCAGCCTGCCGTTGCTGGGGGACCATGGACAGGTCCCAAGTATCCTTGAATTACATCACAGCTCTCACTCTAGAACCTGGGATGGTTGCATAGGTCAGACAGCGCTTCCTCACTTTCAGCAGGGCTGGAGGAACACAGCTTTCTTTTCATCAGAAAGTTTAAGCTTCATTTAGACTCCAACCTGCTTTTCTTTGTTTTATGTTAACACATACGTGCTTCAGAAATGTTATTGTCAACTTTCTTGAGTAAAATAAATATCTGCAATAAAAATTGAGGAAGAGGAATTTTCAAAAAGTAATCTAATGTCCGTTTGGAAGAAAAATAGGGGAATGGCACTAATTTTGAAAAAATAAAAATTAGTTGTGTCAGGTAATAAAGCCACAAAAGTTAAATGAGTAGTTCACCTTAGACTGAACAGATGAATGAAACAGACTCGTGGCCCAGAAGTCGACTCTGTACATATAATAATTTATAATACAAAAAGTAGGCGGGTGTGGTGGCGGGTGTCTGTAATCCCAGCTACTCGGGAGGCTGAGGTGGGAGAATCACTTGAACCTGGGAGGCGGAGGTTGCAGTGAGCCGTCATTGCATCACTGCACTCCAGCCTGGGTGACAGAGTGAGATTCCATCTCGGAAAAAAAAAAAAAAGGCTGGGTGTGGTAGCTCACACCTGTAATCTCAGCACTTTGGGAGGCCGAGGCTGGTGGATCATGAGGTCAGGAGTTCGAGACCAGCCTGGCCAATATAGTGAAATCCTGTCTCTGCTAAAAATACAAAAATGAGCTGGGCATGGTGGTGCGCGCCTGTAGTCCCAGCTACTCGGGAGGCTGAGGCAGGAGAATTGCTTGAACCCGGGAGGCAGAGACTGTGGTGAGCCAAGATCACGCCACTGCACTCCAGCCTGGGCAACAGAGCAAGACTCTGTCTCAAAAAAAAAAAAAAAAAATCAACGTGGGTCATGGGACAAACAAACATCAGGGTAATTTGTTGCTGGACAGCCTTTCTCCTTCAACAATTGCTTAATACAGAACTAGCAGCAATGTCTTCACAAGTTTCTGAGGAAAATTATCTTGTATAAGGAAGCCCAGACCAGACAAAGTTAAAATGGAGTGTGAATGTAAAAGATATTTTCACGGCCGAGCACGGTGGCTCACGCCTGTAATCCCAGCACTTTGGGAGGCCGAGGCGGGTGGATCACGAGGTCAGGAGATCGAGACCATCCTGGCTAACAAGATGAAACCCCGTCTCTACTAAAAATACAAAAAATTTAGCCAGGCGTGGTGGCAGGCGCCTGTAGTCCCAGCTACTCAGGAGGCTGAGGCGAGAGAATGGCGTGAACTGGGGAGGTGGAGCTTGTAGTGAGCCGAGATTGCGCCACTGCACTCCAGCCTGGGCAACAGAGCAAGACTCCATCTCAAAAAAAAAAAAAAAAATTTTCAGACATGCGAGAACCAGAAAGTTTATAATGCTCTGTGAAAAAATTATGTGAGGGGGAGTACTCTATCAACGTGAAAAAGAATCCAAGAAAGACTGTCATGTGGTGCAAGCGGTGGTGGCAGGTGAATATGATCCAGAAGTGAAGAACATAGAAAAAAAAATAAAAGTTTGAAATTGTTTGAAGTTTGTTTGAAATTGATGTTTGAAAGATTTTTCATAAACATACAATTAAAATGCTGTGTATTGGTTTTCAATTTTTAGAATGAAAGAACTAATTATATTAGCAGAACAGAAAGTATTGGAAGCCTTGACAATGTGAAATAACAAAAAATCGTAGTTGGAGGAGGGAGAAGGGAGAATCAAGGAAAGTGAGCTAATTTTCTCATTCTTGAGAGAGGGTAATCAATAGATACTGCCAAAAGGTGATAAATCAAGAAACAGATGTTTAAATATAGTGTTTAGCCGGGTGCAGTGGCTCACGCCTGTAATCCCAGCACTTTGGGAGGCTGAGGTGGGCTGATCACCTGAGGTCAGGAGTTCGAGACCAGCCTGACCTACATGGAGAAACCCTGTCTCTACTAAAAATACAAAATTAGCTGGGCATGGTGGTGCATGCCTGTAATCCCAGCTACTTGGGAGACTGAAGCAGGAGGATCACTTGAACCCGGGAGGTGGAGGTTGCAGTGAGACGAGCTGGCGACACTGCACTCCAGCCTGGGCAACAAGAGCGAAACTCTGTCTCAAAAATAAATAAAGTGTTTAAAGTCATGAAAGGAACTCTAGAAGAATTAAAAGTAATAATATATCTAACAAAATCAGGAGGTAGTGGTAGGAGATCATGTAAGTTGACTAAATTCCACACATTTTATAGCCAAGGAGCCAACAGGCACCATCTATTAATGGCATGTGATGGTTGCCACTGAAAGAATTAAAATCAGAAATTGCAGGAAATGAAACTAGAGTTGGGGAGAGGAGGAAGAAAAGCTGACCTTTTATTTTGGACCCTTCAAGACTGAATCTTTTTTTTTTTTTTGAGACGGAGTCTCGCTCTGTTGTCCAGGCTGGAGTGCAGTGGCGTGATCTCAGCTCACTGCAAGCTCCGCCTCCCAGGTTCATGCCATTCTCCTGCCTCAGCCTCCTGAGTAGCTGGGACTACAGGTGCCCACCACCACGCTCGGCTAATTTTTTTTTTTTTTTTTTGTATTTTTAGTAGAGACGGGGTTTCACCGTGTTAGCCAGGATGGTCTTGATCTCCTGACCTCGTGATCCACTCGCCTCGGCCTCCCAAAGTGCCGGGATTACAGGTGTAAGCCACCGTGCCTGGCCCTGAAACTTTTTTTTTTTTTTTTTTTTGAGACTGAGTTTCGCTCTTCTTGCCCAGGCTGGAGTGCAATGGCGCGATCTTGGCTCACCGCAACATCCGCCTTCTGGGTTCAAGCAATTCTCTTGCTACAGCTTCCCAAGTAGCTGGGATTACAGGCCTGCACCACCACGCCTGGATAATTTTGTGGTTTTAGTAGAGACAGGGTTTCTCCATGTTGGTCAGGCTGGTCTCCTACTCCCGACCTCAGGTGATCTGCCCGCCTGGGCCTCCCAAAGTGTTGAGATTAGAGGCGTGAGCCACTGTACCCGGCCTCTGAATCATTTTTATTTGTTTTATCATATGCATCCACTTATTTAATAAAAAAGCTATATTGATAACCATTTTTAAAATTATGGGACATCCATAACAGAATAGTATATAGCAGTTAAAAAAATGAGCTCCTGGCTGGGCGCAGTGGCTCACGCCTGTAATCCCAGCACTTTGGGAGGCCCAGGCAGGCGGATCACGAGGTCAGGAGATCGTCCATCCTGGCTAACACGGTGAAACCCGGTCTCTACTAAAATACAAAACATTAGCTGGGCGTGGTGGCAGGCGCCTGTAGTCCCAGCTACTTGGGAGGCTGAGGCAGGAGAATCGCGGAACCCAGAAGGCGGAGCTTGTAGTGAGCTGAGATCGCGCCACTGCACTCTAGCCTGGGCAACAGAGTGAGACTCCGTCTCAAAAAAAAAAAAAAAAGCTCCTGACATGGAAAGCATATATTTAAATGAAATGGGCAACTTGCAGCAAGATATGAATAATATCATTCTAGTTACATAAAATACGAAGTTTCTTATACATGTTTGTATATTCATAGAAAATGCCCAGGAGGATATAGACTAAACTGTTAACAGTGACTCTCCTCTAGGGAGTTGGCAGGAGGAAAGAGAATGAGGACTTCAAAGTTGCACACCTGGATCCCAGTCAAAAGGTTTCTGTTGTTGCTTTAATAAATAAAAAAAAAATTTTTGTTTTTTAAAATGAAAGTATTGGCTGGGCGCAGTGGCTCATGCCTGTAATCTCAGCACTTAGGAAGGCCGAGGCGGGCGGATTACCTGAGGTCAGGAGTTCGAGACCAGCCTGGCCAACGTGGTGAAACCCCGTTTCTACTAAAAATACAAAAAATTAGCTGGAGGTAGTGGCGTGCACCTGTAATCCCAGCCACTTGGGAGGCTGAGGCAGGAGAATTGCTTGAGCCTGGGAGATGGAGGTTGCAGTGAGCCGAGATCATGCCACTGCACTCCAGCCTGGCCAACAGAGACTGTCTCTAAATAAATAAATAAATAAAATAAATAAATCAATAAATAAATAATAAAATAAAAAAATATGAAGTCTTCAGGTCGGGTGTGGTGGCTCATGCCTGTAATCTTAGCACTGTGGGATGTTGAGGCGGGCGGATCACCTGAGGTCAGGAGTTCGAGACCAGCCTGACCAACATGGCAAAACCCCATCTCTACTAAAAATACAAAAATTAGCCAGGCATGGTAGCAGGTACCTGTAATCCCAGCTACATGAGGCTGAGAATCGCTTGAACCCAGGAGATGGAGGTTGCAGTGAGCAGAGATTTGTGCCACTGCACTCCAGCCTAGGAGACAGAACGAGACTCCGTCTCAAAAAAAAAAAAAAAAAAAAAAAGAATAAATAAATAAATAAATAAATAAAGTCTTCATAGAAAATTTGGAGAATTACAAAGAACAAGTCACCTATCCTCATAACCTTCTGGTATATTTCCTTCCAAATATATTTTTCTTTTTTTTCTGAGACGGAGTCTTGCTCTGTCGCCCAGGCTGGAGTGCAGTGGTGTGATGTCGGCTCACTGCAACCTCTGCCTTCTGGGTTCAAGCGATTCTCCTAACTCAGCATTCCGAGTAGCTGGGAATACAGGTGCGTGCCACCATGCCCAGCTAATTTTTGTATTTTTAGTAGAGACGGGGTTTCACCACGTTGCCCAAGATGGTCTCAATCTCTTGACCTCGTGATCTGCCTGCCTCCACCTCCCAAAGTGCTGGGATTACAGGCGTGAGCCACTGCGCCCGGCCCCAAATATTTTTTTCTCAATGCATCTGACGATTTCTAGCTTTAGGCAGGTAGCGGTGTGAAAAGAGCCCTGGAGTTAAGCAGAGCTGGGAGTCCTACCAACGCCACCAAATTCCAGTTGGGACCCTCGAGTAGATTACTTAACCCTTCTGTACAACCTTCCTCATCTCAACAAATGGTAACTTTATCCTTCCTGCTGCTCAGGCCAGAACTGTGGGGTCAACCTTGACTCCTCTCTTTCTCATCGAGTCCATCAGCAAATTCTATCAGATCTGCCTTAAGATATAACCAGAATCTGGCCACTTCTCTCCACCACTGGATTTCTGCAGTCTTCTCAATGGTAAAGGAGCTGGCCCCATTTCCTCTCTAACCTCATCCCCTGCTACCCTCTTGCCCCTTGCTCAGGGTGTCACAGCCACACCCACCCTCATATATCAGGCACACTCCCACCCAGGGCCTTTGCTATAGCTGCTCCCTCCACCTGGATGCTCATCTCGAAGATACTCAGGCAAAACTCACCAGATTCAAGTCTTTCCTCAAGTCCCATCTTTTCAATGTGTCCCCTGACCACCCTAAATCAAATAATCAAATCTTCCCTCACACGCCCAGTCCTTTTTTTTTTTTTGAGACAGTCTTGCTCTGTTGCCCAGGCTGGAGTGCAGTGGCGTGATTTCAGCTCACTGCAGCCTCTGCCTCCTAAGTAGTTGGGATTACAGGCGTGCACCACCATGCTCAGCTAGTTTTTGTATTTTTTAGTAGAGATGAGGTTTCACCCTGTTGTCCAGGCTGGTCTCGAACTCCTGGCCTCAGGTGATCCACCCACCTTGGCCTCCCACAGTATTGGGATTACAGGCGTGAGCCACCGTGCCCGGCCTTGGTCCTTCTTATTGTACTCCCCACTAATTAGGCTTACAACCTTTTAACAAACTATAAATACATTTATTTATAATGTATGAATGCCACAAAGGTAAAGTCTGTTCCATTCACTGATGTATTCCAAGCACCTAGGATAATGACTATCACACAGCAAATGCTCATTAAATATTTGTTGAAGGAGTGGATTAGGTCAAATTTTCTTATCAACACAATGGGCTTCATACATTGTTGTGAGAATTAAGTGAAATACTATATTCCAAATAACTTGCATAGCAGTCATCTAGCCTCATTTAGGATAGTTAAGGATGGCTTCTGAAGGAAATATTTTCAGGGGAGGGCTAAACAATGAGGGGTTAGCCAGGTGGAAGTGGGGGAGAATGTTCCAGAAGAACAGCTTGTAGGAAGATCTGGAGCTGAGATAGAATGGTGAGGCAGGGCCGGGCGCAGTGGCTCATGCCTGTAATCCCAGCACTTTGGGAGGCTGAGGCGGGAGGATCACCCGAGGTCAGGATTTCAAGACCTGCCTGGCCAACATGGTGAAACCCCATCTCTACTAAAAATACAAAAATTAGCCGGGTGTGGTGGCCCATGCCTGTAATCCCAGCTACTTGGGAGACTGAGGCAGAATTGCTTGAACCCAGGAGGCAGAGGTTGCAATGAGCTGAGATCGCCACTACTGCACTCCAGACTGGGTGACAGAGTGAAACTCTGTCTCAAAAACAAAAAACAAAAAAAAACAGGCAAGAAACTTAAAGAATTGATTCTGTGGTGGCTGGAGGGCAGGGGGCAAGAGGGGAGAAGGAAGATAAGGCCACACAGGCCAGGTCCTGCAGAGCCTGGAAAACCATGGGGACAGTGAGGACCTGGCAGGGTCTCCTCAGGACAGTGACTTGGTCATGTCTGCCCTGCGAGGCAGAATCACTCCCACTGTGCTGAGAACGGTTTGGCCCAGGCAGTGCTGGGGCAGACTGCCTGGTAGGAAGCACAGCGGCAGTGCAGGCGAGAGGGAAAGCGGCTTGGGAGACAGCCGTGGAGATGCAGACAACAGGCGTGGAGGCCAAGCAGGCAGGGTGTGACGATGAATGGAGGTGGGGGTGAGCATGCAAGCGATGCCTGCCTGGAATACCAGGTAGGTGGGGTGCCAAGCACTGCAATGGGGGCCCTGGAGGAGGAGCAGGCTTGCAGGGGGGAGTGAGGAGGGAGGGAAGTAGAGGAGAGAGAAGGCTGACACTGGCAATGAAAAGGGCAGGGACTCTGGAGCAGACATCAGCAGATGTGGGTCCCAGCTCTGGCGCTTACCTGCCCTGTGGTCTCTGATGAGTGATTCCACATAAGCCTGTTTCCTCATCTGAGTGCGGAGAGGAGGATCCTTCTGCCGGCTGCTCGCAAGGACTGGTGAGCAGGCCCATCACGCCCTCAGCGCAGAGCCTGCCTGGGGCAGTCCTGACTACCGGTCTTCCTCAAGTGAACACCTGGTACTTACCCCTTACTTGAAAATGTTTAATGGCTTGTTCTTTTATTTAGCAAAAGTTAATCAAATTTTCTAACATCAACAGTCATGTAATGATGGTGCCTTTTTTCTGAATAGAAATATGCCAGGCACCGACCTAGGTGCTAGGGATACCCAGAAGAGACTTGGTGCCAGGCCTCAGTCACTCACAGCCCCCAAGGAGATGGCTGCCAATACTAGAACGCGGTGAAGGACTCAATGGAGGTGGCCCAGGGTGTTAAGAACAGAAGCACTGCACCTGCCAGGGATCCCTGCATCCCTCTGACAATCACCTCAATCCCCTTAGCTGCAAGATCTGACTCCATCCGGCCCACCTTCCTAGCCACGCCTCTCTACTCCAATCTTAATGCACCTCCTGGAGTTTCTCACGAAGTTGGTCTGTGACAAGCTTCCAAGCCTTTGTACATGTTCCATTGGAAAACCTTTCCCTACCTTTAAAAACTAACTGCTACTTTGGCTGGGCATGGCGGCTCATGCTTGTAATTCCAGCACTTTGGGAGACTGAGGTGGGTGGATCACCTGAGATCAGGAGTTCAAGACCAGCCTGGCCAACATGGTGAAACCCCGTCTCTACTAAAAATACAAAAATTACCTGGGCGTGGTGTCGGGCACCTGTAGTTCCAGCTACTCAGGAGGGTAAAGGCAGAAGAATTGCTTGAACCCGGGGGGCAGAGGTTGCAGTGAGCCGAGATCACGCCACTGCACTCCAGCCTTGCGACAGAGTGGGACTCCATCTCAAAAATAAACAAAAAAAAACTAACTGCTACTCATTCTACGAAACACTCTGAATGCCACCTCCTCCAGGAAGCCTTCCCTGGGTCAGATGCTGCCTTGGTGTGGTTGTTGCTGACTTACGCATTTCTCTTCGCAGCTTGTTCTGGGTCTCCTTCATCTGTATCCCTAGAAGTTCCACAATTTGACAACCTGGTAGGACTTGTCTGCTCACCAGTGGAGCAGCTGCACAGCTCAGTGGGTGATGCAGCTGTGTGTCCAGGGGCCAGATGGACACACTGTTTTTTGTGTCCATTATCCACATTGCAATAATTACAGGAGATCTCACTAACCAATTTCCATACATTCAGTCTCTACTGCCACAGGGCCATCCCTCTCCTCCAAGGTAGTGGGAGAGGGGCAGTCCCAATGCCCCGATAGTGCAACCCACAGAATCTTAAAGGGAAAGAGAGGCAAAGGGTATGCTCCCCGGCCTAGGGTGCTCTTCACATGCACTGGTGGCTCTGGCCTGGCTGGCTCTTGGTGGCCTGGTTTTCAGGGTTTATAACCACTCCTTTCTGAAAGTGGGTAGCCATGCCAGGAGCCTACACTGGCACAAATACTTAGGGTACCCTCCCCGTCTCCTCAGGAGCAGGGAATCTCCAGAACCCATCCTAGCTACTGATTTGGCCCAGACTCTTTGGTTCCAGAAACAGCTGAGACAGAGTCCTGGTTTGTAAGAAATCTGATTATTCAAATTTATTACCATCAAGAATTATGCAATGATGCTGTAGTTTTTCTTAACAAATAGAAAACAGACTGTGTACAACAGTGAACTCTACAGCACTAGCATCCACAAGGTAAAAATGAATGTTTCATCATCCAACATTACCAACCCTGGAATGTTGATCTTGACTTAGCCTAGCTAGGTTTGGGGACGTCGGCACCACGTCCCTCAGCTAAAACAGCTATGCACCCTTCCCCGCCCCCACTTACCTATCTAGATAGCGCTGCCCAGAGGAAGAGGCGCTCTCCCTGCCCCTCAGCAAGCTGGGATAATAAGGACTGATTAGAGTACCATTGATAGAAGTCCAGTAGTCTTGCCACATTGGTTTATGAGGGCATCTTGGAGTGGAAAAGAGCGATTATCGGGGGCTTTGAAAACAGCTGCAAACCAGGGAGGAAAATCATCTGGCCCCTGCTCTGAGGACAGACATGTGCTACCAGGCCCACTGGCCTGGACCTGAAAGGCCAGCCACGCCCCCGCTTGGCCCTGAGGTGCATGGGGTGTGGCACACACCCTAACCTGTGCTATTCACCTTGGCCACACAGCCAGACCCCACAGCCTACAAACACCACACCATACTGCAATGCTGGGGACCAAAGCCAGGCTCTGTGGGCCCAGGTCAGCCAGCAGCTCCCTCGGGAACCCCAGGCACACGGAGTTGCTTCCCCTCTTGAGGGTTTGAAGCAGAAGCCAAGGGCTGACTCTTTTTTTTTTTCTTGGGTTTTTTGTTTTTTTTGTTTTTTATTTTTGTGGTTTTTTGTTTTTGTTTTAACCTTTGCAAACACGATGGTGATGAGGAATGCCTTGCCAGGCTCTCCCAGACACATCTGTGGTTCTGGGCTGTGAATGTTAAACACACACTGGGATAGACGACCAGGGATGAGTGTTCCCTATCTTCTCCCCGCCCACCACTGTCAATGTGGCCTAAAAAAAGGCTTTAAAGGGAAAACAAAACTTAAAAAAACATTGAGTTTCCCTGCATTTAGCTGAAACAGGATCTCGTCTGAAGGGCTGGAGGAGCAGCCGGATCAGCACTGCCTCCCGGCCCACGGCCGAGCCTCCGCTCAGGCTGGCAGCCCCAGCTCTGCACGAGGAAGGCAATGTTCTGTCCTTCAGCAGAAGTCATACAAAATAAGGATCCAAAGTGAACTCAAGAAAAAAAAAAACAAAACAAAATAAACCCCAACCCCTACAGTGGCCCATTCTGCAGATACGGATTCGCGAAAGGAAAAATCAGAGGGAAGAGGCTAAAATCCCTCAGTCTACCCCACTTAATGTATTAAAAAGGAGGCTTTGCCCCAACCCCACCCCATGAGAAGAAGCATGAGAAATGCGGGAGCGCAACAGAGAGCTTGAAGCGGGCTCCAGGTGGGTCTGGTGGACAGAAGGGCCACAGTGCCTGCCTGCTGGGCCATCCACTTGCCCAGGGATGTTCTAGGCTCTCTGATTGGTGTGGCAACGTTCCTGAAACGCTGTGATCCCCGTGGGCTGTGCTCTGCCAGTGACAGCATCTGCGTAGGAGGGCTGGACGATGGTCGGTATGGCTCAGAGGAGCTGGGTCCCCTCCGGAGCCCCACGGCGGGGGTGGCGGAGGAGAGGGGAGCGGTAGTTACGTTGCATAGTGGTCAAAGCTGCCGAGGTACTCCAGGGCCGCACGGTAGCACAGCTGATACTGGTCCTGCCAGGATAGGGGGCTGGTCAGTGTGGGTCGCGCCAGTGGACACCCCCACTACACAGCTGACACTCACACTGCAGCCATGGAGTTAGCCTCTGCTGGCCAAGAGCAGGTGCTGGACCCTGGCAGCTACATCAGGCAGTGTGCGGGGGAGCCTGAAAGAGCCTCTGAAGGCTCATCTCTCTCCTGTCATTCTCTCAGGCCCCCACATCTACCTGCCTTCCATCTGCCATCCCAATCATGTTTCTCTGCTCCTGACTGGGCACCCCATAAGGATTGCTCTGTGCAACCTTGCCCAGAGCCAGGCACACCACTGGGGCTCAGCAGAGAGCTGCCGAATGAAAGAACACATCTTACTCATCAATCCCCTGAGCCCCCAGGCAGCACAGGCAATGTTGCAGCATTTTTGTTTTGTTTTGTTTTGTTTTCAGCAACAGGGTCTTGCTCTGCCACCCAGGCTGGAGTGCCGTGGTATAATCATAGCTCACTGCAGCCTCGAACTTCTGACCTCAAGTGATTCTCCCACATCAACCTCCCAAGTAGGTAGGACCATAAGCACACACCACCATGCCTATCGCAGGCCACGTGAAAGGTTGGCAGCATGAATGAATGCACATGCCTGTGGGCATCAAACTGTTGCTAAAGCCTAGGGTTCCCAGCAGCGCTGCTGCCAAGGCCCTGGCCCTGCAGCCTGGTCTGCGTTACCTCTGTCTGCACCATGGCAGGACGCTGTGTACGCAGGGTCTTCACGGTCTGAAACATGTCGACCACGCCCTCGTAGCGCATGCGCTCCAGGACGATGCTCAGAGTGATGAACACCCCGGTGCGGCCCACGCCAGCACTGCTCAGAAACACAGTTGGGTCAGGAGTCCTGCTTGCCTCATGCAGTGGGTCTGCCAGGCCTTCAGGCCCACCCACCCCAGCCCTCCAGGGGGCCAGTCCCACCTGCAGTGCACCGTGATAGGCCCATCCTGTCCAAACTGCTCCTTGGTCTTATGCACCTGCCCGATGAAGTCAATGAATCCCTCGCCTGTCTTGGGCACGCCCTGCTCTGGCCAGTCTGTGAACTGGAACTGCCGGATTGTCCTTGACTGCCCATCCTGGGAAAGGTGGGTGGGGTACATGATTAGAATTCGTGCCTTAGGCAGCCACCCCTCTGGACTAGACCAGGGTAGTACCATGATACAGGCATGCATCTGTGTCACTGCACCCGAGGCCACAGGGGGAGATGTGCTCACACCCTAATACCCACCCACCGCCTCAGATTTCTGAAGCTTGAGCTAAGGTACCATGCAGGCAGCCATCCACCCAGCGTGTGGACAGGCAGCGTTATGGACACACTCAATGCACTCACTCACCCGGGCATCCGTGACCTTGAACTCACGCAGGATATACTGGGGCATGTTGTACTCAGCCATCGGGTCAACAACAAAGTACTGGTAGCGAGCAGAGCGCTCTGCTGGCCAGTACTGGTGGCATTTCTCCTGTGGACAGAGGGTCGGGCCCCCATAATCAGGTGAGAAGGAATAGGGGAGGGGTGCCAGGCTTCACAGGATTCTGGGACAGATGCCTCAGGTAGTAATAACGGGCGCCTGAGGCCATGCTGACAAGCAGCTGGGGTGTCAAAGGAGACAGTAACATAGGCGGCAGCTCCCCCAAGGGTGGCTGGTGTTCTCCCAGGTATGACAGGGGCCCTGGGGGAAAGGGTGGGCTCACCCTGCCCATCTCCCGAAGCTTGGTCAGCATGACGATGATGGTGGAATTGTGCTCCCATAGCATGCGCCAGAAGTCCTCGGTGCTCTCTGCCAGAGGCCCCTGTGTAGCTATGTAGGCCTTCTGCTGTCTGGGGTGGACATAAGACTGGACATGCTGGAGGTGCTGCTGCCCCTAGAGTCTCCCCTTAGGCTGCCTAGCCCCTTGGGGCCCTGCTCAGATCACCCCTCCTCCAGGAAGTCCT
Organism: Homo sapiens; assembly: GCF_000001405.40. Classification (NCBI taxonomy): domain Eukaryota; kingdom Metazoa; phylum Chordata; class Mammalia; order Primates; family Hominidae; genus Homo; species Homo sapiens. The sequence goes on along the minus strand of NC_000001.11, from coordinate 43,619,980 downwards.
CACTGCTCTACCCAGCCCTCTCTGGTCTTCTAGGCTGGCCCTACTCTGCTGCCCACCCCCACCAGCCAGGCACAGGCCTAGGCCCCTGTAGGGCATGGTGGGGCAGTGACATGCATGCTGACCTATAACCATCCAGGAAGCTGGCATTGATGTAGTCAGAGCCCTCCACACCACGGATGGGCTGCAGACACACACGGGTCAATTCGTAGGGCATGATGTTCACCAGCCGGTTCTTGAACTTGTTGCAGGGCAGGTTGGCGCTGATGAAGCGGGACGTGTGGGCCTTGGAGCTGGCCAGCAACTATTGAGAGGCAGGGATTGGTCAGGCCAGGCTTCCTGTGGGGGTGGGGGTCATCTGCATGACCCAGTCTAGGCCCTGGAGCCAAGCAGGCCCACCCGAGCCCCACCTTGAACTCGAGCTCCATGGCGGTCACACTCTCCCCTGGAGGCACTTGGCCCAGCTTCTGGATGTGGGCATACAGGTTGCGGGCAGGCACCTCTGTGTGGCCGCACGTGGCAGCCTCCAGCAGCGCCTCATGGATGAACACGTACTGGTCCTCCGTCTGCACCATGTAGTTCCTCTGTGATCGCATGCAGGTCACGTGGCCATAGATGTCCACCGTCTTCTCGTGCTTCATCCGCTCCAACATGGCATCAATCACGATGAAGCAGCCGGTGCGGCCCACGCCCGCGCTGCAGGACACGGGCTCAGCTTGAGGCACAGGCGCCCCCACCTCCCACCCCACCCACCCCTCTGGGTGGCACTGTACCCTCTCACCTGCAGTGCACCACCATGGGCCCTGCGTCTAGGGGGTTGCAGGCCTTGACCCGTCGTAGGAAGGCCAGGATGGGAGTTGGGTACTCAGGAACTCCATGGTCTGGCCAGGCCATGAACTGAAACTGACGCAGCTCGCGCTTCTCACTGGAGCCACTCTGGGGGACAAAGTGGGGACATACTGGCGACTAGGAGCCTACCTGCCATAGACTCAGGACTGAATGACCTGATGCTGAGGCCATACCCGCCACTTCCCCATGGGACTCAGAAGCCACACAGAGTAGCCTGAAGCTCCTAGCACTGTTCCCATAACATGGATCATCACATCACTCACACACCTGAGCCTCCGACCCTCCAACACCCAGGCTCCAGCTTCCCCCCGACCCAGCACACCACACCCAGGCCACTGTCCTTACAGTGTCTGGGTAAGAGATATGCACTGGGGAAAGGCTATACCTTGTGGAGTGCGAAGGTGCGCACAGTGTATGTGGCCAGCTCCACTGTGTCCAACAGGGTCACCTGAATAAGGCCACAGGTCTCGGTGCCACGGGCTGGCCAGTACTGATCACATTTTACCTGCAGGAGGATGAGCAGGGCAGGCTGAAGGAAGCCCACAGGCTCAGACGGGCAGAAGCAGGGTGGAGGCTGGTCAACTCCCTGGCTGTAGCCTTTCTGGCTACAAAGCCCCCCAGCCCTGAGCTCTCAGATCCATTGCCCCCTGTCCTCCACAAGCCACATCAGGTCCTCAAGCTATGTCACCGCCCTGCCCTAGCTAGTGGAATAAGGGTCATAATTGAAAATTATTTATTCAACGCCAGATCGCACCAGGCACATTTTCTGCCAAATTTACCCATAACGTTTATGTGCCATTTTCAAGCTCTGTAAATTTTACGTTCCAGTCAATGCTTTGCAGTCCAAAAACAGATAACAGCAGCTCTTTCCACTAATTAACTTAGGAGATGTGTTAATGCCCCAGGAACACTCCAGCATCTGGGGAACACATGAATACCCCGGGAACACGCCAGCAACTGGGGAACACATTAACATTCTCCGAAAATGACAGCATTTGGTGAAACATATTAACATCTTAAGGAACCCACTAGCATGTGGGGAACATGCTGTATCCCAGAAACACCCAGTATTTGGGGAGCATAATACCCCCAGTAACAATAGCATCTGGGGATCACTTGAGCGACTTCCTCCACAGAAGAAAGCGGCACAGAAGAAGGTGCCCTGTATCACCTTGTGGCTGGGCATTTCCCACCCGCCTCCTGGCAGGGCCCTGCAGCCTCACCCGGGACTTCTCCTCCAGCCGTGTCATCATGACCACAGTGGCCGTGCGCTGTTCCCACACCATCCTCCAGAAATCACCCATGGTCTCGGGCAGGGGGCCCTGCGTGGCGATGTAGGCATTCTGCTTGCGGTAGCCATCGATGTAGTTGGCATTGATGTAGTCACTCCCGGGGACGCCTATGGATAAGAAAGGAGGTGGGAGGGCATTACTACAGGGTCCCCAGCCCAGCCCACCATGCCTCAGTGCACCCCTGAGACTCGTGGACATCCTCTGTAGAATGACATGTTGCCCTAGCTAGCAAGGGGGAGAGCAAGGGGATGGGAGGGGCACCCCCTTGGCTCACCATCGATAGAGGTAAGGATGACTCGAGAGTGGTCGTAGGCGATGACATTCGCATAGCGGTTCTTGGGCTTGTTCACCTCCAGGTTTGAATTCTCCCACGTGAACTGCTGTCCAGGGTCGATGGACTGCAGAGAATGGAGAAAGCGGGTGGGGTGGGGTAAGAGCCAAGGTTGACCTGCTTCTCCTGCAGGGGACCCAGCCTTCCCGGTGATGCTCACATCCTGCCTTCACTCCACAGGCCACAGCCAGGCCCTCTATCTCGTGGTGCCAGCCATGGAGCTCACAGGTTGCCACATCACCTATCAGAAAAGTGATGGACTGGGGACTCCTCTGACCATGGTACCAAATCCCCTTGCCTGGTAGAGTGGTCTGAGCTGGGATGGGGCAGGTGAAGGGTCTCTCGAAGCCCTGCACTCACCTAATGAAATGAGCTAGGACAGGTGGTGGCCCCCTCTCAGGCAGTCCCGAAACTGCTGAGGGCTCTGAACACCCAGAGTCCCTCCCGAAGCCCTGCATTCACCTAATGAAATGAGCCAGGACAGATGGAAGGGATGGTGGCCCCTCTCAGGTAGTCCAGGATCCCTCCCTGCTCGGCTCTCTTCCTTTCAGCTGCTCCTTCTCTGTTTCCTCTCTCTCCCCTGCCCTTCCCGTGGGCAGGACGCAGAGCTCCTCCAGGGTTCCTTCTAGGCCCTCTTCTCTCTCTACAACCTTTCCTGGGTGACCTCATTTGCTCACCTGATTCTTACACCACATGCTGGAGCTGCCCATAACCTCAGCAGCAGCACAGAGCTCTTCCCCGAGTACCCAGCAGCCTCTCTGACACCTCCACCGGGAGGTCCTTCAACCGCAGTCCTTTCAAAGCTGAGTTCATCAGCTTCCCCTCCAAACCTGGCGCTGCTGCTGGGACTACACCTTAGCGAAAGGCACCCTCACCCCTCAGTGCCAGGCCAGAACCTAGAAGTCAAGCTCAAAATTCCTCCGGCCTCCACCAACCCCGCCCTGCCAGTCACCAGGTTCTGGTGCTCCCCCACCCCCTCAGCTCTCTCCAACCTGCTGCCACTGCCCTGGGCCAGGCCACCCCAATTGAGGCTCAGCCTCTTCCTGCCTCTTTCCTCTTGTCCCACTCTGACCCACTCAGCCCCACAGCCAGAATAATCCTTCCAAAATGCAGATGTGAATATCAATTTCCTGCTTAAAGGCCTTCTGTGGCTCTTCTTCACCTCGGAGAGCAATAATGATAATAGCGAAGCGTTAGTGAGGACCCACAGTGTGCCTGGCACCGCTGTGAGCACTTTGCATGTATTCCCTCCTCAAATTCTCATACGAGATAGGTTCCATTATTATCTTCACATTTTCCAGATGGATACTATCTGAAGTTCTCAGCATAGCACGCAATGTCCTCCATATGTTGTCCCCAGCCTCATTACTCTCCACAGGACCGCGTCACTGCTTCCGTGAGACCCCGCAGCACACCCCACACCTCAGGCTGCTCTGGTGCTGTCAGCCCACCTTTTGCACGCCTGTCGGTACTATTCAACACCAGGGCATGCTGTCAGAGTCACATATTCAATGCTGATTATCTGTCTGCACATGCTCCCCACGACTGGGTTCCCTGAGGGCATGTGTCTCCACATCCCCAGCACGGGGACTGGCACATGGAAAATGTGTGATCAATGACTGACTGAACGTTAAAGACAACAGAGCAGGCCTGGTGCAGTGGCTCACGCCTGTAATCCCAGCACTTGGGAGGCCAAGGTGGGCGGATCACGAGGTCAGGAGATCGAGACCATCCTGGCTAACACGGTGAAACCCCATCTCTACTAAAAATAAAAAAAATTAGCCGGGTGTGGTAGCGGGCACCTGTAGTCCCAGCTACTCGGGAGGCTGAGGCAGGAGAATGGCGTGAACCCAGGAGGCAGAGCTTGCACTGAGCCGAGATCACGCCACTGCACTCCAGCCTGGATGACGGAGCGAGACTTCCAAAAAAGAAAAAAAAAAAAAAAAAAAAAAAAAAAAAAGACAACAGAGCTATGGGGTCCTGGCTGAGGGAGAGCCCACGGCAGCCTTGGGGAGCCTGAGAAGGCTTCCTGGAGGAGGAGGGTCTTGTAAGGAAAGCTCTGATCAGAGGAGGGAAGCAGGTAGAAGATGGAAGGGGACTACTGTGAACAGAGGCCCCACGAGCCCAGATGGGGAAGCAGGGCTGCGCTGGAAGGAAGGGCAGGTGTAGGACATGGTACAGATGAGTGTGGGTGGAGGCCATGGGAGGCAGGGAGCCCACCTTACGGGCTCCGTGACCCAAAGCCCAGCCTTGTGTGGAGCAGGGCCCCAGGGGGGCCCTATAGGCAGAGGCAGCACGGTTGCTGTGCCGCAGACATACTCATCCATTTGCCTGCCAAGCCCAGCTTTCTCTTCAGAAACCTGGCCCACAGCCCTTGGGAAAGGCAATCTTTGAGCCCTAGGATGCATCCCCCAAACACAGCTGAGGGTGGACATCAGAAGGGGCGCAAACTCACAGGTTAGGCTCAGCCAACCCCTCAATTGCCTGTCCACCAACCATCTACTGAGGCCAGTGCCAGGTGCTGAGGAAACAGCTGTGGACAAGGCAGAACGACAAGCACAGGCTGCTGCTTGGAGGAGGTGGAAGAGGAGGAGGTCTCTCTCTCTCTTTTTTAAGTAAAAATACTCTTTTTTAAGAGTTTTTTTTATTTTATATTTTTTGAGAGGGAGTCTCACTCTGTCACCCAGGCTGGAGCGCAATGGCATGACCTTGGCTCAACGCAACCTCCGCCTCCCGGGTTCAAACGATTCTCCTGCCTCAGCCCTCACAAATAGCTGGGACTACAGGCATGTGCCACCACAGCTGGCTAATTTTTGTATTTATAGTAGAGATGCAGTTTCGCCACGGTGGCCAGGCTGGTCTCAAACTCTCGACCTCAGGTGATCCACCCGCCTCGGCCTCCCAAAGTGCTGGGATTACAGGCGTGAGCGACTGCGCCTGGCCAGGAGTCTTGTCTTTAAATCACCTCCTTCTCTAACAAATCCCCTTCCTAGATGGGCAGCCTGGGGATGCTCAGAGTCACCCCGACACCATCTGTGGGTGGGAAACCCTCAGACTCTTGAAGGCTCAGCCCCCAGCAGGCTCCTAGGAGTTAAGTCCAGAACAAGATGAACGTGTGGAGGGCTCCAAGCGGGACTTGTACAGCCTGAGCAGCCAGTCTCGAGGCCCCGACTCCCCGTGAGCTGTGGCATCGGAGTACACACGTGAGCACATGCATGTGCAGAGCACAGGGCAGCAGGCAGGCCTGGGTTTGAATCCTGGCTCCACTACTCATCAGCTGTTTGACTTGGGCAAGTCACTTCCCCTCTCTGAGCCCCCGCTTCCTCACCTGGAAGATGGGATAATAACAGTCCCCATTTCTGAAGACTGTGGGGGAACCAAAAGAGATAATGCATGCCAAGTGCCCAGACCGGTGCTGGCCTGCAGGATGCTCTTGATAGATGCCAGCTACTGTGGCTGTTATCACTGATCTATGTCTGTATGCCTGTGGCCTTGTGTCTGCCTGTGAGCACTTGAGCACGTGTCTGAGTGTCCAGACCCTGGTGTCACTCACAGCCTTTTGAAACCATCTCCTAAGGGTGACCCCAAGAAGGTGCTGGGCCAGGCTATGGCCAGACCCAGCATCTGAGGCACCCGGTTCCCAGCTGACCCTTACCACTGCCAACCCTCCTCTCTGTGCTCCTGAAAAAGCTGGACCCCTGCTTCCTCACCCACCACAGCTGGGACCTAGGACAGGACAGGAGCTGGTTTGGGTAGGCCTGGGCCAGGCACATGGTAGGGGGCGGGAACATCTCACCTCATACTCCTGGGAGAACTTGAGGCCATCGTTGGCTTTGAGGCGCTCGATGTTGTCCGCCAGGTCGGTGATGGGGATGGGTGGGTGGTCTCGCATACCTAGGGGAGGTAGGGCATACACAGGCAGCATTAGTGTGAGGCTTGAGCAGTGTGGCAGAGAAAGCCCCAACGCATGTATGTGCACATGTGAACATGTGTGACCATGGAGCACTTGGAACTGGTGGCATGGAGACAGCAGCACATGCGGCGACAGGGATGGCGGAGGGTGGGAGAGGACAGAGGGCGGTGTTGTGCCATGAGCATGTGGAGCCTGTTTTGGTGGCGGGGTGCTGAGTGGGGGCACTAGGCCCTGCCTGGCAGGTCTCTCAAGATGGAAGAGAGGCTTCCTTCCTCCCAGGAGGGGTGGGACGCCCAGGTCGGTGGCAGCAGACGTGACAGGAGCTGGGCTCCATCGCATCTGCCTGCAGACAGCCCTCCTGCCCCTCACCGGTGGCAGTCACCATGGGAGACTCACAGCCATCGTCATCCCGGGCACCAAGTGTGTAGATGGAGTGGTCATGAAGTACAGACACAATAGAGAGAGAAGCAGAGACCAGGAGGGGGGTGTGAGACAGAGGAGAGGAGATGAGAGGTAGAGGCACGCAGAAGGAAGGGTGTCAGGCCGGGACTGGAGGCCAGAGAGGCAGAACAGAGACGGGGCCGGTGGGAGAGAAAACAGGCCTGGAGGAAGCAAGGTGGGCAGAGGGGAGGGTAGGGAAGGAAAAAGGTTAGGAGACAGTGGGATTGGGGGAGAAGAAAGGGAAGGGGAGAGAAGAATTCAAGGAAGGATGGAGGCGATGGGGTAAACAAAAGTAAGGAGTGGAAACAGACACAGAAGCCAAAGTATCCCCCAAACACGGGAACTTTGAAAACTAACTTGAGGTATTCGGGCAACTGGGGACACTGGAACCTGCAGAGAAAAAAACAAACAAACAAACGAAAAAAACAACGGGGCAAGAAAAGAAAGCCCGTTAACTTTTTCTGCTTACAGCACCATCACACACAGTGGAGGTGCCGAGCGGGCTTGCGAGGGGCTGGCGGAGAAGAGGAGGGGGCGGTGAGGGGCTGGGGCTGCGGACAAGTTCCGTCAAGGCTCCTTCTGTCTCCCAGTTAATACAGACTGGGTGTCCCACCCCCAGAGGCGAGCACTTCTAAACCCTGGTGGCTCGGCAGCCTTGGGGGGCTCTATGACTAAATACTTAAGTCCAAACCAGCCCTGCCCCTTTTGATACCAAAATTTGCCCTTGGCGATTTTCAGATGATTTCCACGTTGGAAAAAAGAGCCCTCCTTCTCAGATCCCACACCCTCTACTCTCCCACTGTGCCCTGCTCATTGCCTCCTTCCCAGGTATCTTCCCAGGATCTTTGAAAGGGGTTTCTCCACTTTCTCAGCCCCCACTTGCCACGCTGCTCACTGCAACACTTCTGCCCACAGGACGTGGCCACCACCCTCTCTTCAAGGCCCCATCTGCCAAAGCCAACGGTCCTCCCACTGGGTGTCCCCACTGCCCTACCTCATTAAGTCCTCTCGTCCCTTGCACAACTCCCCCAACCCTGGCATCAGGGACACTGCGCTCCTGCTCTCGTCTGGCTGTGGCTGCTCCTTCTCAATCTCCCTAGCTGCTCTCCATCCATCTTTCCTTAATGCTGCACCACCTTCCCTGCCCTGGGCTTTTTGGTCCCGGTCTCCTTCTGGCCCTCACCCTGGGAGAGCCCATCTATTCTCAGGCTTTGACTACCACATGCTCCTTGGCCCCTCCCACAGGGCTTCAGCCCTGATGTCAGCTCAGAAGTCCTCAGACCCACAGACCCACCAGCCCCAGGACACCCCTACCCCCTGCTCATTCAGCCAGCAACTGCAGAGCCACCCTTACCTCTCCCCAAGTGGGCTTAAGCCCGGACTCTGCTGTCCTCACCTCCTTCACGTTTCCCAAGTCTGTCCCCTCTGTTCCCACTGCCACCTTTCACTTGGTTGCTGGCCTTTTAAATGGTCTCCCTGCCTCAATTTCTCCTCTCTAATCCAGTCTCCTCAAGGAGCCAGAGTGACATTTCTAAAGCATGGTTCTGACCACCTGGCTCCCCCGCTGAAAACCTTTAATACCTACCTCCCTGGCATCCTGAAGAGGAAGTCTAAGCCCCTTAGCCTGACATTCAAGGTCCTTTTGACTGGACCTCTGCCTAGCCCTCCAGTCTTCTCTTGGCTCAGTATTCCCCAAGCCCCTAACTCTCATGCTGCAGAAACCCTCAGGTGCTCATAATTTGACGCACATGCAATCTGCCCAAGCTTCTGCACATGCTTCCACTGAGGAGCTCTCTCCCATCCTTCTTTTCCAGACCAATAACCACATGGCTCAGCATCCCATCCCCGAAGAGGCTTCTCTGCACTCCAGGTCCCAGCATCCTGGTGCTTGATTCTTCAGAGATCTAATCATGCTGGGTTGCAACAGCCTGCTAGGTCTGCCTGGCACACTCTCCAGACACATGCTCATGAAACTCAGTCACCATGTTGTGAGGAAGCCCAGGCCACCTGAAGAAGCCTCATGTTGGGTGTCCCAGCTGACAGCCACAGCAAGGCTCAGAGCTGGCTCATCAACCACCAGTCACATGGATGAAAGAGGCTTTAGAGTCCAGGGGTTGGCAAACTTGGTATCCATAACAGGCCAGAGCGTAAATAGTTTAGGCTTTGTGGACATCTGGTATCTACTGCATCTATTTAATGGTGCCTTTACAGTGCAAAAGCAACCATAGGTAGGTAGCATATAAATAAATGGGTGTGTCTGTTCCAGTAGAATTTTATTTATTTGTTTATTTTTGAGATGGGGTTTTGCTCTTGTCACCCAGGCTGGAATGCGATGGTACGATCTTGGCTCACGCAACCTCTACCTCCTGGGTTCAAGTGATTCTCCTGCCTCAGCCTCCTGAGTAGCTGGGATGACAGGGGCCACACACCTGGCTAATTTTTGTACTTTTAGTAGAGATGGGATTTCATTAGCTGGTCTCGAACTCCTGACCTCAGGTGATCCACCCGGCTCAGCCTCCCAAAGTGCTGGGATCACAGGCATGAGCCACCACGCCCAGCCAGTAAAAATTTATTTACAAAAACAGGTGGTGGGCTGTACTTGGCCACGGGCCATAGTCTGCCAACCCCTGCTTTAAATGACTCTAGCTCCCAGCCTTCAAGTCTTCCGGCTGAGGGCCCAGACTTTCTGGAATAAAGACAAGCTGTTCCTGCTGTGCCCCTGTCTGAATTCCTGCCTCACAAAAACTGTGACAGATAATACATAATTATTGTTGTTTTAAGCCACTAAGTTTTGGGGTAATTTGACATGCAGAATAACCAGCTCATACATACACAAACCCTGTGTGTATGCATTAGTTCACTCATTCCTTCATTTGTCTGTGTGTTCATTTCACAGGCATTCAACAAGAACCCATCGTGCGCTGAATACAAGGGATGGGGGATGACAAGACACAGTTCCTGGCACCACAGAGCTCAGAGACTGTCACTGAGGTAATCCCAGCTCACTGTGAGAGGCGTCAAAAGGAAGAAGGAGGGAGGTTCCTGGAGCCAAGAAGAGACACCTAACCCTGTGGGGGTGTGGGCAAGAGGAGAGGTCTGAGCTGTGTCTGCTGGGTGTTGGGAGGAGTAACATTTCAGGTAGAAGGAAGAGGTGGACAGCCCCATGAGAGTGGCTAGGAGAAGGGGCAGGTACGTGGTATGGTAAACCTGGGGTCGGCCTCCAGGAAGGCTCAGGTGCAGGCACTTCATCTCCCCACAGATGTCTGGTGAGGCATCTCCCACTGCTAACATGCCCCTCTTTCATGTGGAGGCGTCAGAGCGTGCGCCAGACACTGGCCACCCTGTGGCAGAGACGTGGGCTCTGGGAGGTCCTCAGCCCATATTCAGAGGCCTTGACTGAAGACAAGGCAGTGGCTAAGTGGCTTTGCCACCTAAGAGGGTCCTGGCCTGGGGCACCTGTCCAGCTGCAGGATATGGGGGCTCCCCAGTCATTCCAACCAAAGTGGATGAGCACAGGGAGAAGGGCAGAAAGGAAGAAAAGGAGCAGGAACAAGTGCATGCGGCCCAGGAACTTCAGTGGCGACCCTGAGACCTGCAGAACAGACCCACAGGCCTGCTAGGTCTGGGCTGGGGGCACACAGGCCATAGGAGTGCCCTACCTGGGGTCTGGTAGTTGAGCCTCCGCATCTCCACAGGGTCAGAGGAGTGGGCCAGCAAGGAGTCCTTCAGTCCGATCGACTGCTCATCCTTAGAGGACGGAGAGTGGGTCCTTTTCCTAGAGAGACAGAAGGGAGGCTGGTGAGAACCTGAGGTCCAGGCTGAGACAGTGACACATGGCATGGCTGGCTGCCAAGGAGCCCCCATGTCCACGGCTCTGTCCTCCTACTGCCCCACCTCTTCCCAGGATCTCTGAGCGCGGAGGAGCCAGGGCCAGAACAGCCTTGACATGAGAGAACACAGGGCAGGGAGGGGGTAGGGAGAGCAGGAGTGTGGCGTGAGCAGAGGGGCAGTGCAGCAGGGAGGAAGGGGTTGCAGGGGCGAGCAGCTCCTTTGGATAGAAGGCAGGTCACTGCAGGACAGTGACTGCTATCTCCAAGGCCACCCAGCTGAGTAGCAGGAACCACCGGGAACAAACATGCAAATGACACATAAAATACACAAACAGCACAGGAGACAGGGCCCCAGCTTTTTGGCCCTCAGAGTATCAGGGTAAATGCCCAGGGCAGCAGGGGAGGGACGGGAAAGGCGTCACCCTAGCTGGGCAGAGTCCTCTCTCACTGGCCTCAGTTTTCCCATCTACAAGGACAGGGTCAGAGACAGACCATAGGATTCAGCTGCCAACAAATAGCCAGAGGCTACTTGTGGTCTGCAGACGCATGTGCTTCGGAAAGAAGAATTTGAGTGAGTGTGCTCAGGTGGGTACAAGGACATGCCTCTCTGCTGTTCCACACAGTGACTGCTCTTTGCTCTGTGCGAGACTGTCTCTCGCAGCACTTAGGCAACTTCTCAGAGAACTGGGAGCCGGGTGATGGTTCTGGTGAGCTCTGTACGCTCAGGGAAAGCAATGCAGTCTGTATTATGTATGTGCCCCAGAGAAGAAGCATCCTCTGCAGAGTTGAACTGGCAAGAGTGAGACAGAAACTGCCTCCTCACACCAATGAGGACTCAGTCCTGAACCAGGGAGCCTGCTGAGCTGACTGGACAGTTTGCTGCTTAAAGCCATAGGCCAGGGGACTTCTGGTCAAAGCGTCATCCCTCCCTGCTGGCCCAAGGATTAGAAGTAGAGGGGGAGGTGTGTGAAGAGAGAAGGAACAACTCCTACCTTTCTTGTTTACTAGGTCCCGAAAGACAAGCAAGGACAGAAGAAAGGAACGGTCACAGTTTCCACCAAGCACTCAGCCCTCTAATGACATGGGGACCCTGCAGGCCCCTTATATGGCACCCACATGACATTCACAGGGAGGGGGTCTACCTCTCTGGACAGACCCAGAATGCAGGTGGAAGTGGGAAGGATGAGTGCATCTGTGGGACACTCCTTAGGGACCCGCCCACAGGTCCATCCACCCTGGGAGGAAGGAGTGGACTCTTTAGGAAGGAACAGTGGGTCCAGGGTAGGCACACAGGATACAGGCTCTCCTGCATGGTGCAGAGATGTGCTCAGACACACAGACTAGCATATCTTCATCTGCCAGGTGCTCACTGACATGCCTGTGGGCTCAGCCCAGTGCTGGGGGCTGAAGGCTTGGCACACAGGCCCAGCTGCGTTTGCAGTGGAGCATCACAGGGGACAGCTGTGCAAGGAAGGGGTAGGGGCCAGGCAAGGCCTTGCAGGCACCAGAGCATGGACTTGAGTCCTGAACGATGAGATTGCTGTTGCCAAGTGGGCAGGGGGAGGGAGATCCGCAGAGGGCACACCCTGTGTGGGCCTGAACACTGAATGAGTTCAGTGTCGCAATGTCAGGAGTGTGGCAGGGGTCAGATTAGCCAGGTGTTTGGCTGTCAGGCTAAAGAGGGTGGGCTTTACGTGGGCAGCCATCAAAAGGTTTTAAACTGAGAGTGACAAAGTTAAATCTTTGGAAATCCCTTTCAGGCTGGAAGGTGCACGGATAGGAAGGGAGACTCCTAGGGCAGGTGGTGGCCACTGCCGATAGAGAACTGAGTGGGAAAGACACACTGAGGCTGAGGCCGCTGCGGATGGCACGGGCACAGCAGGCCATCAGTCATGTCTGTTAGTGAGCATCCATGGCCTGTGGGCCTCCAGCTCGACCTCTCTAGGCCTAAGCAGGAGAGTAGGGCTGGGGAATCATCCAGGAATGGTGGCAGAAGGAAAGGACTCGAGGTAGGAGCTCAGGAGATGGCGGTGTCTTAAAACTGAAGAGGAGACAGACGCACTCTTATCCACAGAAACACAGAGACAGACAGACGTGCCAGGGATGCACATGAGACAACCCTCTGAGGCTTTAGTTCCTCACGCCCAGGCTGCTGCAGAGGCTCCCTCACCTGACAGATGCAGGCCTGCAGACACAGGTAGGCACACACACTGCTCCTGCCCTTCCTGCCTTCCTGCTGAGCCTGAGGCTCAGGGTCCAGGATGCAAGGCTGCACGCTCTCCACAGGCACCACACCCGGAGAGGGCCTGAAAGGCGAGGGGCAGGTGGCCGTTCCCGGAGCTCTGAGGGCAGTGCTCACCTTTTGAACAAGAGGATGGCGATGACAATGAGGATGATGAGGATGACTGCCAGCACGGGACCCGTCACCCACAGCATCTCCGGCTCCTCCTGCTGCTGGGCTGGTGTCACCTGGACCACGATCTCATCCGAGTAGGGGCTGGAGGCATAGCGCTTCTGTGGCCCGGTGGAGAACAGCAGGCTGTGAGCTCAGCGTGAGAACCCCCCACCCTCTGCCTATTAATCCTGGAGAAAGGGCTCTGGGTCTGGGTTACCCTGGGCCTGGTCTCCCAGACCCTACAAGGTGGACCTGGCAGGACTGGGTCCCTGGAGCCACATTAGGTCTGGCCTCTGGGTCCCAGGGCCGCGTCTTAGGATCCCCGGGACAGATCTTGGGTCTTTAGTGCTGCCCCAGGATCTCGAAGCCCCCAAACTGATAAAGACCTGGGGTCTTGTGGTGTTTGAGACTGGCATCGTCTCAGGCCAGGCCCAGGGAATCAGGGTGCTGACAGCCAAGCCGGCTCAGGCAGACCTGGTCCATGGGTTCCTTCAAGGAGGCAAGCACAAAGCACTGGTAGCTCAAGTCCGGAGACAGGGGCCGGTTGTAGAAGCCCCGGTAGTTCTTCTTGTCCCCCAAGGTAAAGGTCTCCGGGAGCACATCCAGTTGAGCAGCCACATATGGCTTCAGACGTTCTGCCTGCCGCCGCCGCCGCCGCTGCTCCTCTCCGCCTTGCTCGATGGCTTCTAGAAGCTGGCAGAGCAGAGCATGGGGGTCATGAGGGGCCTTGGAGCATGCCGGCCAGCCCTGAGGCTGTGGCCTGGGATGTCAGCTCCCTGGGCCGAGATCAAGGCTCACCTTCCGTGTCAGAGCCCACACCTGCCCAACCCACTGCCCCTACAGAGTAACAGACACCGTGAAGCCACTCCTCCCCACCAGCCCATGAGAAGCAGCCCTGTGTGTAAGCTGCCCCACCCTAACCAGGCTGTTGCCACACTGGCTATGAGAAAGGACTGAAGGATTTCAAACATTCAGGGACTCCTGGCTATAAGGCTCACTAAGCCCTCCATAGCTTCTAGATCTGCGAGGCTCTGCAGTGTCTACAGGGCTTGGCATTCTCTAGACCTGCAGAGGCATCTCCACGACATCCCACCCCAGGGATTCTTCGTAAGCCCTCCGGGAGTTCTGTGAATACTCCCAGATGGTTTCCTCAGAGTCCCTCTCTCCAGAGAGGGGCGGGCTGCCAGCCAGAAGAGAGATTTCAATTTGGGGAGTGAATCTGAGAGTCACTGGGACAGTGCTCAGGGCAGGAAGGCCACAGCTGACCACTGCAATGGGGCTGTCAGTGTCCCCATCCCCTCCCCAGGTACCTCGTCCAGCTCCAGTTCCTCGGGTGTGCTCCACCTTGGCGTCAGCATGCTCCCGCCCACACGGTCAATGGGCACCACAACAATGTAGAACCACCTGGGTGGGCAGGGCAGGAATCAGGACTGTCACTGCTGGTTACCTCCAGCCCTGCCCCGCCTCCCCCGATACCTCGTGTGCACACCTGACAAGCGAGGGGTCTTGCACATGGGGCATGGAGAGATCGAAGCGGCCGTCCTCTATGTAGGCAGAGGCAGGCAGCGGCTTGTGAGGCAGGAGGTCGGGGGCTGTGCGGATGGACACCAGGTGCTGCAGGCCCCCTGCGCTGCTGCCACGGTTCATCAGCACAAACGAGTACTCTGTGTTGGGCTGCAGGTCTGCGATCAGCTTCCGCATCGAGTGCCCGTCCACCTCCACACTCTGCCCATTGTACAGAATCTGTGGGGGACGGGAGGGGCAATCAATGCCTTTGGGTGAGGTTCCCTACCACGGGCTGCAAGGCACAGTGCACGGATACACAACCACATTCCTGCTCCACAGCCGGATGCACATGGGTTAGGACTGGAAAGACAGCACCCAGCAGGCCTGTGTGTGTGCCAGGCTCAGCTGGCCGTGGCCCTTACTCACCTTAAAGGGCACAGCTGACTTATAGGAGTCGGGAACCTCCCAGCTGAGCAGCACAGACGTCTTCATTGCAGCCGCCACCCGGAAGTTCTTGGCAAACACTGCAAAGGCATAGAGAGAGTCAGCTCTGCTGGGTATATGAGGTGGGGTGAATGGGCTGGAAGGGTGGAAGGTGAATGGCCAGGATGAGACACTGGTTGGGGAACAGGGGGTTGAAGGATGGCTGCAGAGTACCAAGCGCCCCACTCCCAGCCAGCTTCAAACGGCACAGTTGAACTCCCAGCCCAAGCTCTTCCACAGTGAGCACCAAACAGGGCGGGGGATGCCACAGCAACCAGGGTCAGAATCTCCAGAAACGCGAGTGTAAAAGCTTGAGCCGATGGACACCAGGCCAGAGTGATCAGAGGGTCAGTGGGTTTCGGTCATGAGAAGCATGTGGCCACACACCAGAGCGTGGTGGAGCATGTTCACTAGAGGTCGGTGGGTCATGGCCCCAAGAGATTAGTGTCACACACCAAAGATCAGGAGGTTGCACACCCAAGAATAGTGACACAGTCAAAAGAGATCAGTGGGTCAAGGTCACAAGAGATCAGAAGGTCATACAGCAGAGGTCAGTAGGTTAAGGACAGCAGAGGTCAGGCATCAAGAATGTGGTGCCCATTCACTAGAGGTTAGTGGTCACAGTCATGAGAGATTGGAGGTCACACACCAGAGGCTGGTGGATCACAGTCGCCAGAGGTCAGTGGCTCAAGGAGAGCAGAGACCCCCAGATGCAGCCACACTCGGGAAGGGATGCCATGTCCACAGCACACACCTTGCTCCACCGGCATGGTCCGGGACTGGATGCTGGGGCTGAGTGGGCCAGAGCCTTTGCTGGTCCATGCGCGGACCTTGATGTCGTAAGTGGTGTCTGGCTTGAGGCCAGTAAGGGTAAAGCGGGTGTCTGTCGTGATGTTCTGCAGCTCCTGTTGGCTGTTGATGTCTCGGAACACCACGGTGTAGCTGATGATGCGCCCGTTCCTCTCCGCCAGCACTGGCGGGTCCCAGGCCAGTTCTGTGGTAGACGTGGTCAGTCCTGTCACATGCAGGTTTTGGGGGAAGCCGCTGGGCAGGTCCTCGGGGGTCCTGATCTCCTTCTCGAACTCCTCACCCAAGCCAGCCCGGTTCTTGGCAGCAAGCCGGAAGATGTAGGTGGTCCCCTTGTGCAGGCCGGTGACTGTGAAGTGCTGGTCATCCTTGCCGAAATCTATGGTGTTGGGCCGCGCCTCGTCGGCCCGGCAGTACTGCAGCCGGTAGCCCAGCAGCTCGCCAGGCAGTTCCTTGGGTGGGTGCCACTGGAGCAGCGCAGTGTTCATGGCCGTGGTGCTGATCATCATGGTGGGCCGGCCTGGGACTGAAGGACCACGGGCTGGGCTCTGGCGCTGCCCTCCTGCTGCCCCACCCTCAGGTCCGTCCTGACCCCTCACTCACCTGCACCTGTTGTAGTGACAATTTTGGGCTTGCTGCGGGCACCATCCCCCTTGGTGGTATAGGCAGCAACAGTAACGGAGTAGGTGGTCTCCGGGGTCAGGCCGCTGATAGTGGTTTCCTGAGGGAGGAGGAGGGGTTCGTTCCCATCACAAGAATGCAGGGAGAGGCCAGACCTTGTCAGGGACCTCAGGACCCTAGCCTGAGGGGAGCCCCGGGGCACACAAGGCCAGGGGTTGTGGAAGGTGGGGCTATACAATGGTGGCCTCTGCTGGAGAGGAAGCAGGCAGGTAGGATGCAGGCCTGGGAGGACCCCGCCCATCCCAGGAGCCGCACGCCTGGGGCAGACAGCTCATTATTCTTTTCAGACAAGAACAAAGGGCCAGACTGTTTCCCTCACTCCACTGTGCTGTGAACGGAGACTGAGGATATCAACAGGGCACAGCCTCGCACGCACCCAGCACCTTGCGTGGCTCTTGGCAGCCACACGCACACAGCCTACAGCTCCTGCATAAGCAGGCGTAAGGCTGCCTGTGGACACCAGTGCATGCATGCACAGACAGAGCAAGGTGGCAGGATGGGCTAAGGTGCCATCCTATAGGACCCAGTCAGGACTCCGCTGCCCCCATATAGGCCACTAACTCTGTGAATGTCTATACCCTGCAATACCTCTTGAGAAAGGCAGGGGAGGGGCTAGGAGAATAAGAAAACCTCCACACCTGGGGAACTGGCTTCCACATCTGTTCTCAGTGATGCCTGAGACAGCAGCCAGGGCAATGTCCTCCCCGCTTGGCAGACCCTGCCCATATACCCATCTGCAGCAAAGGCATCATCTCTGGACATGCGGAGAAACACCATGGGAGGTCAAGCCACACCACACAGAGAGAAGAGTGGGAAGCAGGGCAGGGACCACCGTGCAGTGGGAACAGAGCCGTCATCAACCCTGGTATCCCTCCAGCTCTGGCCTTGAGTGGGGCCCCTGCAGCTGCCACCACCCCCTCATGGACCCCTCCTGCCACAGCTGGAGGGTCTCCCAGGGCTGGGGCTCCAGAATGCACCAATGCCAGAATCCGACTCTCCAGACAGCCCTCCCAGCCTGGGCCCTAAAGCAGGTGATTTTTCACTCCAGGGATCAATAAGGCCTAACGATCAGGATTGGATTTAACTCCATCCCTGTCTGGCCGGGGCAGGGGCCAGGCCCTGGTCGATCATGAACACTGGCCTCAAATTGCTGCTCGACAGGCAAGAAGTAAGGATTAGAGGAAATGCCAATCGCTGCTCAGCTCAGTGCTTGTGTCTAAACGCCAATTTTCTCCTGATGTGGCTAGAGCCCTGTGGATCTTGGCAGTGCAGGCTAGCAGGAAAGGAGGGAGAGGAGGAGCGTCCCACGAGCCCAGCTTGACCCATGTCTTGTCCGCGTTCGCACACCTGTTACTTACATAGTCCTCGGACTCCTCTGGCCGCCACTGACCGCGGGAGAGGGAGAGAAAGGGAGACAGGATGGTGAAGGACTCTGACCTGGAGAGGGCCTGGCCTGGAAGGGACCTTGCCCAGGGAGGACAGAGGGAGGGCTTTTGGGCCTCAAAGTACCCATGGGGGTAGCACCCCAGAACAACTCCCGGTTCAAAGATTTGAATCCCTGCCTCACTGAGCACCAACTGGGTGTGCCAGGGCTGAGGAGGGTAGGGAGACAGGGAGGGCAGGCAGCCTGCAGGGAGAGGACCCGCTGACAGAAGGCCCTAAGAACACAAAGCAGCTACAGATGCTCTGACAATTTTGGGCTTGCTGGGAGGGAGAGGCTGCCAGACAAGAAGGGTGGGTTCAACAGCTCAGGCCAAGGGAAAGGAAGACACTGAGGGGTGAATGGGGTGCCCATATGCCCTGGTTTGCCTCGGACAGTCCTGGCCTGTGCTTGTTGCCATGGAATTGACTATTCAGTGTCTCCTTCCACCCGCCAAAGCATCCCAGATGTGATCATACATTACACAATCACCCCAGGCATGAGAAGTGTCCCACAACAGTAAGAGTTGGGGGTGAACAGGGCACATGGCCAGGGTGGGCCCAAGGGCAAGCCAGTCAGCAAGACTATGAAGGCTGTGAGTGCCAAGCTCAGAGCCTGGGCTGTAGCCCACAGGCACGGGAAATCACCTATACCCGTTCCTTCCTCGGGGTGTCTGAGGATTAAGGTAGGAAGGAATGTTTCGGGGCTGGCAGTGTTGCGGGCCTTTGGTGCATGTAGATATTCTAGATGGACAGGTGGAGGGACTGTGAGGTCTCCATTCTGAGGCCCCATGAAACATCACAGGGAGATGGTCCAGGATGTCTCCAAGCCGGAAGTACCTGGGGTCCTCCAGCCCAAGCACCCCCACAGTGCCGGTCTGGCCTCTGTCCACTGGCCTCCATGCTGGGTGGCCTAAGTTCCTCCTGTCCTGGGACACTCTGTTGGAAAGTCCTTGCAAGAAGCATGGAACAGAATATGAGAGGAGACTCTGGACAGGTCCTTAGTGCATGGCCACTTTATAGGGTGTGGCTGGGCCCACGTCCCTTCCAGTCTCCTTGCCTGCGGGGAGACCTGGGCTGTCCCAACCAAGCCTTGGCGTGGAGGTTCTCACATCACATGGACCCTGTCCTGCGCTAGAGGCAGAGCAAGAAAGAAGGGAAGGACGGAGGATGAAACCAAATGGAGATGAAGGAAAGGGGTCAGAGGAATGGCAGGGGGAGGAGGGAAGGAAGGAGGAGAGAGAAGAGAAAGAGCAAGACAAAAACAGAGACTCCAAGAAGGAGAGAGAAATGCAGGCCACGAGAGGGGAAAAAGGGAGGCAGGGAGATGGAATCTGACGTAAAAGGAGACAGGTCTGGCTCCACACTTCCAGGCTGGGGGTGGGAACCTGCACCACATAGTTCCTTCAGGCATGATGGGGGATGAGCTGAGGGGATGGTGCTGTTGCGTGAAGGACAGAATGTGCCGCCCTTGACAGAAGCACAGGGACAGCTGGGCCCTGTGGCCACGCTCGGGACCAGGCCCCACTGCTCTCCCACTGGCGAGGAACAGAATGACCCAGTCCTGAGAGGGCTACGGAGCAGGCCTCCATCTTCAGTGTCCTCCGGGAGCCCAGACTCGAGTTACCGCCCCCATGATGGGATGTCTGAGACTAAATGGGCAGCGTCCCTGAGCCTCTGGCCCAGCTCCCTTCCGAACCTCTTGGGACCAGAAGGGGGCACTTGAAGTGGCTTCTCTGGAACCCCACTGGCCACAGCTGTGGCCACTGGCCCCCTCAGAGAGGAGGGGCTAGGGGAACCCATTCCTGGGATGTTTCTGGGTAGGTGTGTTCACTGAGGCTCCACAAGGAGCCCTCAACCTGCCCCAGGAATGCAGGTGGGTGCACATGCCTGCCTCCTCCACCCCGGATGCCTTAGCACTGGGCAGGCTGAGAGGGGGAAGAGAGCACCCTCTGGGCAGAAAGAATTTTGCTTCAGATGGCTGAGCCCAGCTGGAGGAATAAGGCTCCTGTCTGTGTGGGTGACCCCACCCCTCTGCACAGTGTGTACAGCATTGAGTGGTACACGCACCCCTGCTCTCCACCCAGGCAGAGGTGAGAGGCTCAATGGGGAGGCCCTGCTCCTGGATAGGGAGACCTTGAGAGCACCACACCAGGTGTTGTGACTCTCCAGCAGGGTCTTTTGGGAGGGGGCTCATGACAGCAACTGTGGCCCTTTCCTAGGGGTCCACAGACATGGCTTCTCATCCAAGCGCAGCAGCCACCTACTTGCTGAATAATTCCATACCACTCTCATAACCCCCCAGCATTCCAAGTTCTTCATCTGAATAGCAACCAGTGTTCAGAATACCCCAGGGACCTCACCCCAAGCTCAAGGGCAGGACCATCCTCCCAGGAAGACAGATGTGCACAGAGGGAGGTGTGAGGCTGGCCAGCAGGCCTAGCTCTTGAGGGTGAACATCAGGGGCTGAATCGTTCCCTGCAGGGCCAGGAGCAGGGCAACACTCTACTTGGCTACTCACAGAGCTTTGCAGCAACCACGGACCCATGGCCGCCAGTGGGGTAAGACAGCCCTGGAGCACTCTCTCTACCCTTTCTGTGGGAAGAGTGGATGCCAGCCCAGCACTGTCTAGGGGAAAGGCACATCTCAAAACCCCGACCTGGTGGGGCACAGTGGCTAACACCTGTATTCTCAGCACTCTGGGAGACTGAGGCAGGCGGATCACCTGAGGTCAGGAGTTCGAGACCAGCCTGGCCAATATGGTGAAACCCTGTCTCTACTAAAAATACGAAAATTGGCTAGGCGCAGTGGCAGACGCCTGTAATCCCAGCTACTCGGGAGGCTGAGGAAGGAGAATTGCTTGAACCCAGGAGGCACTCCAGCCTAGGCGACAAGAGTGAAGCTCTATCTCAAAACAAACAAACAAACAAAAAACCCACACCCAAAAAACCCCAGCCTAACCCCTGATGCTGCAAAGCATCTCGGGTCTCACAACCAAGGAAAGGCAGTCACAGCACTGCTGAGGGCAGGCAGGGGAAGAGGGACATATCTGGGCCCCAAAAGGGAGCTTGTGCATGCTGGTCTGTGCTCACCCTGCCACCCCACCACCACCCAATGCTGCACCTGGGCCTCGGCTAGCATGACGTCTTGGATGATGGGGAGTCCACGGGGCTCGCCATTCTCCAGCCGCACGTAGGTGACCTGGTAGCCGCGGATCTGGCCATGCTGCTTGCTGGGGACAGGCAGCTTCCAGTAGACATGCACAGCAGTGGAGTTCAGTGGCTCCACCTCCACCTTCCGCGGAGGCCCGCTGGGCACTGGGGGGTCAGGTAGAGAAGGAAGTCAGGCCTGGAGGTATCAACCCTAGCTCAGGTGGGCACAGCAAACTTGAGGGTCCTGCCTCAGCACCCCACTCCCCCAGGAAAGGCCCTGATACAGTTTCCTTAGATCATCTGTCCCTGGTGAGGCACACGGAAGGCTCCCTCTGCCCGCCACGGGTAAGAGCCCAGGACTGGCCCTGCCCACCCCTCTGGCCCAGGCCTCTCACTTGGTGGGGAGGGTCGACATGGGGGAACAGGTGGAGGTGGGGCACCAGGTCTTTGACCACCCCTAGTCAGCACAACCTGTCCTGACTCCTCCTAGGCCCCAATCATGCCAATGTCCAGCCAACGTGGAGTCTTGCTGATTCTACTTTGAGTATCTTTTACACCAATCTGCCCAATCTTGACCTTTCAAATCTTAGACAGGGCTGCTTCTCCCATCTTAGCCTGTGAAGGTTTCAGCTGCTTTGGAGACAGCCCCAAAGGCTGGGATTTGGGCCTCAGTTATCCCGTAAGTGACATCCCCCCACTTTAGGCCATTACACCTGAACCAGAAAGATGAGTTGACCTGGGCCTGTGTTCAGGAAAGGAAGGCCCTGGGGAGCTTGGTGGGTGGTGTCTGAGGCAGAACGCCTCCCCTCCCGCCCCGGTGGCACTGCCTACCGTCCTCATCGGTGCGCACCAGCACCGGGCTGCTCTCGGGGCCGGGGCCCACGTCTGTGTGTGCCCGCACCCACACCCGGTACTCCGTCCACTTCTCCAGGCCCACCAGGTCCCAGCTGGAGTGCTCACGGCTGATGCCATCCACCACATGCCGCCCGCGGTCCTCGCCGTCCACCGCCTCGTAGGCCACGGAGTACTGGGTGATAACGCCGTTGCGGCTGTCGGCAGGCGGCGGGACCCAACTTACCCGGACCGTGGTGGAGCCCATGCTCACACACATCACCTTCTGGGGAGGGGCGGAGGGGGCTGGGGAAGACAAATGGGGGGGAAGCAAGCAGATGGAGGGTGGGGATCACAGGCACAATGACTGAGTCACAGTGGACTGGAGACTCACCCGGGCAGGCTACCCCTTAGGTGCTGAAATGGCCATCCCAGGGTCCCTCCAGGCAGGCTGCTGCCACTCTCGCCAAGGACACCTGACTCCCTCTGACCTGCCTCCCTCTCTCTCCTTCCCTCTCTCACACACACACACGGTGATACACACACAGTTATCACACACACTGACTCTCACACAGCCTCACACACAGTGTCAGTCTCAGTGCCTCACACACGTCTCACACAGTCACACGCTGTGTCACACACACAGGGTGTCTCATACATATACTGTCTTGGTGTCTCACAGTGTCTCTCACAGTGTCACACACATACATAGTGTCACATATACATAGTGTCTCACACATAGTCTCCACATATAGTGTCATATACAGTGTCACACATATACAGTGTCATATAGTGTTTCACACACACAGTCTCACACATATACAGTGTCATATACACTGTCTCATACGGTCTCACACATATACAGTGTCACATACACATAGTGTCTCACAGTCTCACGTATACATAGTGTCATATACACAGTGTCTCACACGTGTCTCTCACACAGTCTCTCACAGTAAATACACAGTCTCTCATGGTGTCTCACACACACACTGTCACATACATAGGCTGTCTCGCACATATACTGTCTTGGTGTCTCACAGTGTCACACACACACAATGTCTTGGAGTATCAGTGTCTCTCACACAGACTCACATATACACAGAGTATCACATACCCGTGTCTTGGTGTCTCACACATGGCATCTGACACACACTCTCACACACAATGTCTTAGAGTTCTGACACAGCATCTCTCACACGAGGTCTCTCCCACACATATGCTGTCTCACACAAAACATACACGATATCACATACACACAAGCACGTGGCCATCCCACTGCCACCCGCACACACAGCCACATATGGAGAACTGCTTCACATCTGCTGTGCCCACGGTTCTGCTCTTCCGAGGAAGAGTGGCCCCAGTGGCCCTTTTGGCATAAGGCAGCCTTCACCTGTGCCTGCCTGGAAACAGTCTCTTTGCCAGTGCCACAGGTAATCACCAACAGGAGGCCGAACATGAAGGCCAACAGCCCCTGGCGTGGAGAAAAAGTACCCACCAACAGAGGTGCCCTCACTCAACAGCTTCTTTGGGAATTAGGAGGCAGACACGTGTCTCCTTGTGTCCAGTGATGTGTCCAGACTCCACGCCCACCGAGGACTCTGCTGCAATGCACAGGTTTCCTCTTCAAGTTCTGTCACCACCCCCTGCCATGGGGACTTCAGCAGCCCCTTGACCCACTGGCCCCAGAGCCCCTCATCTCCAGGACTTTCTCCTCCCCTGCACAGCTGTGGTCATGCCCTGGAGGCTGCCAGTACTGGGGATGGCCCTCCCTCCAGAATCACGGGCTCTCACATCCCCTTGCAGACCCCACCCCCTTGTTCTTGCTCAGTCACTCCAGGCCCCGGGCACTGAGCCTGCTCGCCAGCTCCTCAGGATGCCTGTCCATCAACCTTGTCCTTCCCACCCTCCATGTTCAGCTTCCACGGTCTACCACCTACCACACTCTCACCAATATCGCAAGGTCCCTCGCCTCCTGATCTTTCCATGCTCCTTCCTGGCCGCTGCCAAGCCCTAGATGAATCCAGCTCTCCCCCTCCTTCTCTACAGCGGCACTGAGGCAGGCTGGCGTCCTATGCACACGTCCCTAGAGGCCTCATCCTCCAGGACTCTCCATGCTGCCTGTTTCTGCCCCCTGCCTGGCTCGCTCTGCCACCTCACATGAAACAGTCCCCCTCCTCCATGCTCCCCAGACCTCCAGCTCCCTTTGCCTGCCTCCTCTTGGCGCATGACCATGTCTCCCACACTGCAGAGAAGACCAGGCTTTCACAGCAGCTCCCTCCATCTCTTGCTACAACCCCCCCACCGTACTTGCATCTGCAGCAATTCTCTCCTTTCCACCCATGAGAATGGAGAGTTGAGCCACCCTGTCCAAGGCTAAGCTCTCTCACCACCCATACTGTTCCCCTTCTCTCCACCTCCCAAGGCTCCACCAGTTACCCTCTTTTCCACGGTTTCTTTTTTTCCTATTGACTGTTTCCAATAGCATTTAAATATGCTTGAAATTTTCCCATCTTAAAAGAAAAATCCCAGGCCGGGCGCGGTGGCTCACGCCTGTAATCCCAGCACCTTGGGAGGTCGAGGCGGGCGGATCACGAGGTCAGGAGATCCAGACCACCCTGGCTAACACGGTGAAACACTGTCTCTACTAAAATTACAAAAAAAAAATTAGCTGGGTGTGGTGGCGGGCACGCCTATAAACCCAGCTACTCGGGAGGCTGAGGCAGGAGAATCACCTGAACCCAGGAGGTGGACGGAGGTTGCAGTGAGCCAAGATCATGCCACTGCACTCCAGCCTGGGAGACAGAGCAACACTTTGTCTCAAAAAAACAAAAACAAAACAAAACAAAACAAAACAAAATCCCACCCTCAGCTCCACGGCCCTCTCTAGCCATAGTGGTCCCCTTGTTCAGAGCTACACTTTCTGGCAACGTCTAGGCTTGCTGCCTCCACATTCTCAGCACCCACACAGGCCTCATGAAACATCCACCAGCTTTGGTCCTACCATGCACCAAGCTTCATCTCCAGGGCCACTCGTCCATGTTGCTCGGTCCAACAGGTACTCCTGACCGCTCAGCAGCATCTCGTCTAGTTCTTGAAACTTTCTCTCCTTCCAACCTCCAAGTCGCTCCCCTCCCCTGATTTCCTCTCATCTGCAGTCTTTCTTCTCAGGGTCCTTTAGCTCCAGCCCAGCCCTGGATTCCCACAGCCTGCCGAGCACTGCCATGTAGATGGCACACGGCATCTTGAACTTGGGTGTCTGAGACCAGCTGTAGTTTTCACACCTGCCTCTGCCCCATTTCCCATTCTACGCCAGCACCACTCTCCTCCCAGGTTAATACACCAGAAACAAGATTCACCTCCACTTCCCTCCCCCTGGGCCCCTATTCATAACCCATTACCAAGTCTGACCAGTCAGCATCCCTGACAGTTCTCAGATCCACCGCCATCACCTCACCTGCGCCACCATCTTTTCCCTGGACCGCTACAAAGCCTCCTAACCGGTCTCTGCTTCCTCACAGGCTGCCCTGTCCATTCTCACAGAGCAGCCAGAGTCAGCTCTCCTGCCTACCCTGTGTCCCCAAGGCCCTGACTGCCATAGATCCGGCAGCTACTGCAGCCACACTGGCCTGCTGCTTACCTTGTGACCATAACCATGTGCCTTGCAGCTGGAAGGCCTTCAGGCCTGCAGACTCTCCCGGAGGCCTGTGTGCTCCCTGCTCCTGTTCATTTACCAGTTGGCTCCCACCCTTCCTTCAGGCCTTGGGGAGGTGACACTTTCCCAAGGCCTGAAGGAAGGGTGGGAGCCAACTGGTAAATGAACAGGAGCAGGGTACATGTGCATGTACCAGTGATGTCAAGAGGCTGTGTGTGACCTTGTATTCATGGATTCATTCCAGAAGCACCTGCTGTGCTGCAGCTGGGGGCCAGGCCCCATGCACGGTACAGGGCTGGCAGCATGACCAGACACATGGTGTCTGCCCATGGGGATCCTGCATTCCAGCAGGGCAGACAGACATTGCACCTGTAATTACCCAAATGAGCTTTTTTATTTTATTTATTTTTCAAGACGGAGTTTTGCTCGTCACCCAGGCTGCAGTACAATGGCACCATCTCGGCTCACTGCAACCTCTGCCTGCTGGGGTCAAGTGATTCTCCTGCCTCAGCCTCCCGAGTATGTGGGATTGCAGGCAACCACCACCACGCCTGGCTAATTTTTGTATTTTTAGTAAAGACAAAGTTTCACCATGTTGGCCAGGCTGGTCTCTAACTCCTGACCTCAGGTGATCCGCCCACCTTGGCCTCCCCAAAGTGCTGGGATTACAGGTGTGAGCCACCGTGCCTGGCCTCCAAATGAGCTTTTAATGACATTTGTGTAAAGTAGGATGGAAGAGCCAGGCACGGTGGCTTACCTTGTGACCATAACCCACTTCATAAGGACCACTTCAGACACCGCCATGTTTCTGGTCATCACATGGCCACATCAGATGTGGTCACCATCTCAATCCCACAATGCTACCCAGCCAGTCACATCCATGACACCCTATCACACAGAGTCTCACGCAGCAGCTGACTGTGGCTGTGTGACCACACACAGGACGCCCAGCAGCAACCACAGAGTCACACACACACACAGTCTACTGTCTGGGGGGCTACCGAGACCCACAAATACGGTTACAGGATCAGGCCAGAGTCGCCCACAAAGACAAGGGTCATGCCCAAGATCCACTGATGCACATACACAGGTGCTGCACAGCCAGCTGGTCAGGTGTGGTCACACACTCACACTCATGGGCAGTGCCACTCCCACAGCTGCAGCATCGGAGTCTCTCACACACAACACCAGAGTCTCACACAGACAGCCTTGCAGACAGTCCCCTGCACGGCCACGTGGTCACAATTCAAGGCACACGTGGGCAGGCTGGGTCACATGGCCGCATTCTCAGACCTGTCCCCGAGTGCAGTCAGCTCAGGGTGATCACATGGCTCTCAGGTAACTTTCATGGGGAGTATGAGGAAGGGAATGTGGGTGATGGGGAGACGAGATGCGGGGCCATAGGGAGGAGAAACAGCCGCCAAAGCAGGTCTGGGACATGGCAGACCCACCGAGGATGGCCCATCAGCTAAGCTAGTGTGACCAGCACAGAGTGGGGGCGGAGATGAGGCACAGACACAGAACTTACCTGGGCAGTGTGTGGGGCATGGGCGGGAGGAGGGGCAGGAGGCTGGGCAGGGAGCAGGGAGGGCAGCAGCCGCCTGGACTGGACAGACTGGGAGGCACTTACCTGGCCCTCTCCCGAGGCCCAGACTCAGAGCCCAGGCCAGAGTTCGGTTTGGCCAGCAGACCTGACCACCCCACCTGCCTGGTCGAGGGGGAAGGATGTGTGTGCATGTGTGTGTGTGTGTCCCAGCCCAGGTGTAACAGGCAGCGGACTTGGGAGACACTTACTGGACTGGGCTGTGCGGGCCTCAATGGTGGGGGTGAAGACGCCCACCCCCATATCCGAGCGTGCAGCCAGCTGGAAGCGGTAGAGTGTGTCAGGCTTCAGGTCCTCTAGTGTGTAGGAGGAGGTTGGGTCGAAGGTCACCTTGTGCTGGGAAGAGCAGGGAGCACTCACTGACAGCTCTGAGCTCAAAGTCACTCACAGGTTGTTCCCCAACATGGGCTGCAATGTGACACCTCTGGACCCACCACGGCTCCAGGACTGGCTCCACACCATAAGGCCACATGGAGCACAAAAGGAACTCAGGGCTTAGCCCATGCCACAGACACCTCACAGACCACATGGACCACAGGAGCCATCTGGGACGCATGGCTTCTGGGGAAACTTCAGGGCTCTGCCAGTCATATGAGCCACAGAGCCTAGGAAACCCAAGGCAGACCCTGGGGACTTTGCCCCTAGCACAGGGTGACAATGACTCCAGATTCATACAGGCTGTGCGGGCCACATGACACGCATGCACCACTAAGCCTCCAGCAGAAACCTTAGAGGCTGTGCCCACATAAGCCACAGAATCCAGAAAATACCCTCCTGGGTTAAGCCCATCACAGACCCTCAGGGACCAGGAGACCCCCTCAGTGCTTCTCTGCCCGCTGCACACCTGTTGGTCTTCGTCCTCTGCCGCCCAGTACACCAGTTCATACATGATGATCCGCTCCTGAGGGGGCAGCAGCCACGAGAGCTGGATCCTGGTGTCCGACTCCACCTCGGCCTGGAAGTCCGCGGGCTGGGCAGGCACTGCAACACCCCACACCAGGCAGGTCAGCCTCATCTGCGTGAGGTCAGGGGTGCCCAGGGAGGAGGGAGCCGAGGAAGTCAGGTCCTAACCTCACACCCTTATCCTACATCCCAACTGACCACACATCTATGGAATACGGCACCTTGATCCTCCCAAGAGCCCCCAGCCTCACAGCCGAGGGAGGGGGAAAGGCACCGCCACAACCTCAGCCTCCCCTTCTCTGCTGTTGGCTGCCCAGCCGGCATGCCCCCACCTACCTCCCTGCTGCGTCTTGACCTGGATGGTGGGGCTGGGAGGGCCATCGCCCACGGCGGTGAAGGCAAGCACGCGCAGGCTGTAGGTGATGCCAGGCAGCAGGCTGCCCACGGTCGTGAGGAGCCCCGCGTCGGTGTTGTGCTTGTGCCAGGCGTTCGGGGGGCGGCGGGAGTCCGGAGTATAGTAGACGCGGTATCCCCGCACCAGGCCGTTGGGCTCCTCGGGAGGCTCCCACTGCACCAGCATGGTGCTGGCGCTCAGCATGCGTGCCTGCACGCGGCGCGGTGGGCTGGAGGGCGCCTGTTCTCCCGTGCGTGCCCGCACTGCCTCGCTGGGCGGCCCTCGCCCGATGCTGTTCACCGCCAGCACGCGGAAGGCATATTCCGAGAAAGGGCTGAGGCCGCCAATGCTGTAGCGGGTGGTGGCCACACCATCCACCTCCTGAAAGGGGCCCTCCGTGCCCGCTGCGCGGTACTGGATGCCATAGTAGGTTACAGGCTCCGAGTTCCCAGAGTCCCAGGTGAGGGTGACACTGGTGGCAGTTGTCTCTGTCACCACAAGATCAATCGGAGGCTTTGGAAGAGCTGGAGACAAAGTGGAAGGCTCAAAGCTGCCCGAGGTCAAGATCCTTAGGAACCAACCCTAGACTTGGGGATTATCCAGGATATCTGGTGGGGTCACCTGAGTGTGGCTGATACCCACAGCCTACCTTGAAAAATGGCTGGAAAAGCTTATGGTGACCTCTGAAGGCACAAGTGAGGGACAGTGGCCAGGCCTGTCAGTGCCCCACCCAGGGCCTTGGGTCATTTAGTATGTACACATATCAACTGTGGGATTCACTGGACCCTCCCATCAGCACACCAGACTCATCTAACAAACAGACCTGGAGGTGATGTGACCCTTGCAGTCCCATGTAGATGAAAGACACCCAGACTGGGTAGCAGCTATGTGCCTCTGCAGGTCACCTGAGCCCACCTGGTGGAAAGTATGTGTAATAGGCAGGGGAAGGGGAGATATTTCCTTAGGGACTGGCCCGGATAGAAAGAGTGATGGGGCTGCTGGCCCCACAGACCCTGCAGCTTGGCTCAAATTGAAGTGGAAAGGTCCTGAGTCCACAGTCATTCAACAAATAATTAACAAGCACCCACTCAATGCCAGACATTGTGCTGGGGCTACAATGCCACACAGTCACATCCCTGCTCTCATGGAGTTTACACCTCAGTACAAGAGAGAATCAATAAACAAGTCGATCGTACTCATGATTCTGCCATGTGCAAGGACAGCAGGAATCAGGGTGCTGAGGTGGAGTAAGATCCAGGGAATCTCCTTGGATGCGGTGATGAGGGAAGGAAAGCATCACCAAGCTGAGGCCTGGAAGGGTACATGGAGCCAGTGACAGAAGGGGCCAGGCAAGGAGCACGGCAAACGGAAAGCAGCATGTGTCTGGACAGCTGGCGCGTGACAGGGTGGGAAGCCAGTGGCCCTGGGAGACCACAGTGAGGATCCTGATCTGTATCCTAAAACAACGGGAAGCCACTGGAAGGTGTTTCTCCCTTTCCTAAAAGGGAGTCACTTGATCCTGAATTACATTTTTTAAAGATCACTCAAGCTGCAAAACAGATAATGGATCAGAGGCTGTTGAGAATTGCAGCGGGGAGACCAGGAAGGAATCTGGTTTTTTTTTTTTTCATAGGGTCTCGCTCTGTCACTCAGGCTGGAGTGCAGTGGTGTGATCATGGCTCACTGCGTCACTGTAGCCTCACCCTCCTGGGCTCAAGTGATCCTCCTGTCTCAGCCCTCCCAAGTAGCTGGGCCACAGGTGTGTGCCACCATGCCCAGTTTTTTTTTTTTTTTTTTTTTCGTAGAGATGGGGGTCTCACTACGTTAACTGGGCTGGTCTCAAACTCCTGAGCTCAAGCAATCCTTCCAACTTGGCCTCCCAAAGCGCTAGGCTTACAGGAATGAGCCACCGTGCCTGGCCAGAATCGGTTACATATATGTGACATATGTGTAATACATGTGTGCCTGTCCCCAGGTATCAGGGCAGAGAGAACACACTTTCCCCTACTATTTTACCACACCCTTCTTGCTGGGAGGCTATTAAACCTGAAGGTCTGGTACTATGTAGTGGTGAGGGTGAGATATGGATTCAGACCACACTGGGTTTAAGTCCCTGCTCTGTCATTTATTTTTATGTGACCCTGGGGCAAGTGATACACCCTCTCTGTGCCTCGGTTCCCTCGTTTCAAAAATGGAAATAATAAGAGCACCTATCTCCCAGGGTAAAACAGAAAAAAACAAAATCAACTGTGCTTGCTAGCATGATGTCTCCCACCAAGAAACTCAATATGCCTTAACTATTATCATTAAGCCGGCTAATAACAGAAATCCCTCCCTCCCTCTAAGGGCTGGAGGACCCCAGGGCAGGGACACCCAGGAAAGGGCAAGAATCCCTCAGCCATGCCTGTGCCCATGGCAGCCAGCTCACATTCGCCCACCACCAGGACCTCCCAGATGACAGGGAGGGCACTGGTTACAGCACCTGCCACACTCACCTTTCACTGTGACCTGGGCTGTGGCCTCGATCATGCCCAGCGAGGAGATGGCCACACAGGTGTAGTTGGCAGAGCGTACGACATTGCTGAGCTCCAGGACGTTGCGGCCAACTGGCATCTCATCCTCCTTGGTGAGCTCCTCGGCCCCCATCATCCACTTCACGTAGGGCATGGGTGCACCCACTGCCACGCATGTCAGGTTCACGCTGCCGCCTGGCATCACCTCCTGGCTGCTGGGAGGGATGGAGAAACGAGGAGCCACGCGGCGCACTGCAGGAGGAGGGAGAGAGGCACTCACAGGCCGGGCAGGACACACGACTGCATGGAAGGGCAGGGGCCCCTCATTCAGGAAGCCCCTCTGGTCAGAGCCAAACCCATGCTCAGAGACAGGAGGGGTGGCACCGCCAGACCCCAGCTCATCATCCACTCCCACCCCACCCACTTCCAGCCTAGAAGTGGCCCCCACACTCAGGGACTGTCTGGAGCACGATGACTTACTCAATGAGAGATCTTGCAACCAAGCTCCCATTTTATAGCCTAGGAAACTGAGGCCTGTCAGGAAGGTCCTGTCTGCCCAGGGTCACACAGGGACTCAGTACAAGGTCCAGGCCTGGTCAGGACCACAACCCAGGGTGTTCTCCAGGGCCTATCTCTGCCTGCTCCTGGCTGGAGCACCAAGGAGAGAAAGCAGGCCCTAGGGTGGAGGGTCCTCAGAGCATGGCTGGGCAGAGCAGAAGGCCAGTCCAGAGGGACACAGCCACCTGCCGTGGAGTCACTGCCTCCACCTCCAGGCCATGGCCTGAGGGGAAGAAATAAGGCAAGCAGCAGGGCCGCCTGCCAGGGTCTCAGCCATGCTCAGGGCACAACCTGGGAACCCAAGCAAAAGGGCTGCCCTCAGGAGGACTGGGGAGGGGCAGGGGTCAGGGCAGGCCAGGGACATGGTCTGCGGGCAGGATGGGCATGACGATGGCAGTAACATGATGAGGGCGCCGAACAGACGGCTTCCTGCGCCAACAAACAAGGGTCTCAAGGGGAGGGGTGGCTGTGGCTGTGCCTGGCCACGACCTCCAGCCTTGGACTCCCCTGACCAGAAGCTGTTCTGAGCTTCTCAGTCCAGGGTACAGCCTAGAACCACCCGCCCCCGAAGTTGGAAGCTTGACACAGACACAGGAGCATGCAGAGGGAAGGGAGGTGATGAAACCCAGCCGTGGGCAGGCATGTCTGGCATGCAGATGGGCCATGCAGCTGGTGAGCAGAGGCCAGGGTGTGTCCTACACGGGCACTCTCACACGCAGGGCCAAAGGCGGCAGGCAGCAGGCTAGTCAGTACCCAAGAGCACTGCTGAGAGCACTGGTCTCTGAGGACCCTCGCTGGGGGGCCCAGGCATGCAAAGACCCCACAGCACCACATAAGGAGCATCTCCACTATAAGCACCAGACTATGCTGCTCACACAGCCCCAAATCACAGAACTAGAGCTAGAAGCAACTTCAGAGACCTCCCGGTCCAACGTCTGACCTCACCATACAGGGGTCAAAACTTAGACCCAGAGATCAGACATTCAGCAAGTCACCAGGTCCTGTCAACAGCGTGGCATAACATATCTTCCAAATCCATGTATTTCTCTCCATACACACAGGCAACTGCCACCACCAAAGTCCAAGCCATCATCATCCTTCCCTGAGTTGCTGCAATGTGTTCTGCGTCAGTCCTCCTGCCTTGTTGTCCACTGCCCCAATTCCTGCTCACGGGCCCTCCACAAACAGCTGGCACAAATCTGATGCCACTCCCTGTTTAACAAGCTCCTGCATGGCTCCCAGTGACTCCTCTGCCCAGCCCAAGAGACCCTACCTAATTTAGCACTTGCTTCAACTCCTTCCACAGCCTGCCTTACTCTGGTGCTCCAGACAGAACCCAAACCCTGGCAGCCCCAGAGACCAGGCCTGACAGGTGCTGGTGGGCTGGATCTGTGTCCCCAGGTTCACCTAGGGCATGAGAGTATCTTGTAGACATTCAGGGTTCTGCTTTCTCCTCAAATCAATGAGCATTCCCATTGTCTTTAAGGAAACCACTTCTACCTGCATTCTTCATACATGGGGTGTGTGACCCAGATCTGACTATGGAGAAACAGCCTTTGGACTTCCGCAGAAACTATTAGAAAAGCGACCTTCTCTCTCTACTGAGGTAGCTAAGCTTAGAGCAGCTGGGGATGGCTTCTCCCAACACACAGGAAAAGCTGCTTGAGAACAAAGATGTCGACAGAGGAGAGGAGAGCTCAGAAACAGACAGACAAATGACTGGCCAACCTGTTTAAGTACCTGGATCTAGCCCTGCCCAGCACCAAATCTACTACACTTTTCAGATTTGTAACACAGGACTTCCTTGTTTTGCTTACGCTGGTATAAGTGGGTTTCTGTCATCTGTTCTAGTGCCAGGAGTCTCTACCAATGATGACAGCATGTCACAGACACAGTTCTTGTGGCAGAACAGGTGGATCCCGGGGCATGGCTGGCAAGTGTCTCATGGCAACAAAGGACTCTCTGAGCACGCACCTCAAATGGTCCAAGGTGAGAGCAGGAGGCTCAGCCAGGACCACCACCCAGCCCAGCGGTGCATGCCCTCCCTCTGCTCTGGAGATGGGCCTCAGGGACAGGCACAGGCAGGCAAGTCTGTTTGCAGATCAGGTCCAGGCCTGCCACAGAAGCGGGGTGGGGGCAGCACAGAGGAGCAGCCTTAATGAACTAAATCTCTCCTGTCCTCTCGGCCAGTGGGTGCCCTGTCTCCTCCTCTTCATGGGAAGGGAAGCTATGCTTAAGCACCTACTAGGTGCAGGTTTCCATGCTGTAGATGCTATCACCTGCCAATTACAGTCAAGGGAACTGTTTTAAAACCAAGCCACATGACCAAGTTTATATACGTAGTAGGAGTAGGTCTGTGTGATGAAAAACTGTCACCCTTTCGAGCCCTAGCTGACAGGCCTGAAAAAAGACCCAGAAGGCTCTGGGGAGAAGCATCAGAATTAGCAGAGGCTGGCAGGAGAGGACGCTGCTCCAGCGGGCGTAAGGATGGGTTTAGACAGCCTGTGCCAGGGAGAGGTCATGATTGCAGGCTTGACCCCAGTCGGTGGTGGAATCATGGGGCCTAATCACGTCGTTGGATACCAGGACAAAGAGCCCCAGCAGAAGGAAGTAGGTCCTTGGCCAATAAACCTTGGGCACCAACCTAGAAACTTGACTGGACTTTACCCCCAAATTGTCCCTGGAGGACAGGGTCTTCAGGCCAAAAGGCGGACTTCATGGATCAGCCCTGGAGGTCAGGCCAACGCCCTGAGCCACGTCTTCTAAAGCCTCCAACTCCTGCGGCTGTCAGGAAATTGAGGCGCTTCACAGAAGAGTTGTGTTTATTTTTTCCCTCCTAGATGCAGGGGGCAGGGAGAGCTCTAGGGGCTAGGCATAAGTGTGAGAGGTCAACAGTGGCCTTTAGGGTCACCTGCAACACCAAGCAAGGGCCTCAGGTCCAGAGGCTCCTGGGCACACCACCTTCACTCTCACAAGGACACTGGGCTTCAGCCACGCAGAAACGTTACTGAGACTGAGACATTTTCCATGTGAGGGAGGTCAGGGTATGTCTACAGAGGAAGGGTGGGGGAAACAGGCAAGGGACAACCTCCTTGTATTCCAAGTGCCAACAGGGACCCGCATCCTAGACCTGCCCAGACAGCCACCCCCATGCCAACAGCTGGAGTGGCTGGCATCTCACTGCAGCAGCCCCAACCATCCTCCACCCACTGCTGCAGGCACAGGGCCTCCAAAAAGGAACAGGCCTCACCCTGGACAGTCTATTGACAGAAGCAACAGCAGGGAAAGAAAAACTGGAGCTGGGAAAAATGCACTCAGGGTCTAATCTTAGGCTCCAACAATGCCAGTATATTACCGTTCCCTGTGCATCCTTAGTGCTGACATTTTATAGACAATTTCCAAAACAGGGCCCTGCCATTTCTGGATTATATTTCAGCTGTAACTTTTAAGTCTAATTATTTGCGCTGACAACCCCCTATAATAGGGCGGTGCGGCGCCCAGAGGCATCAGCATTCAGTAGAGTGACAGCCTAATCGCAGGGGGAGGCAGCCCCGCAATCTGCATTCACTCAGAGAAATTTCTCTGATGAAAATAACACAACATTAAGGAGGGGATGAGGGGCAGGATCCACTGTATCAAGATAAAATAACTCTTTAATAAATAACCTTGTGGCTGCCGCAGAGCAGTAATTAAATGCCGGCAAACCCGGCACACAGTTTTAAGTAAAGCTGGAAAAATGTAAGATGCAATTATCAGCACCAAACAAATTACCAGCCCGGCAAATCCCCCTGGAATATTTAGAAACTCATGTCTGCCTTCCCGCTAAATATTTGTCCATGTGCTTATTTTTGGTGGGACCATAGGGTGGGGTGGGGGAAGGGAGGGGACGAGGGACCAGGAGGGTAGAGGAAGGGGCATGGAAGGAGCCACTCTGGGCTGGGCTGTCTCTGCTGATGACTGTTTTCTGGACGCCCTCGCAGATCTGCCCGGTCAGCAAAATGGTGTAACAGAAATGCCCCAGTGCTCAGCTGTGCATATGGATGGATGCTCAGGGCTGATATCTGAGCCTAGGCTATAGCCCTCCTCTCGACCGGCTCCCTCACCCTCACAGAGGAAACTCAAGCCACGGAGGATGTGGCAGAGGGAACGAGGATGGCCTGGGTTTGCTCCCTGAGGCTCAGCCTGTCCTACACTGCTATCCTGAACCCCCAAAACCCAATGGACAGGTGAGTCTCCTCTGACCACACAGACCATGTGATACATGAATGACCACTAGCCCCTGCTGCCAACCCCAGCATCAGTGGTGGGGGTCTGGCTCCAAGGGTGGGGCGGAAAACCAAGCCCCAAACAGACCTGCTCTGGAATGGGCTCAAGGACAGTCTCCAGGAAACCCTTCCTAACCTGTGGCTGAGTCAGGGGCCACTTCCAGGCTCCCATATGGATCCTGCTAAGTTGCAGCTGACCGTTCAGTTACTCCAGGTAGAAGCAACTTGAGTCTGAATGCAAAGCATCAAGCTAAGGAATGTCAGTTAGCTGGCTGGTGGGCTAAATTCCACCCTCAAACAGACACGGGAGCTAGCTGGGAAGCTTGGGCAGAGGGGCCTGGGGCAGGTAGGAGGATCTTAATTTGGATCTGGCTGGAGAAGGAAAAGACAACCTTATGGGAGACTTCCTCAGGGTGCCAAGATGACGCTACTCACCCTGCGCCATGGACACCAAGCTCCCTGAGGCAGACCAGGGCTGACTGCCCCATTAAGCCCTGGTGGGGGACCTGAGGGCCTCAAGGACAGGGTACACACTGCAGGACTTTTGCCCTGTGCTGCAGGATACTGGGAGGACAGCCTGCTCTAGCCTCTCGCCTTAATGTTCCAGTAGTTTCGGCTGAGCCTGGGTCTCTAGGCGAGGAGGGCGGTGAAAGGTCCCACAGGTGCACACAAAGCGCTACAGGTCTTACACCTCTCTCTGACCACAGCCCCCCACAACCATTCCTGAGCACCGCCTGGATCAGACAGCTGGCCCGGCCTGGGTGCAAAGGTGGGGTACAGTTTCATGCCATGCAGCATGCCCACCCCACCACCCTTGCAGGGGAACCAGGCTAAGGGGACATGCAGACACGTGGTGCACCAGGGACCCAAGCAGCAGGAACATGCAGGTCAGGGGTCTGCCCACCCATCCCTGGTCCTGCCTGCCCGCCGGCCCAAACAACAGAGACTGGCAGGCAGGCACGGCGCAGTGAGCCTGAGGGAGCTGACCGAGCCCGCTGGGCCCTACTGACAGGCGTGTCCCATCGATGGGCGAACTGTAGATGGATAAGAAGTGAAAAGGACCAACCTTCTCGCTGATCTGAGAGATGAGAGTTTGGGTTGATGGCAGAGTGCGATGAAGATGAGGAGGGAATAAAAAAAAGACAAGGAGAAACACAGAGAGAGTAAAAACAGGCCAACCTTCATCTGCCCACACAGCACGGAGACGAGACGAGACTCCTGTGCCCCCTCGCACACACACATGCACACAGGTGCACACGAACCACATCACTCACAAAAGACTCAGGACTCATGGAGGACATGGTGGACAGGGCTGAGGCCCGCCAGCAGGCGCCAGGGAGGCCGAGGGTGGGGCCGGGGCAGGTGAAAATGGGGCACAGGCAGGCCCCCATGCCTCACACGCACCCCACAGCTCAGACAGACCCTGTGGACCGGGCTCTGGGGTCAAGGCCCACCCAGCCCACAAACCTGCCAAGGTACAGGAGCCACTAGAAGCCACCCCCACACACACCACCGGTGTAAGGAGCATGTCTGGGCACCTGTGGGGAAAAAGGCACTGTCCCTGTTTTAGACAGCTGTGGCCCGCAGCCAGGTCCCTAGAGAAAGGGGGAAGGCTGGTAGTCCTGGCACAGGTAGGCCAGGCTCTGAGGAGGGCAGGGCTCCACCCTGGCCCCAGCAGCTGTACACCCAGAGAGCTGTAGATGGAAGGAGAGAATGAGTCACTCAGGGAGAGTCAGGTGGTGAAGGAGAAAGGCTCTGGCCCACCCAGCATGCCTGGGCCTGCTAGACTGTGGGTGGAGCTGCAGGCAACTGTGAACAAAGTCAGATGTAACTGGATGACACATCCCCCCACAGTGCTATCCGAGAGGCTACTGACTAGTAGCCGAGTGCTAGCTGCAGAGGCTACTGACTAGCAAGTGCTTCCTGTGTGCCTGGCAATGTGCCTGGTGCTTCACGTGTACTGTCCCATTAAATGTAGCAGTCGCGTGGCCTCAGAGAGCGACACTGGGAGCCCTGAGAATTTGGGGGACAGAAGGGAGATGTGAGGTAGACACCGAAGCCAAGTCTGATGAGGAGACGAAGCCTTGCGGCCAGTGGACACAGGTGAAGAGAGTCAGATGGGTGGAGACAATGGCAGTGGGAAGCCATCAGTAATTTCCCCCAGGTGACACGTTGCAACGTTTGTTTTGACTGAGGGGTGCCACTGGCATCTAGTGAGCTAGAGATGCTGCTAAACACCCTCCAATGCACAGGATGGCCCCTCACAACTAAGAATCGTCCAGCCCAAAATGTCAACAGTGCTGCGGCTGAGAAGTTCAGGGCTAGAGCCCACATCAAGCCGTCTGAGGCTCAGGAGCCTGCTGTGGGAGGAAACCTCGAAGCCTCTCTGCTGGGAGATGGGACGGGGTGCAGGCCAGAAAGCAGGCTGGCACTGGGGACTCCTCCACGGCCATCCACCCACAAGCAGGGCTCAGGATGCAGAGCTGGTGGTCAGCCCAGTACAGGCTGTCCCCAGGCGCTGGGGCTGAAGGGCCCCTAGTACTGCTGAGGGCAGAAGGCAGGGGTTTTGCCAACCATGAGATGACGAGCAGTGGGGGCACCAGAGGCAAGGCACCCAGGGAGCAGGGCCTTTCAGGTGTGCCTAAGTCCTGTCAGTAGGACAGTAGGGCCTAT
The DNA here is from genome assembly GCF_000001405.40 of Homo sapiens. Classification (NCBI taxonomy): domain Eukaryota; kingdom Metazoa; phylum Chordata; class Mammalia; order Primates; family Hominidae; genus Homo; species Homo sapiens. The sequence continues at coordinate 43,581,486 of NC_000001.11, read as the reverse complement.
GGGGCAGGTTGCTCTTGGCAAAGCAGGGTGGTGTAGATTCAATTAGGGTCTACATGAGGCAGGTCCTGGGGACAGAGCTTAGAAACGGTCCTGAGACATCAGGGCCTAGAGGAACGTCGTATGTGTGTGTGAGAGAGACAACAGAAGTCAGGTTTGGCTGTTTTGGAGTCCCTGGCAAGTGGGGCTGGAACTAAAGGAACCCCCGTATTTCCTACCAAAAGGCATGTGGGGATGGAGCCAGAAGGGTAGATTCAAGAAGAGCTGGTAGAGTTAGGGGTTGGGCCATGGCAAGAGCCAGTCAGGGCCCTGCCTGAGTCTACCATGTGTAAACAGGGAGCCCCACAGACAGGGATGCTCCAAGGGGCTGCACATAAGAGCTCCCTGGGCAGTGACTGAGCTGCCAGCTACAGCAGCTGAGCTCAGTCGATCTCCAAAGAGACCCACTGCTCTGCCTCCAGGGCTGGGGCCAGTGTAACAGTGACTTCAGAGAATGCTGCCTAGTCAAGAGGACAATGCGGGGGTCCATCCACCTCTGGGCCTTCTTCTGCCTCAGCACTGCCTCCTGTAGCTGTGCCCTGGGAAATGTGCCCATAGGCCACGCCCTTGCAGCTGGCTTGGGTTTACAGTGGCTCTACTGGGCCTCTCCTCTCCCTGGTGCAGCCACATGCAAAGGCTTTCTTGCTGAGGCCTGGAACTGCCACTCTCGACCCTACAGTCTTGTGAGCAGAGCTCTAGAGAGCACAGCATTTGCGATAGTCAGGGTGGGAGGAGGCAGATCTTTGAGAAGGGTCATTCCAGCTGCTCCTCTGTTGGAGTGGACTCGCCAGCCCCAATGCCTGCCAGACACTCTGCCTGGGGCAGGGTGGGGCCAAGGCTGTGCCGCTTACAACTCCACTCCTCTAGGCCATTTGGGAAGTTTTCAGGCTCTTGTTCCTGAAGACAGACAAGCTGACCTGAGGCCTGAGCCTTGAGGAGTAAGACACCTGACAGTAAGCTAGGGGACCTCCCATCCCATGCCCCCAACTCTCATGAAGCATCTTTAATAGTCTCTGAAGCACAATTTGCCCACCACAAATAGTTCCTCTGCAGCTCAACTGGTCACCGAATGGGCTGGCAGCCTGTGGCCTCTCCAGAACCACCCTCTCCCATGACAGACAGCAACTCCTTGATAAGTGTATTTTGGTTGACAGCCTTGACAGCCTAATTCTCTCTGCTCTGAGTAAGCAAGTCTGACCACATGGCCCCAAAGAGTCGGACAGGCCACCGCCATCACCCACCACGTGCACTGGGTGGAGAGTCAGACGACACCCCTCAGGAAGCCGCGCTAAGCACTTGGCGTGATGGAATCATCACTGCAAGGAGCCATGTCCGCTTTCCTTTACAATCCCCTGGGTGGAGACAGTTGTACTTTTTTTTTTTTTTTGAGATGGAGTCTTGCTCTTTCACCAAGCTGGAGTGCAGTGGCGCGACCTTGGCTCACTGCAACCTCTGGTTCAAGCGATTTTCCTACCTCAGCCTCCTGAGTAGCTGGGATTACAGGCACGCGCCACCACGCCCAGCTAATTTTTGTAGTTTTAGTAGAGACGGGGTTTCACCATGTTGGCCAGGATGGTCTCGATCTCCTGACCTCGTGATCTGCCTGCCTCAGCCTCCCAAAGTGCTGGGATTACAGGCGTGAGCCACCACACCCGGTCAACAGTTTAACTTTTAATGACATCCATCTGTACAAGAAGGCTAGGTGAGGGGACAGTATGAGGGTAGAAGGGGCTCTCAGGGCCCCTTCTGGGCACATGTATACCAGACCCAGTGTGTTCTCAGGAAAGGGCAAGGTGGCCAGCTTTAGTCACCCCTAGGCTGTGAGCATAGCAGAGATTGGAAACCCCAAAACAGTCCCCAGGTTCCTCTCTGCTGGGAACTTGGACTTCCAGAAAGCACACTGTCCACTCGCTCCCAGCAAAGAACATCTGGAACACACCAGGTGCTCACCCGAGGCAACATAACCACAGGGGCTCACAGCTGAACACAAGGGTTCCTCCAGGAAGGCTCCAGGAAGACCTGGCCAGAGGATAGGCTCACCTGGCCTGGTCCGTTCCTGAGGCCTTACTACCCCAAAGCCCAGAGCCATGGTGGTTCTGGAGCCCACCATGCTGCGGCAGGCAGGAGGATGTACTGAAGGAAAGCCAGGCCAGGTATGCATGCATTTACACACAGATAAGTGTGCCCGTGTGTGCACACACACATGCACATACACCAAGAAGTCGGATTGGATGGCTCCAAATTCCCATGGGGCTCCGGGCCCATGCGGCAAGACCTACAAAAGATACAAATGCTCCCAAGAGTGGCTGCTTCCCCATGGGCCTGCAAGGAAGGAAGGCGAAGTAGTGGCAGACGCCAGGAACTTGCCCAGTGGGAGCTGTTGCTGCTGCTGCAGAAAGAAGCAGGAAGGAGAAGAGACTGGGCCCATGGCAGTCCCTTGCGTGTCTGCACCAAGGGCTCTGGGCAGAGAGCCCGGCAGGTGCAGCACAGCTCTGTGGTGACAGGGGCCAGGCACTGCCTGAGTCCTTACCTCGCACATACAGGTTCGCAGGGGCTGAGTAACGTGTGCCTGCCGAGTTGGTCGCCACACACTCGTACTTGCCTTGGTCGGATTCCTCACTGCTCTCTATCTGCAAGGCACCTGTGGGTACACGAAGCGAGAGGTCAGGCACGGCCCATGTCGAGTGTGGCCTGGAACACGGTGAGAGGTCTCGACAGCATCTGTGGCTGATGTTGACCAGATGTCGAAGCTCATCCAGGCCACACCCTGGCACCCCTGCTGCTTCCAGGAAGCTCTCCCTGAAGAGCCCAGTGGCCTCCTGTCTAGAACCAACGGTTGTGCTTTGGAGCACAATCTCATGCTCCCCACAGTCCAGCAAGACCCACCTTTGCTCTGCCAGGGACTGTACCCCAACCCCCAGCTCCATTCAGTTTCTGCCACACTCTTGCCAGTACTGGAGCCTATTTCCCAATCAACATCCCTGTTAGTGTTCCTGGCCCCGCAGCCCCACTAAGCCAGTCAGAGCCAGGTGTGGGAGCAGCCTGCAGACTGGCGGGCCTGGGATTCACAAGCACGCCATGCCCTCATCAGGCTGGAGCTTGAGAATTTGCCGCCCACCAGGAAGGAATGGGTTTGCCCTGGGGGCCTGGTGCCCAGCAGCCTCTGCTCCCAGCACCATCTTCCCCTCCTACTCCACCCCCTCCCCGCCAGCCCCACCCATTCCAGCTCCACTCCTCAGCCCGGTCCTGCTAAAGTGCTTCGACCCACCACGGCTCCTGCATAATTCAAGAGGCTAATGGAGGTTGGAGCTCTCACTCGGGCCAGTGCCCTGAGGGGCTGCTCTGGCCGCAGACGGACAGACAGGAGCCAGGATCGGGGTGGGTAGCAAAAGGACCCTCAGAAAGGGTGGAGGAATCTTGGGCTTGAGGCCAGTTCTGACAGGTCCTGGCGGGGGAGGCCAAGGCAGAGCGGCAAGGTGGGGGTGGATCCACTGGACTTGGCCGTCCCCTGGCCCCACCAATAAACACTTGAAAAAACTGCTTGTGAAAGCACACTGGGCAAGCTGTCTGTGACAGACACACCCCCGGGCACAGGCAGCACACCCCTCCCTGGAACAATCCAACAGACAATTACACCCACACAGGACGGTCCAACAGTTAAGAACCCCCACAGGACACAGTCTGACAAAACCACCTCCTGCACAGAACAGCCAGCCTAACCTGACAGCCCCCACCTTCCCAGGGCCCAGGCTGATGGACAATCACACCCACACAGGACATGGACAGAAGCTGCCGGGCCCCCCCTGCCTGGACTGGACAGGAGCCAGAGGAAGAGTTCCAAGTCATGCTCTCACGGTTGGGGCCCAAAGGGGTACCACCCTGGGTCTGACCTATAGCCACCTCACTACCTGATGTCCCTCTTCCACCATCTAACCCAGGGCAGCAGGAGGGACTGGGAACCCCCAGGGGGCTGGCAGCTGGAGGTGAAGGAAGAGGGGAGGCCACCAATGCAGGACACAGGACCAGCCTGCCTCTTTGGTGCTGGCCTCAGCCCTCCCCACCAGATGCCAGGGAGCACCAGGGCCCAGTGCACATGCCAAATACCATCTCCTTTAAGAGCAGCCCTGATGGGCACCCAACAGGTCATGCTGATGGGATGGATGGACACTAGTACAGAAAATGTTCCTTCAAGCAGGTCGGGTTCAGGCCGCTGAGGGGTCGAGGCTGCCCTAAGGTCACCTGAGTGAGGCAGGGGGGTGTGGGTGGGGTGAGGGAGACCTGGTGGCTGGTGCCACAGGCTTGGGGCAGAAAGTGGTTCCTGGGTGAAATTTCTGACCCAGAAAATAGGAGGTTCCTCTGCAACAAGAGCCTAAGAGTGGTCAGGGGGCCTAACAGAGACTGGGTGCCTATTTGCATACAGAAATCCCCAAATCTGGAACCAACACCAGGACCCAGGAGCAGGGACAACAAAGAGTCACCACAGGCTGAGTAGATGGGCAGGGGGATTGGGGGGCTCCCAGGTGAAGCAAGAGCCAGCCTCCGGGTGATGGGCAAGATAGCACCCAGGAAGGCAGCTGCTCTTGCCTGAGACCATCCTGGTCCTGAGCTCTGAAGGTCTAGATGTGCCCAGACACTGAGAGAACTGGAGAGAAAATGATGTGAATAGACAAGCCACCATTTTACAGGTGTCTGCTCTGCGCCAGACACTACACATCCTCCTCTCCTCTAATTCTCATGACCCTGTGCGGCAGGTGGCCGTGACCCAATTTAAAGAGGAAATACACTTCTGAGAGATGAACTGAGTTTCTGAAGATCACATAGGTGGTAAGTCAGATTTGAACCTGGATCTTCCTGAGTCCAGAATCTGTGCTTTTAACTCTTAGGCTGCAGGGCCCTGCTGCGTGGAGGCAGCCTAGCGGGGACTCCGAGCTGACAGGTCAGGTGATGGAGTTACGCACGAGCCTGTTTACCTCCCTGTTGTCATCCTAGCACCTACACAGAACTCTTAAGTGAACATTCCTCCTAATCCTTGCCAGGCTGAAGGGATGATCCTCATTCTACCACGGTACAGAGCCGGGATACTAAAGGGAAAGTCAAGTAATAATTGAGGTCCCCCCAAAAGAGACTGTCAAGAGAAAAGGCAAGGCTTGGTCACACTCCTCAACCTCAAGGGAAGCTCTTCTGTCTAGGGAAGCCGGGGGACAGGCTAAGTTTCACAGTAGGAGCTGATGGGGTCCCTTCTGTGGGGATGGCCTGGAAGGCCTGGGCAGCAGGGCTTGCTGTCCTAGGCGGGGCCCGGCGAGTATCTTCACAATTCAGACTTGCAATGGATGAGTCCACAGGAGGGAATGACTGAGAGTGGATGTGTGTGGTGGCCGGTGGTGTTGGGGGTGCTGGAGCTGGAGATGAGGAGGCTGAAGAGGTTGGGATGGGGATGGGGAGGTGACAGACTGGACGGGATGGAGTGGAGGTGACGGCAGTGGCAAGGCGTGGTGTGGCGAGAGGCACGGACAGCATTCTTACCTCTGATTGGTGAACCACCTGGCGAGGTAATTTGAATGCAAATAAGATCAGAGAGAAGCATTAGTATAAAAGGAAGGAAAGCCACACAAAGCCAAATCAGGTAAAATAAAACACAAGAAAGGGCCTTAAATACATGGAGAAATTGAGGCCTGAGTTAGGCCGACACGGACAGTGTGTGAGCAAGCAGGCAGAGCCAGACTGAGTGTCAGTGAAGCTGTGTCCCAGGTCACTGGCTCTGCTCTGGGGAGGAGGAGGGGGCTCAGTGGGGCTGGGGGTGACGAGAATCAGGGAGGTGAGTCAGGACTCCTGCAGACCCCACTGGCTGGGGCCAATGGAGGGGGAAGGTGAAGAAAAGAGGTAGTAACCCCACCCCACAGGGCCACCCAAATCCCACCGGTGGGTAAGATTCCAAAACAAAGCACTTACCAAAACAAAGCCTGGTGTTAAGGCAGACAGGACACAGGCTAAAGGGAGGGCTTGCCATGGGCTACTAGCACACTGGGCCTCCCACAACACGCAGCCCAGCCGAGAGGAACGGGCAGCAGGACTCAGCAAACTCACAGCCCAGAGACAGAGTCCCTAGAAAGCCCACTCAACCCTGCTAAAAACTGGGGGACTACTGAACTTCCCCAATTTGGCCTGGCTGGCGAGAGGCAGAGATCAGGGCCCACCCTTTTCCTGTCTAGCACCTCATAACCCTGAGGGTTGGTAACCCAGAGGGCCAGGCGTTCACCCTCCATATCCAGGCCTATTAGGAGATTTGAGCGGGTTTCATCCCCAACAGGTACCTTCTCTGAGGCTCAAGCCCCCTGTGCAACCACTGCCTTCCCCAGAGGAGTGAGGAGCCCACAGATGGGCCCAGGTCCAGCCCACGTCTACCCTGCCCTGCTGCCTGCTTCCTGCCCACGTCTGGGGATTGGGAAGTGTGCAGAAAAATCAACACCAATCCGTTTCATGGAACTTGACAACAGCACCTAGAGGAATTCTTCATCTCTAAGTTCAAATGAGAAAACAGAGGCCAAGAGACATTCAGGGAATTACTCAAAGCCCAAGGTCACACCAGCTTGTGAGTGAAGTGGAAGGACTTGACAAGGTCCATCTAACTCATAGCCTGCCCACAGGATGAGGCTGCCAGTCCTGCAGATGCAGAGGCAGGGGAGAGGGCAAAGGCTGGGACCTGGGAGTGAGGGTTATGTGGGAAGAATCCGCACAATGATTCTCTCTCTCCAAGAGACCCTTTCAGGAGGTCCATAAGGAGGTCTGCAAGGTCAAAACTGTTTTCATAATACTAAGAAATTATTTGCTTTATACACTTTCTCTCATGAACGTAGAGTTTTTCAGAGGCTACATGACATGTGCTATCACAATTGCCCTAATGCAAAAGTAGCTAGAAAATCCAGCTGCCTTCTATATAAGTCCCAAATTAAAGAGATTTGTAATAAGGGTAAACCAATGTTGTCCCTCTTGGTAAATATTTTTGTTTTAAAAAAATAACTATTTTTCCTTAAAAATGTTATTTATGCTAATATATAATAGGTTTTTATTATTTTAAAATGCATTAATAAATATTTTAAAATAATCTCAGTCTTAATATCTAATATGGTAAACATCAATAGAAATAACCCACACAATGGCTGGGCACGGTGGCTCACCCCTGTAATCCCAGCACTTTGGGAGGCTGAGGCGGGCGGATCACCCGAGGTTCGGAGTTCAAGACCAGTCTGACCAACATGGTGAAACCCTGTCTCTACTAAAAATACAAAATTACCCAGGCGTGGTGACTCATGCTTGTAATCCCAGCTACTCAGGAGTATGAGGCAGGAGAATTGCTTGAACCTGGGAGGCAGAGGTTGCGATGAGCCGAGATCGCGCCATTGCACTCCAGCCTAGGTACCAAGAGCGAAACTCTGTCTCAAAAAAAAAAAAAAAAAAAAAAAAAAAAAAAAAAAAGAACCCACACAAGCAAACCCTCTTTGAGGTTCTCTGATATTTACAAGTAGAGGTCCTGAGACCAAAAAGTTGACATTGCTGATCTCCTGTCATCCACGCCAGGACTTGGTGGGGGTGGGAGCAGTGGATATGGTCCAGGGCTGGCATCCCTCGCTCCTGGCCTCAGCTCTTCCAGAACCTAACCTATTCTGAAAGAATCTAACAGTAATTTCCCCACCAAACAGAGAATCTGACTTTTCCATTTCACAAGATGGGTGTGGGGGACTGAAGGGGCCCAGAAGTCAGCATCCTTAGGGGTGTATTCGTGTCCAAGAGGTGCCAGGGAGCTCTGGGCCAAAGGGAAATTGTGAGCATGCACTGGCAGTGTGCCTTCCTGGCAGGCCCCGCAGATGGCAGAGCAGAGTGGGGTGGGGACAGGCTCTTCCAGCCAGAGCTGGGGCCAGCCAGCAGGGTGAGGGGCTGCAAGCCCTCTGCGTCCCACCCACGGGCCTCCTCCTGCAGCCAGATGCTGCATCTCTTCTTAAGACCCCCAGGTTTCGCCTCAGGGTGCTGGGGGTGGGGAAGAGACTGCTCTCTGGATGAGCACATGGACTTAGTGAGTTAGGCTGTCCTCTACGACAAAGGATGGCAGCTCATATGTTCAGGCCACAGCAGGAGTGCGGGAATCTCCTCAAGCCCTGTCCAGGCTCGGCACAGCCTGCAGGCCAACAGCTCCTCTCAGGACCCAGCAGGGGCTCTGAGCCCCTGCTCACAACTCCATTTCCACTCTATAAGCTTGTTCCTGTTCCTCCTGGGCCTACCCCGGTCTCAAGTTCCAATTCTCCAGGAGGTGGTTTTGGCAGCATGTCACATCACTACAGAGAAGAAAAGGCCTGCTGAGCAGAGCTCACATCTGGGCAGCGCATGCCGTCAGCTACCTCCTGTCCAGCTCCTACTTGGGGGGTCATGCCCTGGTTAGATGTGCTGTGGCTCAGGTTGCAGATGGTGGAGGACTTCTGGGTACTGGTCAGTGGGGGCCTGGGGTCTGGAGAAGCTGGGAATGTGCAGCTCTGAAGCCCCAGAAGGGTCCAGCTGCTCCTCAGGTCCCCAGGTTTGCTATTGTGATACTAGGTCCTGAGGTGATCTCACAGGGGAGCTCCTAGGCCGAGTCTCGATGTGTGACCCCAAGTGACTCCCTTAACTCAGCTGTGAAGGGGGCATGGTAATCACAGCCTGTCCTACTTCACAGGGCTGCAAGAGAATCAGCTGCAACAAAAGCGGGGAAAGCTCTGTTGTAAACTGTCGGTGATGCGTAAACCGTAAAGGTCCCGGTAAACAGCTGAGTGCTCAGGGGCCTGAGTCCACTCCATGAAGGGCTGTCCCTGAAAAATGTGCACGGAATAGCCTTAGCACCCTTCTAAATGGTAATGGGATAAGGCCAGCAACAACTGAGGCCAACGGTCCCAGGCCAGGTCAGGCAGGGAGGGGAGAGAGCCCAGTTATTACTGCAGAGGTGGGATGGTTGAGGCCCCTTAGGTGCCATCTGGCTCCATCCCAGGAGCTGGACCCTGGGCCCACGACCCTGAGGTCACAACTTCCAGGTGGCAGGAAGACAAATAAGGAAGTCTTCCTTGGACCTGGAAAGCAGAAGGAGGAGTGAACATTAGAGCAGATATTAGCCTACAGGGACAAGTGCCAAAGGTCAAGTTCATGAAATCATTCACTTGACAAGGGCTCAGAGAAGACCTGTCCTACAGCTGACCTCACCAAGTGTGATCAGACCCAGGCCCTCCCTGCAAGGCCTAGCTGAGCAGAACTGGAGCCAGATGGTGACAATGTAAAGCAAGGTGAGGCCTGAGGCAGCAGCCAGAGGCTGAGCAGGGTGGAGGTTTTCAAGTGGAGCAGCCGGAAGGTGAGCAGAGGGCCGGAGGTGGGCAAGGACCAAGGACGGGTCAGCACAGCTCAGTGTTAGGAGGGTCAAGGGCACAGAAAGTAGAAAGAGCTCCATGAAGCCCTTACCAGAGGCCAGGCCATCAACTCAAGGTTTGACTGCCATTGACTCACTCACTGCTTACTGTAACTCCTTTTCAAACATGAGAAAACTGACACACGAAAAAGTTAACCAATGCCAGAGAGCTGGTAAGTGGTGTAGCCAGGACCCGATGAGACACGGGCAGGGGAAGACCAAGAAGGGCCCTCTAAGCCTTGCTTGGGAGCGTCACTTGACCAGGTAGGCAAGGAGACACCACTGAGGCACAGGAAGGTATGAGCAGCAAACCTGACCTACAGGATGATGGATTCTCGGGAGGGCCCGGAGGCAGGGAAAGCAGTGTCTGGTGCCTGGGATAGGACTGACGCAGCAGGAGGGGAGAAGGGGGCCAATTTGAGAGCCACGAGGGTGGTACATTTGAGAGCTCTCAAACCAACTTGAGACCCATGTTCCAGGTTGGAGGGTGCCACTTATGGAAAGAGGGTACAGCTGTCTGAAAAGAAGGTCATCACTCATCACTGATCACCACTGGTCAGGGTGACCAGAAGGCAGGTCGAATTTTGGATCTAGAGCTCAGGTAAGAGGTTTGGGCTGGAAAGACTAAAGCTAGAGTTGCAGGTGAGGAGATGGCAGTTGGAGCTTTAGGAGGGGGTGAGCTCGTCCAGGGCAAGGCTGTGTCCATAGGGCAAAGGCAGGGCTTGGTGGAAGGGAAGATGCTGCTGCAGGGAAGGGGCACTAGGAAGAGGGAAGTCGCAAGAGACAGAGCCCTGAAAGGCTAGGGAAAAATGGGAGTGTGGTTGGGAAGGAGGGAGGAATGTTAGCTGCTGCCGAGAGGACAAGGAGGATGGGGCCTGAGTGGCATCCAGTGGAGTGATAGGCAAGGAAGGGGTGGCCCAGGGCCGGGCACCCCAAGCACTATATAAATACTAGATGAACCAATGTGTGAGCGAGCCTTCCCAGAGCTGCTGCCAGACAAGTCCATGTGGTTCTGTGGAGGGGCCCAGGCCAGCAGGGAGGAGCGTCTGGCTGCTTGGGGAGCCTGCCTGGAGGAACTATGAGAAAATGCAGAGGAGCCGAACCGTGCTGGCCGCTGTGCTGCGCTGGGCAGCGGCCACAAACACTGCCGGCCGTTTGCTGCCTTGATTATGGCTGTTTTAATTAACTGCGCTACAGCTGCCTCCATCTTGTTGAGTTTTAATTAAATTAAATGAGCTAACACTTCGTGGGCTGTCTCAGGCGGCCGTGGCTGGGGCCAGAATCTTGCCCTGCTGGGCAGCTTGTCTCTCCCTCCTCCTGCTGGGCACCAAGGGGCTGTGAGGCTGGTGGGAATTGATGGGGAGGGGCTGGCATCCCAGGGAGTGGGAGGGCACCTCTGAAGCCTGCAGGCCCCTGAAAGGGGCAAGAGTCATGTCCTCCTTTTCATCATTGACATCACAACTGACAGGCAGAAGGGGCTCTGGCCGGCACTGGCCATCCTGCCCGAGGCCAACCATCCCATAGCTAGCAGGAGGGCTTCTGAAGCAAAGACTATTGGTCCAGGCCGTGCTGGCAGCAGATGCAGAATGCAGCCAAGCTGATTCTGAGCCTCTTTTCCCGCCTGCTCTGTTCCCACAAAAACTGAATCAATTATCCTGGCAGGAGCCTCACAGGCAGATCGATCAATGGGGTGACACCTCCCTCCTGCACGATGGCATCCTTGCTCCCAGGGCTCCGAGCTGGCTCGACGGAGACATCCAGAGGAGACAGGTGGCTCTGGTGGTCGAGGGACAACAGCAAGTCCCCTTAGTTCCAGGCCCCTGAGATCCAGCCTTTTGAAGCCTGATGAATCAGGCACCTTTAGCCTCTTTTCCCAGCTAAGCCCTGCCATCTGAGGAAGCAAAGAGAAGCATCATCCAGGCCCTGTCTCAGGCCAGGCTACAGGGAAGGAGGAGGGTGAACATCCATAGAGCACCCTTGAAGAGTCCACCACACTGGCACATCACATGTGCTGGGAGGGGCAGAACTGGCCCAAAGTCTGGAGTCTGACAATCCGAAGAAGGTAACGGCACAGCCAACCACGAGCTCTCTTCCCTGAGCCAGGCACACCTGCAGTAAGACCCAGCCCACCCCACCAGGTACCCTCCGCTCAGCCCTGGAGGTGCCCAGGCCCAAGGGAGTAGGCTGTGCTGGGATCTGACAAGACGCTTGTTCTGAGGTCTGCATGGCCCCTTGACCCCTGCCCTCTGCTCACCTGAACGCAGCTGCTTGATGCGGCCGTTGCTCGTGGCAGGGTCTACAGGAAGGAAGTCCTTGAACCAAGAAATCTCAGGGTCTGGATTTCCGCCTGCGGCACATAGCATGGTGGCTGTGCGTGCCTTCTCCACCACCTTCAGCTGAGGCCCCATGTCGATGGAAGGGAACCCAGGGGGCAGCTGTTCCTCTGCAGACAAACAGCAATGTGTGTATTAGGGCTGGCTCTGCCTGCCCCCTATGACCCCTCTGGGGGTAACCTCCCCAACTGCAGGTTGGCCAGGGCCCTCAAGACTCCCCTCCCCTTTCCTTGACTTCTAAGCATGAAGCATACCCCGATTTGAGGAACCAGGGTCCTAAGTCTCTTTGGCAGGGCAGAGGCTGCAGTGGGGCCCACCCCTGCCCTGTCAGGGAGTTTCCAGGTCTGAGAGGCAACGCCTCAGACTGAAGGCGTCAGCACTTATCTCTCCAGGCCCTGAGAAGAACGAGAATCAATGCTCTGCTGGTCACAGCAGAAAGCACTGCATGAATGCTGGGGCTGCAGGGGGTGGGGGGGGGGGCTAGCAGGGAGCTCGCGCAGCATCCAACAGCCACAGCTCAGCCTGAAGGCCTCTGTGCTGTCCAGCCCCCTCTCCCCTGTCCGCACACACAGTGTTCCCTTCATCCAGCCTTCAGCTCTATCACATGGCAGAGCCCCAGGTCACCGCCTGGTCTCTAGCCCTGACCCGGGGCACCCCCAGCCCTACCAATGATCCCCTTCTAACTCCGATCCTGACCTTGACCTATTCGTTACTGCAGCCTTGACCTTGAGCTTTCTCCCTCACTTAGTCCTGACCCTGGGAGTCACGGTCAGGGCTGCAGACCATGCCTGAGTGTGTGGAGGCAAAGGAGATAAAAAAGCTCTAAAGACACAAAAAGTTGGTAGGGGGAGAAAAAACTCCCTCCTGGCTGCCTTCTCCCAGCTTGCTAGGGGTTGGCGGCACACAGAGGAGTCACTAGCATAGAGTAAGAGGAACAGATGTCAGCAGCAAACCCACTCCCACTGTACATGGGCTCCCATATCAGCCCCGAGGGGCTGCAGGGCAAGGCTATCTACTCTCCACCCCTTGGAAGCACAAGTCCAGGACAGGCTCAGGACTAGTATAGATCAAATGGGACTCCCACGTTCACCACGAACTAGCTTTAGGGCCTGGCATGTTACTCATTCTTTGTCTCCTTTATCTGTACACAGGGTTCAAGTGCCCACCTTGATGGTAAGGCTACTGTGAGGTCTGTATCTGATCATGCATGCAAGGTGTTGCGGAGCATCTGATGCGGAATTCACTCCCAGTGAATATTAGCTGGTGTAACTAGTAAGGGCTGAGCCACTGGGGCAGACAGGTATTGAGACTAGAGTCGGGAACTCCCTTTTCCACTCTAGGCTGGTGAGAGGCCCTTCCCACTAGGACCAAACCACCAATTTTCTTTTTCTTTTTTTTTTTTTTTGAGATGGAGTCTCACTCTGCTGCCCAGGCTGGAGTGCAGTGGTGCGATCTCAGCTCACCGCAACCTCCGCCTCCTGGGTTCAAGCAATTCTCCTGTCTCAGCCTCCCGAGTAGCTGGGATTACAAGCGCCCACCACCACGCCCGGCAAATTTTGTATTTTTAGTAGAGACGGGGTTTCACCATGTTGGCCAGGCTGGGCTCGAACTTCTGACCTCTGGTGATCTACCCGCCTCGGCCTCCCAAAGTGCTGGGATTACAGCTGTGAGCCACCAGGCCCCATCCCAAACCACCAATTTTCAAGGCCTCAGCAGAGTGTCTCTCCCAGTGTGGATGCCAGACACACCCAATGTGGGGCAAGGGGAATGTGTGTTCTTTGTCTGTCTCCTGGGGAAGGCGGGGAGCTGGGCTCATGGTGGGGGAGACCAGCACCACTCTACCTCCTTTCCACAAGCCCAGCACAAGATGGGTGTATGGGAACATGTGCCAAGGGAAGTCAGGCTTCTATGCCAGAGTAAAGGCACATGGCATCCTCAGACATGAAGAAGGTAAAGGCTGGCAGAAACTAGCCCTCCCTGGAGCCTCTTGGAGACCCAGGGAGAGCGACTGGGGGGCGGGTAGAAGAGGGAGTTGGACGAGCCCCAACAGGCAGGAGCAAGATACCTATCTATCTGCTGCCAGTCCCAGGGGATGCTCCCCAAGGCTCTAGCTGCCAGGGACATCCCAAAGGGACTGTGGCCCATGAGGAGCAGAGGTCTCAGGCTAGAGAGCAATAGGATTCCCAGCACGGCCTTGCCGCCCCAGCCTTTCCTGGGACCTGGCTGTACGTTTCCCCACCTGCAGCCCTAGAAGTTCTGGATATAAACCCAGTGTCTCCTTGGCTGTAAATATGATCCCACAGTGCCCTTTCAGATTTTTAAAAGTAAAATGTTCAACAGTGGCAAGAGAAGGGAAGGAGGACGGAAATGAAGAGGACTGAGATGCACCAGGCAGGGGATCAGCCTCCTTTGGCCCAGCTGCTGCTTGCTTCCATAGGAAGGCCTGAGGGGGACCAGAGGTGCAGGGCTCACCTCCCCAACACCTGGGGACACTCGGGGCTGCTAGGGCCATCCTGGGTGCCCTCCAGAGCACCAGTCTAACTCTTTCAAGACCTCATTCCTACCTGCCCAGCTCATGGGGAAGACGTGGCCATGGCCTGCCAGAGTCAGGGCCCAGGAGTCAAGTGGCCTTCATCTCCACCCGCAGATAGGGAAGGGAAGGGAAGTACAAATGTGTGCAGCCCTGTGTCTCGGAATCTACTCTGAATTCCTTACACGAGGAAGGTCTTTGGGATTTACGCCAAATTAAGGACAATTAATTTTCCTCCCTCAATTATCACGCCCTCAGTGGCTCTGTCCTTGGCTCAGATCATCCCTCAGGCACTGCCGCCAGAGCCTAAAACCAGAATGTGTGGAGAGCTGTCCATAAAACAGCGGGACCCAAAAGCCAGTCCCCTGTGCCAACTAGGCTTCTAGGCAGCACTCGGAAGTCTGCCACTCTGCCACCCGGGAAGGGAAGTGGGTCTTACAGGAGGGCTCCAGCCCCTCAGGAGCGACTTGCTGCTGCCTCTTCCTTCTCTCCCATCCAGGCGCCTCTGAACATTCAACTCAGCCAAGTACAGCAGCCCTTTCCTGACGCCCACCATGCGCCTGGCCTGGCTGAGCACTGGGCATCCTGGTGTAAACTGATCTATCAGCCAGACTGGCACACTTACCACCTTCCCCCACGGGCACCCGCGGAAGCTGGGTCTACCGCAGCCTCAACACTCAGGCTGAGGACCTGGGCAACTCCTCAGATGATGTCACATGATCACTCCAAACCCATCAACAACTGGGAAAACTGAGACCCAGGTATGAGGGACAGTAAGATTTATGAAGCATTTACTAGGTTCCAGGTACTATGTTAAAATGCTTTACAAAATGACTTAAATCTTTACCAAACCCTTATGAGGTACATGGGCAACCAGGGGCTGAGAGAGATCTAGACATCTGGACACCTGCCCAAGGTCACACAGCTAAATCGGAGGTGGGGCTGGGAGGAGACCGGGTGGTAGGCCCCCAGCCCCAGCGCTCTAGGCGTGAACACCCCGCGCGCGAGAGGGCCGGCAGCCTCCCCCACACCACGCCTCGGCCGGCACGGCTCAGGCTCCACTGCAGAGCCCCGCACACGCGCCGCGGCGTTTGCATCTACCGCAAAGCGAACCCCAGGGTCCCCCACACGTGGACAGTCGCAAGCACCCACCCATTTTCCAACCCCGGGATGCACCAGTCACGCTGAGTCCCCTCAAATCGCCTCCTGTTGGCGCCGAAGGGGAGGAAGGGCCCCTCCCCGCTCCAGGCCAGCCGGTAGCCATGGCGACGGTGGAGCGGCGGGCGCTGCCGCGGAAGGGCTGCGTGTGCCCGAGTCCGTGCAGGCGCGCGCGTCCGCTGTCCGCCCTGGCACCGCCCTTCCCGCCCCCGCCTGGGTGGAGCCTCTGCGCCCCTTCCCAGGCCCCGGCTCCTCAGCTCCAGGGAATCCTCCCACTAGGCTTTCCCGCTTCACCGACGCGGCCCTCCCCTCCACCCCCAACCGGGTGCCCTGCACAGTGCGGGGAGGGGCCATCTGCCTCCTCAGCCTCAGCGCCGGGGGCGTCTGCACTACGCGTCTCAGGGCCATGGCCTGATAAGAGGGTGCCCTGGACGGAAGGAGAAGCCCATGGGGACTTCAGGGGCCTTCAGAGGTACCCAAGAGCCCGAGTCTCCACACCGTTTGCGGATTCTACCCGCATGCATAGACAACATGCACACACATTCCCTAGGGTCTCCCCGGCTCACGCAGATATGTGTGCAAGGTGGGGAGTGTGCACGTGTGTGTGAATGCCTCCTGCACCTAACTGCGCTGGCCTTTACCCACTGCAGCAAGGAGACCTGTCCCCTTCCGTGGAGAGGTTTGGTTGCCCCATGGGCAGAAGACGATGACAAGCCCTAGCGAGGGGAGGGTCGGGGGTCGATGGTGGGAATCCAAGGTTCAGAAGTGGATGAGCGCTTGGCTAACCTCCCACAGCAGTGTTGGAGCTGATCGGTTTGACTCCACAGCTCACTTGCTATCTTGGTGGCTTCCTGGAGGAGGGAGATTCAAGAACAGGAAACACATGAGCATGGGAGGCAGAAAGCTTTCCAGGGAGGAGGGGAAAACTGCCTTTGTAAAGGCTGTTGTGGGGGAAGGTGGTGGGATGACAGTACCAAGGCGAGTCTGGTGGGAGCTGGGGCATGTGTTGGGGTCCTGACAGAGGAGCCTAAGATGGGGGTGGAGGCTGCTGAGGCCCCCTACAAAGTACACACAGGTCTCTTTGTCCAGCTCAGCCTTGGACGCCTGAGGGTGAGTCTCTGGGCCAGAGGGAGGGGGCTGCACCAGGGAAGCTGACAGATGGAGACGCCTTGCAGGGTCCTGGGGCAGGCAGCACCGTCTGTCAGTATGACCTTTTCACCCATGTTTACCCAGCTTCGTGGCGTCTCCGTGCAAACGCAGGCACGCACCCGCACACACAGACACAGGCCCCCTGGGGTGGCACCGTCTGTGAGCCTGACCGCCTCCCCTAAGCTTGAGTGTTGGGCCTGGCCTCACCCTGCCTCTCAACACACAGACACCATAGAAACATGCACAGCCAGGAACCCACAGAAATATACATGGAGAAACAGACAGGTGTAAAAATAGAAACCTACATGTGCATGTGGAGGGGCACCTGCAGTGACTAGCACCTGTGGAAACAGGCGCATGCAAGCAGATCCAGAGGCGGTGCACACAGAGACACGCAAACACACATGTGGAGACATGCACAGCCAGACACACCTATGCCAAAACACGTGCGCCTGGAGACACATGCAGGGACGAGACACATGAAGGAACCTCGTAGGTGGCAGGGCTGCTGGCTCCCCCTGCCCTTCAGCCGCTCCACAGAAGCCAAGGCCACCTCCAGCAGCTCCATCCTCAGCAGGGCCAGAGCCAGACGCCTTCCAAAAGTCGAAGGCTGCCAGATCTGCACGCTCCCACACTCTCCCAGAGAGCCCAGCCCCACCCCCAGGCTTCCAGGCAGTAAGGGGGGCCTGGGGAGCCTTGGGCCCATCTCCCTTCGCAGCTTTGAGTCTCGATTTTCAGCTGTTTTTCCAAGAGCAAACTCCCACCTCTTCCAGCACTCAGATTTCATCAAACTTGGCATCTTAAAAGCCTGTTTTGTTTTTCAATCTGAGCTGTTTGGGGCCTGTTGGCAGGCACGGCGTCCCCCTCCCAGTCATCCCCTCCTTCCTCGGGTTTCCCTGGCACCCCACATCGCCCTACTCAACCCAGTTGAGGCCTCCCCACCACAAGAACCCAGGGGCCATGCCCTGCGCATACACCCGACCCACACTGGAGTTCCAGACTCGGGCCCACACTGGACTCTCCTTCAGTGGCTCCCCAACCTCAGTCCTACTCCAGGGAGACTCTTGTCATCCATTCACTCCCTAGGTTCGGGCCCTTCCAGTCACTACAGACACTGATAGCCTCCCTCTCACTTCTCAGCCCTGCTGTCTCCCAACACCAAAGCCAACAATGGCTCCACGGAACTAACTGTTAAGGACACATGCCGGGCCTCTCGGCAGCACCCCGCCCTGCTGACCACTCCTCCTCCTTCGCACACTTTTTTCTCTTGGCATTTCTTGACCTCACACACTCCCAGTTTCCCTCCAGTCTCTCAGGAACCTCCTCCCAACATGGAGAGTCGGTTCCTGGGGCTCCTTCTGTCCTGGCTCTGGCCTCCTGAGATTTGCTATTTCTCAGCCTGTAAGATTCCAACTTCAGATGTCCCCCGGAGTGCCAGGCAAATGTGTACGAGGCCTCTTTGACACCTCCCTGGATGCCTGCGCACACCTGGCTCAACAGATTTCTAACTGGACTCACCAACTCGCCTCCTCAAACCTGGTCCTCCTCTAGTACATGAATCTTAGAAATGGCACCCCCACCTACCCAGCCCCAGAGCCAGGAACCTGGAGCCTTGCACCTCCCCAATCCTACAGGTAGCCAGGCAGGCCTCTACTCTTTCTAATCTTATTTTTTTTTTTTTTTTTGAGATGGAGTCTCGCTTGGTCGCCTAGGCTGAAGTGCAGTGGCGCCATCTCATATCACTGCAACCTCTGCCTCCCGGGTTCAAGCAATTCTTATGCCTCAGCCTCCAGAGTAGCTGGGATTACAGGCTCCTGCCACCACACCCAGCTAATTTTTACAGTTTTAGTAGAGACGGGGTTTCACTATGTTGGCCAGGCTGGTCTCGAACTCCCGACCTCAAGTGATCTGCCCACCTTGGCCTCCCAAAGCGCTGGGATTATAGGCATGATCCACCGTGCCCGGCCTCTTTCTAACCTTCTAGTGATCTGCTCCCCTATCTTCCCCTACCCATACCCAGATTTGCGCCAATGCCATCACTCACCTGGACTGCAACAACCTGTCATTGGTTTCCTTCCAGCCCCCACTATGCACCCACACGGACCTTTCTGAAGCTTAAGTTTGATCACGTCATTGCTCTGATTAAAATTTGGCCAGGAGCAGTGGCTCATGCCTGTAATCCCAGCACTCTGGGAGGCCAAAACGGGCAAATCACTTGAGGTCAGGAGTTCAAGACCAGCCTGGCCAACATGTTTCGTGAAACCCCATCTCTACTAAAAATACAAAAAATTAGCCGGGCGTGGTGGTCCATGCCTGTAATCCCAAGCTATTCGGGAGGCTGAGACATGAGAATTGCTTCAACCCAGGAGGCAGAGGTTGCAGTGAGCCGAGATCACGCCACTGCACTCCAGCCTGGGTGGCAGAGTGAGACTCCGTTTCAAAAAAGTCCTCTCAGGGCCAGGCGCGGTGGCTCACGCCTATAATCCCAGCACTTTGGGAGGCTGAGGCGGGTGGATCATGAGGTCAGGAGGTCAAGACCATCCTGGCTAACACGGTGAAACCCCATCTCTACTAAAAATACAAAAAATTAGTCAGGTGTGGTGGCGCGTGCCTGTAGTCCCAGCTGCTCGGAAGGCTGAGGCAGGAGAATCATCTGAACCCGGGAGGCGGAAGTTGCAGTGAGCTGAGATTGTGCCACCGCACTCCAGTCTGGGCCACAGAGTCAGACACCATCTCAAAAAAAAAAACAAGTCCTCTCTCCCCAGCAAGCAAACCAGTAGGAGGGAGCACCTTACCAAGGATGGAGAATGTGCATGCACAGGGCATTTGGGCATTTAAACCGCCATCCTGGTGAGCCTGTTCCCAGAGCCATTGGCTCCACCGTGGTCATGAGGCTAGGGAACACGTACAGTGGGCCTTACAAGTACCTGTGAGTATAGGGGCAGGGGGGCAGGCTGGGCACAGGGGAAGTGCCCAGTGTCCATGGCTAACAGAAGAGGCAGGAGTACCACCTACTAAACAGGAGCACCCATTCGGAAGGGAATCCACTTGGGCGCCTCAAGGCAGATCACAGCTAATAAAAACAGGAGAACTTACTTAATACCTCTCCCATCCCCATCCCTGAGGCCTAGAACCTCCAGGAAATGATTGTAGAACCTCATGTCTGCGTGGATCTGAAATCTACTGCAGTCATGGGGGTGTAAGGACAGGTCACAGAGGACTACAGCAGCTGGACCAGGGGTATACAGGTCATGCCTCAGTTGCTAAGGGAGAGGTAGAAGCTGGCTTGGGTTCCAGGTTCTGGGGCCACTTCTACATCCTCTGTGCTGCAAATCAGGTAGTTGACAGCCCCAGCTTCTGCCAAAGCAGACTGTTACCCCAGACACACATGTAGACAATAGAAAGGGATCACATCTTGCCACTTGGGAAGCCATCTTGTGCCTGCAATAGCCCTTTACCCAACTCCCCAGCCATCAAAGTCAGGCCTGGGCCAAGTCATTCCACCATGGGTGGAAGGAATATACAGGTTTGGAGCAGGGAAGGAGGTGGAGCAGGGAGAGATGACTCCTTGAGAAAACACACATGTACCCATCTTGCAAATGTAAGCTCCCTCACCAGCTCTGCTCCAGTTCCAGCCCAGCCCAGGATACCTCAGGACAGGGTCATATGTCTATCATTGACCCTCTGTCTCTAGGGCTATTTCCAAAAGGACTGTGTTGTGGAGTGGTCAGGGGGTATATCAAGAGGTCCTTCGTCATCCCACGAGCCCCAAAGCCAGCCAGGGTCAGAGCTCCTGCAGAACCCAGAGGTCCAAGCCCAGTACAGCACTGATTAGCCCCCACCCTGGTCACTACTTCATGTGCCGGACAGCCCTTCCCCAGAGCCTGCTCCAAGGCTGGCAACACCAGGCACTCCATCGAGACACCTGGATTCCCTGGCCCGCATGGCATAGGTGGTATGGTGCTGGCTGGACACTGAGGCCAGGTGGGAACAGACAGAAGGGACTGTGGGCTTGGTGGGGTAGGGGAGGGAGAGGAAAGGGTCCCAAGACCTCCTGCAGGCAGGTCTGGGCAGGATCCCTATCTGGTGCACCCCACCTCCTGGCCTGGCTACAGAGGAGCTGCTGAGGTCGACCACAACAGGTGCTGAGAACAGCTCAGCCAGACCATTCTGGCCACATCCAACTCTGTCGAACTTCCTGGCGGACCAACAGCTCCAAACAGGGATCCTGCGGGGTCCCAGAGACAATGAGCCCAGACACAGCATCTCCGACCTCCTGCCAGTGCCAGACTGACCCCACCACACTTCAGCTCGGGCTGCTTGCTGCCCACTCCTGCTGCTGCCCACACAGGTTGTAAGGCACACACCACCTGCTGTCCACTCCCACCCCCACACACTCCCGAGGCACACCTACACACACAGCCTGCTGCACATCACCTGCTGTGCACTCCACACACATGCACATGCATTGTCTGACATCAACACACATACACTATGTGCTGCATGTACAAGCACACAGCCTGCTGCACACCACCTGCTGTATGCACCACACACATGGCCTGCTGCACAAATATAGTGCCTGTTGCGTGTGCGCATGTACACACACACACACTGCCTGCTGCACACACACACGGCCTGATGCATACAAACACACAGTCTGCTGCACACCACCTGCTGTACACACCACAGCCTGCTGCATGCACACAAATGCACTGCCCACTGCATGCCACCTATTGTACACACACACACACACACACTGCCTGCTGCACACCATCTGCTGTACATACCATGCACACTGCTTGCTGTACACCCCTGCAAACTACCCGCTGCGCACACACACACTGCCTGATACATACACAGCCTGCTACACACCACCTGCTGGACACACACACATAAACACACTGCCTGACACATACACACAGCTTGCTACACACCACCTGCTGTACACACGCGCGCACACACACACACAGCCTGATACATACATAGCCTGCTACACACCACCTGCTGCACACCCCACAAACTACTCGCTGCACATAAAGATGCACACACACACCACACACTGCCTGATAAACACACTGCCTGCTGCACACCACCTGCTGTACAAACACACACACACACACACAGAGCCTGATACATACACACAGCCTGCCGCACACCACCTGCTGTACACCACACAAAGTACTCGCCGCATGCTGCACATAAACACACACCACACCCCGCCTGATACATACACACACTGCCTGCTGCACACCACCTGCTGTACACACACACACGCCTGCTGCACACAGTCTACTGCACACCTACTGCACACCCTTGCTGCACATAAACACACACACACTACCCGATATAAACACAGGTAGCCTGCCGCACGGCACACCGCACACATATACTGCCTGATAACACACACACACACTGCCTACTGCCCACACACTGCCTGATGCATATGCCTTGCTGTATACATAGCCCATAAGGTACTCACTACCTGCTTACCACCACACCACGCACTGCCTGACGCACACACGTGCACACAAACACTGCGCGCTGCATACACAGCCCATACAGCATGCAGTGCCTCCTGCACACACTGCCCCTTCCCCACTGCCTGATGGTAACGTGTGCGCTGACCGCTGCACACCCCGTTCTGTGCGCACAGCTTGCAAGGCAGCACCCCTGCTGCACACACTGCACCACACACTTCACACAAACACTGCCTTAAACATGGCACACAGGGCACCCACACCACACGAACAGTGCACGTTATCTGCCCTATCAATGACCCCAAGACAAGTAATGCTACCTGTACTCAGAACCCTTGGAGCTAAGCCCCCCAGGAGAAGTCCAAAACAGCTCATCTCTGCTCCACAGCTTCTTTCTTCTCCCCGCCTCCTTGTCCCTCCCAGAACCTACCCAAAGTCATCAGTGCCCTCCCCACACCACTGAATGTCTGGCGGCCTCCTGGGCTTTCCCGGCCAGTCCTTCCAGGCCTGAAATCTGCGGCCCCAGGTGAATCCATGACTTACAGACTGAGCTCCAAGACCTTCACTGCCCCTCAACCTCCTGGAGGGAAAGGCCAGGAATCCAGGCCTGCCTCCCTCCCCTCCCCCAGGGCTCCCCCTCCCTGGTGAGGGAAAATGTCAGATTCCCTGTCTCAGTGGCGGCAGCGGGCGGGTTGGAGGGGGAGTGATTCAGCCGCCGCCTCAAGAGTGCGGAGCGAGAAGAGCTTTTCCTGCCATTACCCGGCGAGGGAGAGGCTGGCGCGCTAATGGCTTCAATTACCACTCAGACAGGAACGCTGGGCGGCGGGCCCCACGCTCATCACAGCCAGGACAGGCTCACCCCGGCCAGCTTGTGCTGGGCACCCCCACCTCGTATGCAGTCCTGGCGGGGGTGTCAAGGGGAGGCCACACTGGGAATAACAATCCTGCTCAGATGCGAGGTGCAAAGGGCACGGCTGTGGGGGATTTGGGGGGGCACTCCCACGGGCTGTGGTGGGAGTGGCCCTGGAGCCACAGCAGTTGGGCCTGGTGTGACATGAGGCAAAGGCAGAGGGCACAGAACAGACTGCAGGCCTGGACTCCTTTTTGGGGGCACACTGATCTTCACCTGAGCCAGTTCACCCCAGACAGCCCTCAGCCATTCTCCAAGGAGACCAGCTCACAGGGAGAGCTGTGTGCAACTCAGGAAGGACTCTTACTTCCCCGACCCCAACTAGCTCCATCCCCTCCCCAGCCCTCCTCGTACCCTGTGGTGGCCTCCCAAGAATGGCCCTGGCTCCTGCCGGCCCCACCCCAGAGCTCCAGTCCAAGTCCAACCATCCTTTCACCCAGTTCCTGCAGGCACCCAGCTTTCTTGATCCTCCTAGGAGGGAGGGGAGGGGTGGGGTGAGGCGGGGCAGGGGGCGGGTGTTCACCCTCTGGGCTGCTTCCCTCTGGCCCTCCTGCGGCACGCCTTTCTGTCAAGCCCAATGCTGGCCAAGGTTATACAGACCAGCAGGATAAGTCAGCATTTTGTCTTCCTGGTGCTATGTTTCAGAAGCAGGAGGGGCTCACTCAGGCCCACAGCTCCACACCCTTCCCCGGAGCATGGACAGGGTCTGGGTACTTGCGCCACACTCTCCCCAGCCTCATCAGACACTTCTCACACCCCAGAAGCGCAAACATATACTGCTGGCCCCTGGTAGAGAAACCAAACGGAGGCACCTCCTGCAGGTCCTCTTTTTTTTTTTTTTTTTTGAGATGGAGTCTCCTGTCGCCCAGGCTGGAGTGCAGTGGCGCAATCTCAGCTCACTGCAACCTCCTCCTCCTGGGTTCAAGCAATTCTCCTGCCTCAGCCTCCCAAGTAGCTGGGACTACAGGCGTGCGCCACCACGCCCAGTTAATTTTGTATTTTTTGGTAGAGATGGGGTTTTGCCATGTTGGCCAGGCTGGTCTCGAACTCCTGACCTCAAGTGATGTGCAGGCCTCTGCCTCCCAAAGTGCTGGGATTACAGGCGTGAGCCACCACACCCAGCCCCTCCTGTCAGTCTGAAGTCCGTCCTCCTCACCCCAGGCCTGAAAGACCACCTCCATCCTCCTCAACCCTTTGAAAGGTAAGGCTGCCCAGGGCAGTGGCAGAGGTAAGAGGGCTCCTGACCCAGGACCTGGGGCTTAGGCGCTTTTGAAGGACTCCTCTTTCAATACTAACAAGGAGGCCCTGTTCCCCAATCTGAGAGCCTGAAAAGAAGCCCTCTGGGGCCTCTGGTCCTTCAGCCACCTCCCAAATGCCAGGGCAGGGCAGATGGCTCCCTGCTAGGACAGCTGCCAATAGGAGGACTGGGCAGCATTGAAATACTTGCCCCCAGGTCACGAGTGGGGAAACAGGTCAGAAGTGGCAGGGAGGAGCCTGAGAACACTCAGCAATCAGTGATGCTGGCCCAGGGCCTGTTCTCTGAGTTCCTATTGCACAGGTATGTCCCCCCGTGGGAGCAGGCAGTGGAGCTGCATCACCCGGATGATGCCACGCAGCACGGAGGCCAACCACCTTCAGCTCACGTGGTGAGGCCTCAAGATGTACAGCTTCCAGCCCCACAGCAACCACCACCACACTCCTGGGAAGCGCTTCATACACAGCATTCAATCTTCCAAACCAGCTTGGGTGGTAGGCATTATATCCATTTACAGATGGAGCAAATGAGGGTCAGAGGCATAGTTACTAACCCAAAGACACACGAGAAGTGAGTGGTCCAGAGTCTTAACCACTGTCCTCTATGGCTCCTCTAAGCTTGTAGAGCCCACGGACTCATACAAGACACAGATGCAAAACAGTAACCGACACTGGACGCAGTGCCTCAGGCCTGTAATCCCAGCACTTTGGGAGGCCAAGGCGGGCGAGGTCAGGAGTTCGAGACCAGCCTGGCCAACATGGTGAAACCCCGTCTCTACTAAAAATACAAACATTAGCTGGGCGTGGTGGCACCTGCCAGTAGTCCCAGCTACTTGGGAGGCTGAGGCAGGACAATCACTTGAACTCGGGAGGTGGAGGTTGCAGTGAGCCGAGATCTCACCACTGCACTCCAGCCTGGCAACAGAGTGAGACTCTGTCTCAAACAAAACTAAAAAACCCCCCAAAACCAAACAACAACAACAACAACAAAAAGAGTAACTGAATGGAGATGTGTGTGTGAACAGATAAAGCCACAGCGTAAAAATGGCCAATGTGAAAACATGTGCAGCTGTTCTTGTAATCAAAGAAATGCAAATTAAATTGAGATGCCATTTTTTGCCTATTAACTTGGCAAAAAATATTTTTTTGAAGATATTTCCCAACAGTGGGGAAGATGTGCAGGAAAGAGGCCCTCTTCTGCCCTGCTTGGCAGGAGTATGAATTGACACAATCTTCTGGAAATATCAAAAGGCTTAAAAATGCATGTGCCCTTTGACTCAGCAATTCCACTTCCATGAACCTAGAATAAGGGAATAATCAGGAAGGTGAACACATCCATCTGCAACGACGTGTATGGCACCTTATTTATAGAAACGAAAAAACTGAGAACATATGTGTCCAACAATAAGGGAATGGCTAAATAAATTAGGGTACTTGCATGTGACAGCTTACCCATAGCCATTAAGGATAATGATACAGGCTGGACGTGGTGGCTCACGCCTGTAATCCCAGCACTTTGGGAGGCCAAGGTGGGCGGATCACGAGGTCAGGAGTTCCAGACCAGCCTGTTCAATATGGTGAAACCCCGTCTTTACTAAAAATACAAAAATTAGTCACGAGTGGTGGTGCGCACCTGTAGTCCCAGCTACTCGGGAGGCTGAGCCAGGAGAATCGCTTGAACCCAGGAGGCAGAGGCTGCAGTGAGCCAAGATGGCACCACGGGACTCCAGGCTGGGTGACAGAGCTAGACTCCGTCTCAAAAAAAAAAAAAAAAAAAAAGAATAATGATACAGAAGAATATTTAGTGGCAAGGAAGATGTTAGCCATATTTTTTTTTGTTTGTTTTTAAAGCAGTCTACAAATCATCGGACAGTATGTGGTCCCATTTCTGTTCACACACACACATATATATGTATGCACAGAAAATGGGCCACGAGTAAGTAACCAAATGTTATTACTAGAGGTAAACTGAGACATTTTAATTTTTTCCTCTGTGCTATTCTATACTTTCCAATTTTTCAAAAAGGAACAGGTATCGACATCACATTCTTAAAAAGAAAGCAACAATCGGCCCGGGTGCGGTGGCTCACACCTGTAATCCCAGCAGTTTGGGAGGCTGAGGCAGGCGGATCACCTGAGGTCAGGAGTTTGAGACCAGCCTGACCAACATGGTAAAACTCCATCTCTACTAATAATACAAAATTAGCCAGGCATGGTGGCGCATGCCTGTAATCCCAGCTACTTGGGAGGCCGGGCAGGAGAATCGCTTGAACCCGGGAGGCAGAGGTTGCAGTGAGCTGAGATCACACCATTGCACTCCAGCCTGGGCAACAAGAGTGAGACTGCATCTCAAAAAAAAAAAAAGAAAGAAAGAAAGAAAAGAAAAAAAAGCAAGCAACAATCGATGCTATATTTTGAAAACATAAACACATTCAGACTGATGAATCAGTTGTGGCTGGGGTCTGATCATGTCACCCCCGCCTTGTTTGTGGCTTCCTATGTCCCTAGGAGAGTGTTCATTTCTCAGCCAGATCCTGTGTAATCTGCCCTCCAAACCTCTCCAGACTCATGCTGAATTGCTTTCTCCTTCTTCCTGTGCTCTCTAGCTCCCCCTCTGCCCTCCAGAAAACCCAAATTGAACTACTCAGAGCTCTCTGAAAGCTCCATCCTCTCTTGCTTCTGGGCCTGGGCACCTGCCTAGCTGCCAACTGCCACCCCCAACTCCCACCTGTCCTCAAGACTTGGCTTAGACACAGCTTCCTCCTCCTCGGTGCTCAGAGGACTTCAAGGTGGTCCAGGGA
This sequence comes from Homo sapiens, assembly GCF_000001405.40. NCBI lineage: Eukaryota > Metazoa > Chordata > Mammalia > Primates > Hominidae > Homo > Homo sapiens. The sequence continues at coordinate 43,554,420 of NC_000001.11, read as the reverse complement.
GTGTTTGTGAATGAATGGAGAAGCCACCAAGTGAGAGAAGACACTAAAATCCACGGACAGAGCCCCAGCCCTCAGCTCACAGGGGCAACAAGGAACACACCTGCCTGACACCTACGGCCAGGCTCCACATGGAAATCCGGTTCACTGCCAAACAGCCACAGCCATAACCACGTAACCCAAGGGATACACAGCTGCAGCTCCACACCTCAAGTCAGACCCCAGACCCCACCCAACCAACGACCCGGCTCAGCAGGAGAATACAAAGGCATCATGCCCCACATGGCTGGCCTCAGCATAAGCCGCACAATCCAGGCCAGATCCAATGACTATCCCTGTCCACCACTGACTTTCACTGACCCCGAGGTGGCCAGTCCTCCTTTCTGCCAAATGCACATGGGCCCAGGACAGGATCAGGGCTGGCTGGCTCTTCCCACGCCTCAGCCCGGCAGCCCACCGTGCCACGTCTCCCTAGCACGTACCTTCGAGCACTGAGAGCTTGGCACTAGTGTTGATCTCACCCAGGCTGTTAGTAGCTGTACACTCATAGATGGCTTCATCTCGCTGCACCCGCAATGGCTGGATCCGAAGCACTGACCCTGCCCCATCATCAAACTCAATGACCTGTCAGAGGACAGACATGGGGTCACAGCCTACTCAGGACACAGGAGCCTGCTCAGGGTCAGTTGTCCTCCCACCTCCAAAAGGTCCATGAGGAGGGACACTGAAAGGAGAGAGTGTGGGCAGACCCTGAGCCCTGCCGACCCCTTCCCACCACAGACGCACCTCGAAGCGCTGGGAGCTGACTTTCTTCCCCTTCTTCATCCATGTGATGCGCGGCTTGGGTTCTCCTGTAGCTTGGCACACGAAGGAGGCTACCCCTCCTGACAGCCCAGTCTGGTCCTCAGGGACTTTAATGAAGACAGGTTTGCCTGGAAGAGATGGAGACACCAAGTCACCACAGCACAGTCACTATAGGAATGGCCAGTGAGGAAGGTGGCAGTCATGGGGGCAGAGAGAAAGACCTACAAAGAAAACAAGGACACCTCACCTTTATGTAGCGCTTAGTATGTGCCAGGCACTGTTCAGAGAGTTTAACATTTTTTAACTCTGTTAAGCATATGAGGTGAGTGCTATAACTGTATCTGTTTCTAGAGGCCCAGAGAGGTTAAGGGATTTGTCCCATATGACACAGCTGGTAAGTGGTAGAGCTAAGATCTGAACCCAGGTGTTCCAAGTCTGGAGTTCACACTACCACTGCACCCTTCTGTTGCCCGCCCCACATCAATTCCAAGCTCCAGGAAAAAGGCGTGCTGGAGAGCTGCTGGGAAGAGCTCCAGCTCTCCCTGAGAGTTGTCCCTCCCCCTGCTCTCCATCTCAGTGATGGCACCACCATCCACCCCGGGGCTCCGGCCAGGAACCGAGACTCCTCCCTCTCTCCCAGCCCCCACATACCAGCAGCAGTCCCAAAGGCCTAGACAGTCCAGTTCCTAAGTCTCTCTGGATATCTTCCCAGGTGAATGCTTTCCTGTAAATCTGCCTCTCCCATCCCTCCCCCCCGACTTAGTTATTGCCTTCTGACAGTCTCCTCAAGGTGTCCACAGGGAGGCAGAGGGAGGAGAAGAAAGGTAGGGGCTCAGACATGGCACTGCCACACCCTCATCACCTCAGTACACATACCAGGGCCAGTCCACAGCCCCTATCCCTAAGAATTCAACCACCTAGGGTCATGAACCCAGAGAAGCCCAACCCATTTGCTACAATCTTGTAGCAATAGCTCGTTAATCTTGACAGCTGATCCATTTCCTATTAATCAGACCAATGAACAGCTCCAAAAAGGGCTAGTGCTGTGAGAAATGACCTTTCAGACCACCTGTTTGGTCCCCAGGAGCCCAGGCCCAGCCTGGTCCCTGGCACAGAAACGTGTGCGATGATGACAATCCTTTGCCAAGCACCCACTCTGCACCAGGTTCTTTATCTTTAGTCCTTCATTGCTATTATCCTCAGTTTACAGGCTCAGAGGGGTCAAGTCACTTGTCCAAGATCACATGCCAGTGAGGGGCACATCTGGGACCTGAATTCAGGCATGTTTGACTGTCAAACACCTGGTACAAAACAGTTCACACAAGATTGTCAGGGACCTTGACAAGAACAGAGTCAGTGGAGTGGTGGGTGGGGGCCAAAGCCAGACCAAAGAAGGCCAAAGAATGACTGGGAGGCGATGAGGGAGAGAGGGAAGTACAGGTGACTATACAGCCAGCAGCTGGAAAGGATGAGGCGGGAAGGGAGGTTTGTGAATTTTTTTTTTCTTTTTTTCTTGAAGACAGATATGAAAGGCAATGTTTAAATACTGATGGGAGCCAGCAGAGAGGGAAAAGGTGTTGATCCAGCAGAGAAGGGACGGCAGATGGGGCAGAGTCTCCAAGGAGGAGAGGGTCTATGGGAGCGGGGTAGGGAGTGGCAGCTGCAGGTACCAACAGAGAAGGAACTTTTGAGAACTCCAGGGGCCAGGGGCTCTGGGGGTTTTATGTAATTATTATGCAAGTCACTCACCATCTCTGAGCCTCTTTTTTCCCATCTCCAAAACAGTGACACAGGATTCTGTCATAGATGGAATGAGATGGCTGTAAACTGCTTTACGTGGTGGGCCTTCCATGAGGGAAGCTGTCACTCGTACCAGCATTATCAGTCTTACCGCAATCCCATAAGGTAGGTAGTATTATTATCCCCATTTAAGAGGTGGGGAAATAGAGGCTCGGAGGGTGAAATGACTGGCAAGTCAGAGGGATGCAGGCATGGAGCCAGGCTTTGATCCAGCCTTCTCACTCCTAAGCTCACCTACGGCCTTCCCTGGAGGGAGACCTTGGGACTGACTATGTTCTTAGAGTGCCTAGGGCAGGCTCGGGCAGCCAGCTCAGGGAGGCTGTAGGGACCAGAAAGACAAGAAGACACCACAGAAGGTCCAGAACCCCCCAGCGTGCCTTGCCCTTCCCCTGAATGCCCTTTGAAGGAGGCTCCAGGCTCTCCCGACTGCAGCTGTCTGCAAAGTTGGCCTCTGTTGCGCCTTCCAGACAGACCCTCTCAGACACGACTCTCCTGCTCAGGCTCCACTGGGGGTGTCTCCTGTCCCCCACCCCCATACCGTGCACTCTTCCCCCACACTTGAAGCCCTCCACAAAGCAGCTCAGGGTTCTCCACCTGCGCTGCCACACCCTAGTCCAGATACCACCTTCCCTTGACTGGCACTCCACTGGCCTAACACGCGGAAGCCCCTGCCTCCAGGCCTGCCCCACGCCTCCCGTCTGTTCTCTACTCAGTGTCCAGAGTGAGCTGACAGCCTCCCCCGACACCCCGCCCTATCAAAACCCTCCAAAGACCTGCCGAATCACTCTCCAAACACCTGTTATGGCAGACAAAGCCGCGGGGTCTGACCCAGCTGCTCTCCCCAGAGCCCCAGCTTTGGCTCCTCTAAAGAGCAACGTCATGTTCCCTGCAGCCACAGGGCCTTTGCATAAGCTGCTGCTTCTGCCAACCTCCGCCATACACTCTAACTTCCATTCATCCTTCTGCTCTCCATTTAAGTATCACTGCCTTCTCCAGTCCCCCTGCCCCCAACCTATGAGCTCAGTTCCTAGTTTGAAACTCCCGGGTAACTCCCTTGCCTCCCACAGCACTGCTCCTAGCTTATTACCTACCTGCCGAGCTTATAACTTTCACTCACAGTTTATTATGCACACGTGTGAGATTATTACTTTTCCACATTTTTGGTGTTTGATTAATGGCTGCTTCCCCTCCTAGAACATAACCCTGGGCAGGGCAGATAGCATGCCTGTCTGGATTCCTGTCCCAGTGTCTGACCCAGTTCCTGGCACCCAGGGGTGGAGAATGAAAGAAGGACCGAACTGAGGAACCAGGAGGATGAGGACCGCGGCCCCTGCTGCACCAGGGAAGAGAAACCCAGGGAGAAAGTGCCCCTCCAGCTCCTGCCGGGACCTGCAGCGGCAGAAACTGGGGGCTGGAACCGGCTGAACCGGAATGGCCGGGCGAGTGCGCCTGGGGGCGGGGTGGGGCGGGGCCTCCGCTCCAAACAAAGAAGCGGAGAGGAGACGCCGGGGAGGAGAGCCAGGTGTGGGTCACCGGCGGCCTGGAAGGAGGAGGGCCCAAGAGCCGTGGGAGGCTGGGCTGTGCCCAAGGCCTGGGGCTATCGAGGAGGCAGAACAACTCCCCTCCCTTGGAGGCTGGAGAGGAGCCTGCACCCTGCCCGCCCACCCAACAGACTAGGCCAAGCTGGCCCAAGGCAGCCCGGGGGACCAGACAGGCAGGCCCCGCCCCTCAACCAGGCCTCGCCCTCCGCTTCCCTCCAATCCACCTCCACCCGCAGGACACAGCACAGGAGACAAGGCGTTGCCCCTTATGTTCAGCAGAGGATCTTTGGGGAGCACAGATCTAACCGCACCTCTCCTCAGCTACCAACGGGCCTGATGTTCCTCTCTCCGTTCCCCTCTGAAATGTGCTCCTCCTAAGCTCTCAGGCTCACTTTTCTTTAGTCTTTTTTTTTTTTGAGAGGGGGGTCTCACTTTGTCACCCAGGTTGGAGTACAAGTGGCACAATCTCAGCTCACTGTAACCTCCGCCTCCACCTCCTAGGCTCAAGCAATCCTCCCACCTCAGCCTCCCGAGTAGCTGGGACCACAGGTGCACACCACCATGCCTGGCTAATTTTTTGTATTTTTGGTAAAGACAGGGTTTCACCACATTGCCAGGCTGGTCTCAAACTCCTGAGCTCTGGCGATCCACCTGCCTTGGCCTCCCAAAGTGTTGGGATTACGGGTATGAGCCACCACACCCGGCTTCTTTACTCTTTCAACAAGTATTTTTTGAGCACCTACTATAGTACAGGCCTAGCACTGTGCAGAGCACACAGCTTGGACCCACCACCTAGGCCACCCTGACAGGCCAGGCCCTCAGACTCCTCCCTGCCTTTGAGTGTGCCCAGCCCAGCCCCTCTCTCATGTCCCACCCAGCCAAGCTGCTGTAGGAGCCTGCTCTGTGTCCCATGGCCTGAGGTGCCCAGAGCTTCCCATCCCAGCACTGACCAGATCCCACAGTGTCAGGTCCCCAGGCAGGCAGCAAACCAAGCTACTTGAACTACTCTGCCCCGTGCCTGACCCACAGCTGGTGTTCAGTGAGGGTCGGAACACAACTTCTGAGACTGGGTCAACAGGGTGCCACCAGAGCACACCAGGAGGGCCTTTCTGCCAGTTACCCACTGCCACCTGGCCTGACACCCCACGAGAGCGTGCCCCCTCCCTGACACACACAGTGGTCGGGGGCCGCACAGCCCTTTCAGCACAGCTCCCGGGGTATGGACGGCAACATTCTCGAGCCACCAAGCCCATGCAGGGTGGGAGGAAGTGGCCTAAGAAAGGAGTAAGTGGAACTGGCTGGAGGAAGGGGGCTGCAACCACCTCCCAGGGAGGCTGTAGGGGTCCAGCCCCAGGGAGAGTCAAACTGGGCCACCATCAAGGCTCTTCTATGGAGAGACTGACTGCTATTTTGTGCCTTTCCCATGGAATACACATACACATGTACACACGGAGGCAGGGCCATGAGGGCCGGCGAAGGCAGGGCAGGGAGCTTCTGGAGAGACAGATATCCCTGGGTCTGAGCAGCTTAAGCTGGGACTCAGTGAGCTCCTGTGACTGTTCCTGGTACCCCCCTGGAGCCCACTCAGAGACAAGCCTGGTTCCCAGGGACAGAGCAAGAGCCCCAGGTCATGGCCTCAGATAAGGGGAATACATACTAGGTTCCAGGCACCTCATCCATGTGACCTCAGTTAACCTTTCCAGGTAGGAGTGATTATCCCCATTGTGCAATAGGAAAACAGGCCCAGAGAGAGAAAGCAACGGAATCTGCGGGAAGTCCCACAGGGAGCAGAGTCTAGACAGGCCACCCATAGAACGAGGGGGAGAGCATGACGACAGACAACAGACCCTGTGTGCTCCACAGGCTCTGGGGAGGAGGGAAATGACACAACAGACACACTCCCAGCTCCTCAGCCTCTGCCCACCTCTGTCAACCCACCCGCCACCCACCCCTCCAGCCAGCACGCATCCTGCTCTGAGCTCCTAGGATTCTGGGTAAATGGGCCATAACCAGGGTCTCACTCCCACCTGGTCTTCGGACCCCACCTCTGTCCCATGCTGTCGGGTTCTCACTGTGGCTCTCCCATGAATTCCACAGAGAAGCCCAGCCACATTCGTGCTTCTTCCCCGCAACCCCACCTCATTATGCAATACCCCCCCATTAGCAAATGTCCACTCACCCTTCAGGGCTCCCCTCTTCCAGGAAGCCTCCCAACTCCTCTCCCAAGATGCTTCTGCCATGGCCTGTGTCAGTGCCACCTACCCAGCACACCCTGTGGTCACTGCTCACAAGCCTGTGCCTCCACACTGCAGGTCTTGCCTGAAGACAGGCACGCGACACGCACTTGAGATCAGCAAAAACCTCTGCCCTGGCTCAGGACACCTCTGGCCCCACAACCTCCCCTCCTGAGAAGCCACAAAGCCTGGCTGGGGAAGCTGCGCTGCAGCAGATCCTACCCCAATGTGTGCCCAAATCTCCACTGGAGCTGCGCGTGCGGCACTGACACTGGGGCCTCTGGGCTAACTCTTGGCAGCTGCTTCTCCACCCGCTTCCCTCCACTCCCCTCAGAGGCCAGGGCCCCCATTCATTTGTCTCGTTAAGAGGCCTATTGAAACACATTTGTCCACTCCGCGCTTCACTGCCCCAGCTGTCAATTCTCTGGGGTGCCTACCCTATCTTCTGCAGTGGCCCTGTCTGTGTATGGCCACTTGCCCCTGGCTAGTAGTTGCCCAAGCTCAGCCTGAGCCCTGCCTCAGTGCAGGGAGAGATCCAAAACTGTGTGCAGTGTAAGACAGGCCTGGAAGACAGACCCTGGCTCCTGCGGCTCGGTCACTCTGACCCCCAGCCCAGGCTCCTGCCCCATGGCTCTCTGCCTGGGAGAAGGCCTGAGTCCCCTGAACCCCCTACCTGAAGAAGGCAGGATTTCAGCTTCTTCAGCTGCTTTCTACCGTCAAGACCTGGTGTTTGGGCTTTGGTTCCTAAGGAACCAGCATGGAGGTTCTCTGCTTTAAAAACTGTTCCCCCTTGCCCCTACCAATTACTACTGGGAATTGGTGAACCACTGAAAGAAGTCAGCGTGGTGGGTGAGTGGGGTGGGTGGAGGGACAGCGAGGGATGAGGTTGATAGAAGCTTGATAATGCAGGGCCTATAGAAGGGTTACGACCCTGGGGGCCTGGGGGTGGGAGGGAATGAAGGATTCTAAACTGAAGAGTGACAGGATGATGTTTTCACCTTGTGACACGACTCTACCTTTGGAATGCAGAATGGATTAGGAAGGAAAAGACTGGAGGCAGGGAAACCGTCAGGAGGCTGTTGCGTGCAAAAGCCCAAGAGCCGAGGGTGGCTTGGATGAAGGCGGTAGAGAGAGAAGTGGATGCATTCCAAAGATATTCAGAAGGTAGAAGCAACGGAGCTTGGTGATGGATTAGATGTGGGATATCACGGAGGGAGGAGGCTGGAGGAGGCCCAGGTTCTGACTTGGGTGACCGGGTGGGTGGTAATGCCTTTCACGGGAGAGAACACGGGAAGACAGCAGGCTGGGGGATGAGAGTGAGGGGTACAGGTTGGGGCGCGTTGGGTCTGAGGCAGGAGGAGGAGGGCAGCTCTTCTCCCAGGATGTGTTATCTGTTGAAGCCCAACTGGGCCATCCTTCCCCTGCCCTAGAGCTCCTGTCTGAAGGCCCTGAAAGTGCCTGGGGTTGGGTCGGCGGGGAGGGCAAGGACAGTACTTCAATGTCCAAGAGCTACTGACCACACGTGGACAAGCCTTCACCTTCCTGCCAACCATGTGGGTCACACCTGATAAGGCTTTCTACTCCAACCTGCCCCTGCAGGTTCCAGCCAGGCCTGGAGATCCCCTGCCCCACTTCCCCATGTGATTCCCCACCTGTCTTTTTTCCTTGCTCTCACCTGCCCAGCCCTCTCTTTGGTACCTGGTGCTCCCATGACCCTTTGCCCCACCCCTTGGGAATGCCTGCCCCTTCTCCTTTCCCTTCTAGCTCCACCCAGGACCCAGCACTTGAGGACAAAGGGCGGGACCACACCAGTCCCACCCCACTCCAGAATCAGTTCCTGAATAATTAATGAGCCATTAGGAGAAAGAGCCCTGGTGGGGCAAGGGGAGAGATCTGTACCCAGAGATACGGAGGCAGGTGGGGGAGCCCTATGGCCTGGTGACCCGTGGGCTGACCCCAGGGTTGGCCCTGGATCACCCCTGGGCTCTGGACAGGCTGGGAACGGCCCCTTCCCCCAGGGACCTTGGCTCCGACCTCGCCCCTCCCCCTCAGCCTGCAGATTGGCTAAATCTGCCCTGTGCCCCGCCTCCCACCAGTAACCAAGGAGTGGTAACCATGGCGATGGGGCGGGCTGAGGCCAGTCTCATAGTGCCAGGCAGGGGGAAGGGCAGCAGGAAAGGGACCAAAGTTCGGAGTTGGATCTGGATGGGGACAATTCCACCTCCCTCCAACACAAACACACACAGAGGGGCGTTGCTCAGCTTCCTGCCGGCCAAACACAATCTTCCCCCCATTTCCAGGTCTGAGGAGCTGGGGTGGGGGGATGCTCCTTTGCCTAGAAGGTCCCCATGAAAGGAGAAGGAGGGGCTCAGATCTGCATACTTGGATCCTGAGGGTCCAGCGTAGGGGAAGAGCTATGGGTGGCTCCCGCTTTTGACCCTCCTTGGGCCTATGGACACACCCGCGTCCTGGGCACACATCCATACGCATGCCCTGCGTGCCACCCCCCATTCCCATGCCGACCCCTGGCTGTAGCTCACACTGTGCCTTCAGCACAGATCTGCAACAGTGCACACAGCACACACACGCGCACATCACACAATGACCACATGAATCCAGGACAGGTCTCACCCCAGCCCCATAAGACAGGGTCACGATTCGACTGCCCCGCTCTGGTGCCTAAAGATGCTCCTAAGTACCCAGGTATTCCTTAGAAGGAGGCTCTCCAAGCAGTGGGGGCTCTCTAGGACAGAAGGTCTAAAGGGTTTCTGGCCACCCTGTCTCTCCTAGTAGCCGGTCTGTCCCCATCCCAGAGTCCTGCTGGGAAGGATGCCACCTTTCAACCTGGGAGATCTGTACCTTGAGGGGTCAGACTTACTGTCACCATGGGCGCCTGCCACCAAACCAAGCATCACCAGTGCAGGCACAAGGGGCACCATCGTCCTCCCTGGGGCTGGCTCAGGGGCCATCCAGGGCTCTAGCTCCACAGCCAGCCACAGCCCAGGACAATCAACCTGTAATGGAGAGAAGGGCAGAGCCAGTTAGCTGGTATTTACTGCTGTCCCTAATGCCCACCCCTGACGCTTTCTGACCCCCAGTCATCCTCACTGACCATCCAGAGCCTAGTTCAACAGAGCCCCCCACTTGGGCTGTGCAATGACCACCTAGACCTTCTGACCCCAGTGACCACCCAAGCTCCTCACTTATTCCCCAGCACCCACAAGGACAGCCCAACAGTCACGGTGGAGGGAGAAAGAGCGCAGGAGGCCTTCGGGCCATTCTCTAAACCTGAGTAGGAGGTACAGGGAGTGAGTGAGACCAGAGGATGTACAGTGTGTTCCAGTCCAAACCTTGAGCTTCTAACTCACCCCCATAAGAGGACAGGGAAACAGGGTCAGAGAGACGCTTACGTGGGACAGAGGACAGAGAGACAAGACAGTGACAAGGAGCAGTGAGGGGCAAAGCCAACTGACTCTGGAGTCTCCCTGGTAGAATTCTGTTGCCCCTCCTCTCCCCAGCAGGGAGGGAGAAGGTGGGAGGCCAGACTCCACGAGCACGCTGAGCACAGGCCCCTGAACACAGGCTTGTTAGCAGAAGACAGGCTCCAGGTATCAGAGGCTTCCAGCCAAAGCCACAACCCCTCAGTGCTCACCAGGACGTGCTCTTGACAAGCTGCTGCTGCCCTGCCTGGCCACCCTCGTCCTACCCATTCCCATGGCACCTTCCTACTTCACAGAGAAACCACAGGGAGGCCTCAGTGGCCAGGAATGGGGTGTTAGACCCTAGAATTCAAACCTCACATCTCTTCTGCCCTTGCCCCAGAAGCCCGGAGCCAAACAAGTGTAGGGATGATGGGGTGTGAACCTCAGGGGCTGATGTTTGAGACAGGAAGCTATGCACAAAAAGACTGAGTAGCGTCTGGGACTGGCTGAATGCCCCTAGGCCTTTACTTCCAAGGCTCCTGGCCTGAAGTGCCTGCAGGCACCTGGGTGAAGCCTCTAGCATGGCCGCACTATACATGGGAGATACGCTGCTATCACTCCCTGGCCCCACTGGTGAGCTCCCCAGGGTCTCTCTCCCATACCCCTCACCTGGGGGGCACCAGGGGATGTATGGAAGGGCCCACAAGCTCTGATCACACCATGCTCTGGGCAGAGGGGTGAGACGTGGTCGATCCCTCATGAATGCTGTGAAGACGCAACAGAGCAGAGTGCATGACGGTGAACACGCCTTGGGGCCCCACAGTGATACGCATGGACTTTGATAGGGGAGTTGTGATCAGACCCAGGTCCCCGCTGACCCACAATAGTAAGAGAATTTGCAAGGTGACAGGGCAGGTGACCAGGAATGGGCAGGGCTCAAAGGTGCTCCAGTCGTTTCTGAAATTTGAACCCTTGTCTCAACTGAGATAATCAAAGTTCATGAGGTCAGAAGGCAGCAGTTGAGCAAAGGTGTTGGACAAAGCAGGTGGGAATGCAAAGTGGGATGGGGCCAAACACAAAGGAAAAGGGGTGAGAGTTGTCCCCTGTCCCAGGATCCCACCAAAAATCTGAGACAGGAGCTGAACAACAAAGTAAGAACGGTGAAGGGTGTCCAGCCTTCATTTACACCAGTTCTTCAAGTAAGAACGTTGATAGGTGTCCAGCCCCATTTACACCAAGCTGGGGATGGATCTGCTCCACGATCCCAGAGCTGAGGTGGCTGAGACCACAATGACGCCTGCAAGGCCACAGTGGGATGGAGGTCACACATCACCAAGGCCCTGCCTGAGCTTGCGCTATGGTGCCACATGCAGCCAACGATGGAGCACCTTCCCAGCGGCCATCAGGTGGTGGACTATGAGTGGCTCTTCCTCCCTGGGCCTGTGGACACATCTGGTATCCTATGCCAGGCCAGGTCATCATGGGGGTATGGTCCCCTGATGGACCATCCTGGAGCCCCTGAATGAGACACATGAGTTTATAACTCAACAGCTGTGTTGCACCAAAGGACAGGGCACAGTGGCCTCGTACCGGCATCATCGGGTATAACAATATAATAGTCACAGAGGTTAACTTCCAGGAACAAGCATTCCAAGCATGCAACCCCTGCCAGGCAGGCTTCATAGGGACATAGGCCCCCAGCATGAGCATATCTCCCTGCTATGAAAATAAAATGCACAGCACCGTCATCATGGGATATAGCTCCCCAGTACAATGAGCAGAGGCTTAATCCCCTGTAGCCGCCTTGGTGCAGTAATCATAGCAGTATAACGCCCAGGTGCAGACATCATGGAGGTGTAATGGTGTGGTCTAGACATCACGTGGGCGGACACAGAGGGTACAGACATCATGGAGTGCAGCTGCCTGATAAGGACATTACAGGGGTGCAACTCCCCATACATTAGCAGAGGTGTAACGTGCTGTTACAGACTTCATGGTGGGGGCAGAGCTCCCAGGAGAGCCATCATGGGGGTAAAACTCCCAGAATAGACACCCATGTGGTACAAGCCTGGATGAGAGTCTGGCCATGGGTGTTGGAGAACTTGGGCCTCAGGTAACCCTACCCCCAACGTGGGGCCTCCAGAAACCCCCTGTGTATCTGGGTTGGGGTGCTCAGGACACTTTGTTCAGATCCAGAAAGTAGAACAGAGAGCTTCTTCCAGTGGTCCATGATGGACACAAGGACACAGATGCCCAGGGAGATGGGGAAACACAAGGGACACACACAAACACATTCTCAGGCAACTACTCTGGCAGCCACACAGCTGTACGAGCCAGGGCCTCTCCCTCACCAGCTCCTGGCGAGAGCAAGCTGCCTCCCGCCCTGAGACTCCGGGCACAGAGCCTGCCCTGGTGTCAGGCGGTTCAGGCCACTCCCAGCTCCAGGGCCTCCCTCATCAGAGCAGAGCAGCCCTGGATCCCCAGGCCTGGCCTCAAGAGTAGACCTTGGCCCCCAGAGTCCCAGGGTCCCAGGGTCACCTGTGGGGAGAAGGTGGGAGAGGAACAAGGGGCAGGGCTGCTGCTAGCCTGACTGCGGTTGCGAGGTTGAGCATCTTGTGAATCCATGCAACGGTGTTCACAGCAGAACACCCACTTCACCAGCATGGCTGGGTGAGCCTGGGCTTTCAACAACCGAGATAAAAACAAGGCCGGAGCACTGGGGCACTCAAGCTCGTCTCTGAATTGCACTGTGGACCATCCGTTCTGCCAAGCTGACATACTTGGGCAGGAACACAATTACATACGGTATGATATTATAGAATATAATTGGACACAATTTTTCCACATTCAGAATGGTTTTAATATATCCTTTTCCTTTGCTACGTCAGTGTAAAGCTGCCAACTGCCCTTTCTTGGGAAGAACTGTCCTTTATTCTCAAATATTGTCCTTGGTGTTAAAATGTTCTTTCCTGTATGAAATGATGGGGACAGCAGATAGCAGTTGTTTTTTTATAATGCCTTTACTTGGCAAAATAAAAAATTGCCAACCCCATGTCTGGCTCTTGAGTACTTTTGGAAATTGTATTGGTTCGTGAAACCAAAGAGCCTGGGAATCACTGCTTTGAGGGAAAAGGAAGAAGCAGGCACTAGACCAAGCCACAGCATTCGCATATGAACGTCACAGAAGATTCACGTTGCAAAACACAGAAGCCATGTCACCTCCATGCAGCCCACCCTAACCACCCTGCCAGCCTCTGTGGGGGCCCAAGGGACCATGTGATGGGGGCTTCCCTGGCTGGAGAACAGCTGGGATCATTCCTGAGTCCTCATCATAAATACGCAAACACAGATTGATTTGTTTTCCTTGGGCATGCATTATTATTCACAAATATTAATTAGTCTCCAAATACCACCTGTTTCTGTAGCCTCCCCCATCTCACCTCCCCAGGCCAGGACCCTGGGGCCCAGAAATGGACATGAGCAGAAGGAGGGGTATCCAGGGCCCTACAGAGCAGACGGCCAAGAGGAAAGGCCAGCACTTGGGCAACAGGAAGGGAAGAGCCTGTCGGCAGGGAGAGCTCTGAGCCGTTCATCTTCTAACCAGCGGGCAGCTAACCGAGCCCTTTTGTCATGTCCTGGACAGTTCACCGCGTGGCACTGCAGCAGCGGCCGCGGAGGCGGAAACAGGCCTTGTTATACTTGGGAAGGGAAAACCAACATGTTTCCAGCTCTCACCAAACCAACCACTGGATTATGACGGGAATAAATTATAGTCTCAGCCAGGACCCCTGACCCAGGGAAGGAGGGGCCTGTGGGGAAGAGGGTGAGGCCGCCTTCCCTCCTCCAGCCAGTTGGCCAGAATCCGTGAGCAGAGCCAGGAACAGCCCTCCCTCCCACGGCTGGTATCGGGGCTCCCACCAGCTGGACTGAGTCCCACCCTGTTGCAGCTCTCAGTTTCTCCATCTCACTGAGGAGTGGAGGGGGAGATTAGGAGGAGTGTCGCAGAGACTTGGAGGCGGCAAAGGGTCAGCAGGAGACTAACTCTGGAGGCAAATGACCAAAGGGGACCAGCAGAGGTATCTTCCTGCGGCTGTAACCCCTAAGCCTCCAGGCCCCTTCCTCTGGGGCTGGGGTCCCCCTTGGATTACTGTTTCCCAACTTTGTGCCTCCAAGCCTCTGTACCTGCCGTTCTGTCTATTGGAAAAAAATGTCCTTCTCCTGCCCCAGCACTCACTCACCCCTCAGAACTCTGCTCAAGTGGCCCATCACTATCCATCTTCCCCACTGACCCTCCCCAATTTTCCAGGTTTGTACAGTATAGTGAAAGCAGCAAGAGGCTGTAGACCAGAGGTTCTCAATTCAGGGTAATTTTGCCCCCATGGGACATTACGCAACGACTGGAGACATTTTTGATTGTCGAGACTGGGGAAAGCGGGGAGATGCTACTGGCATCTAGGGGGAAGAAACCAGGGATGCTGCTAGACACCCTACAATAACAAGCCCTGCCCCCACAATAAGGGTTATCTGATCCAAAATGTCAATGGTGCTGAGGCTGAGAAACCCCAACACAGACAACAAGATCCTTTGCCAATTGAGCCTAGAGCCTGACCTGGCCCCTGCCCCAGAACCCAATCCCCTGTGGGCACCCTGGGCCTTGTACCCAAGGAAGCTCCAACCTGGCTTAACTCCTGTATTTGCTGGCGCCTGGCCTCAGGATCTCAGAGTATCTTCCCCTGTACCCCCACATCAGCCCTACCCAGCCTCCAGAAGTCAGGTCCTATAGCACACCCCATCTGCACCCCACCAGACATGCCATCAGCTAGTGGCCTCCCGAGAGGACAGAGGGCTCCACCTTCAGGTACCTATTCTGGCAAGACTGGACTTCGAGTTAGGTCAGACCATCATCTGAGGATGGAGAGGCAAAGGGACACATAGTGTCCCTACACCCACCCTCCCCATCTGACCTTTCCAGCCTGTGACACAGCCCCTCTTGCTGCACCCTCTACATAACCCCAGTGCCCATCTCACCAAACGTAGGGTCTGGACCCCAGGAGACACCCAGGACATACACATTTCCTTCCCCTACCCAGGCCAGACCCATCTCTTCCACAGCCTTGTTAGTTCAGCCACCCGTCCAGATGTTCAGTGGGCAGGGTGATGAACAAGAGAGTCACAGGCTCTGCCTTCGAGGAGCTTACAGAGGGTGAACAGACCCACCGAGCTCTTGGCTCAGGATGGCCCAACCAGAACTCATCTGCCCCAATTCCACTCCTCCTCCAGGGTGTCCAGTCTTGGGGACAGCACCACCATGTTGTCAGTCACCAAGCCCGCAAACCCTCCTTAAATGCTCCCTTGTCCTCATCCCACACATCTAACCCATCAATAAGTTTGAATCTGACCTGCCTCCATCCTCACTGCCACTGTGTTAGTAAGACCTCATCACTTCCTGCCTCTTTGGTGGGCTTCCTGCCTTCAATCACTCCCAACCCATCCCGCACACAGACCAGTGCCACCTTTCAGCACATAAAAATGCAAATCTGCACTTTTGTTTGCCACTTTATTTCACAGCAGGCATTCAGACAGTGTTCCGTGAAAGAATGAACGGATGGGCAATGGACAGATCAACACATGGATATTGCTTCTCTGCTTAAGAACCTTCAATGCTGCTGTATTGCCCTCAGGAAAAAGTCTAAAGTCTTTAGCCTGACATCCAAGGCCCATGATGCTGACTCTAAACCAACTTACCAACCTCATTCCCTGCAACTCCAGCCCACCCATTCTGTGCTTCTAACAGACAGAGAGGAGAACAAGGGGACATCAAAGAGATGCAGAGGACATGCCCAGATCCTGCAGGCACCAAGCTCTTTCTACGACAACCTACAGTCGATGGGAACAGTCTTTTCTACAGAAACGTGGCGAATGGAGAAGCAGAAGAAAGATCCTGGTGTAAGTCCCAGGACATCACCCGGAAGCCTATTTCACACCTACAGTAGCTGACGAGCTGTATGTCATTCCCCATCCACCTCTATCATCCACTCCAGCCAGAAACTCAGGCACCATCCTTGACACCTCCCCTCCTTCATGCCCCACATTCAATCCTTCACCACGTCCTGTCTACTCTACCTCCCTAAATAGCACTCACATCCCTTCTCTCCACTTCTGTCACTGCCTCCCTGGTCCAGGCCTCCACAATCTCTCACCAGTGCACACTGGATCATGTCATGCCCCCTGCTGACACCCCCTCTATAGCTCTCCACTGACCCTGCATCAAATCCAAGCTGCTCAGCCTGGTCCATAGGACCCCTGTGCACCCCTGCTCCTGGCCACTCTGTGGGGCACACTCACCGAGTCTTTGCTTCTTCACCCCGGTCACTCTTGCTGGATACTCAGCACCAAGGGCCGGGCACCAGGGCCTCCACTCCTTCCTGGACAGAAAGGAAAGCATGAGAAAACATCAAGAATTTCATCACAACAGCATATGTATTGACACAGAAAGACATTAAAAATTTGCTGTTTATGCAGAAAAAAAAGCAGGTTATGGAAATGTTCATGTAGAACCATCCCCATCTGGTAAAAATGCCCATCTTTTCCCTTCACTCCCTCGCTCATTCATTTTGATACTCCCTAAGCACCTACTATGTGCTGGGCGTCCTTCCAGGCACCAGCCATATAGCTGTGAGCCACACAGACCAAGTCCCTGACCTCAGCAGTAGACTCTGTGGCCCAGCTCCTCAGCATGACCCCAGAGCCAAGCAGAGTCGGCCCCTCCCACCTCTGCAGCCCTACCTGCCCATGCTCTCCTCCTGCCAGAACGGGAACTTCCTCTTCTGATCCTCAAATGTGCCAAATTTCTTCCTGTCTCCCAGCCTTGCCAGTGCTGAATGCCACTGCCTGGCACAGGCTACCCATGCTCTTCTGGCCAACTTACCCTCGGATCTCAAGTCCAGTGGCACTTTCTCAGGGAAGCCTTCCACAATGTCCCAGACTACCTGCCTGGACCTTGGCTTGGAGCCGTGACCACAAACATGACTATTTATATATTTTTACAATTACTGAGTCACTACCATAAGCTTGATAGGAGCATGGACTGTGGCTGCCCAGCTCATTTCCGTATCCCCAGCGCCTGGCTGACAGCTGGCACATAGTAGGTGCTCAGTCAGCATACACTGAATGAGTGGATGAACGCATGAATGAGTTCAAAGAAAACAGCCCAGCCTGGAAGAACACACCCCAACATACATGCCAGTCTTCAAAGAAGCTTCAGAAGCAATATTTATTTTTGACTTTCTCTACTCTATAATTTTTAAAATGAAGGCGTGCCCCTGGATGCCTCCTCCGCTGGCACACATGCAGCGACAGAGCCCAGCCCCTTCCTTCTAGAGCCATTATTGAGTCCCCACCAGCGTGGGTACCATCCTGGGTGGGGGTGGGGGTCAGACACACCCATACCACCTCATCACCACTTCACGGAAGCTCAGCTGTTTGGCCTACTCGACGCAAGCTGCACCTTGCAGCAGGCTTCTCACCTCAAGCCCCCACATGCACAGTGATCCCCACCCCACACCACTCTGCCACCTTGGCTCCTCCTATAACGGACACAAAGAAACCACAGTGGGAGGGTGGTGCGTGGGAATGTCCTCACCGGCCCAAGACTGACCCTCATCATGAAATCAAGGACACACCTCTGCACCTGGGAATTACCCTCAAGTTGCACTAACCACCTCTGCCAATATGGGGGTACTCTCACCGACTGAAGGCCATCCCAACTGACCCAAGATGGCCCTCGCCAGCTTGGCGACCCAGCCTCCACTGCCCCACCTACCTGCACCAGAACCCGCAGCCCTCTCTGCATGCTTCCCTCCCCGCTCCCCAAGCTGAGTTTCCAGCAGCTGCTGCTCCCAGCATACAGGCTGCCCAGCAGGTCTGGCCAGACAAACCAGCTTCCAGGCCCCAAACTTAAAGGCCCATTTGTCTAGAGATGCCCGCAGGGCCTCACAGTATTCAAGTGAGGTTTTTGGCTGCACCATTGTGCAGAGACCCTGGGCAGAGGGGCAGAGTCCAAGGCAGGGAACTGGGTAATGGGAAAGGCCCCCCAAGCTGGCCAGGCGCTGCTGCCACACCCAGCCACAGCAGGGTCTCGTGCTTGGAGACTGAGACAGGCCCTACATGGAGCAGAAGCCACACCTGGAAAGAGGTGTGTACCCAAAGTGGCCAGGGGCCATTTTAGAAGACTAAACATTTGCAAAGACCCTGAGGCACACAGAACAGCATGAGGGCAGGATCCTAGAAAAGCCAAACAGTAACTTTGAACCACGTCAGTCTGGGATCAAACTGACCTCAAAACAACCTATCAGGCAACCAAATAAAGACTCAGATTCACCAACTGCAGCTCCCAGAACCCACTCTACACTCACACTGGGACAGAGCCCAGAACAACCAGGACAACCAGATACACCCCCAGAACAGAGCCAGAGCTGACATCTGGAAGGTTGACTAGAAAGCTACTCAGAAAGGGCCTGAATGGTTCAGGACCCAAGTTAGAAATCACACTGCTGGCCAGTCACAGTGGCTCACCCCTGTAATCCCGGCACTTTGGGAGGCCAAGGCAGGTGGATCACTTGAGCCAGGAGTTCAAGAGCAGCCTGGACAACATGACAAAACCCTGTCTCTAAAAAAATACAAAAATTAGCCAGGTGGGACTACACCTGTAGTCTCAGTTACTCAGGAGGCTGAGGTGGGAGGATCACTTGAGCCCAGGAGGTGGAGGCTGCAGTGAGCCACGACTGCACCACTACACTCCAGCCTGGGCAACAGAGTGAGATTCTGTTTCAAACCAAAGAGAAAAAGAAAGAAATCACACTGCTTGGCACCCAGGAAGGCCTCAGAAGGGGTGAAGTCCACAGTCATGTCCAATATCAAGAAAGAAAGCCCTTGGGGCCAACGCAGGGCTGGCCCCAGTAGGGTTCCCCATCATCTGCCAGGCCTGAAACCTGGCCCGGCAGTGGGTCAGGAGCAAGTCGATGATACCTAGGGGAATGCAGGCACAGCTGCCCTCTGGAGCAACCCCCAGAATGCCCCTGTGGCTGCACCAGGAACAGTCCCCAGAAACAGCAGCTAAAATACTGCTAAGGAGCTAAAACCAGAGTTCTCAGACCTAGAAGTCACGGTCACACAGAGACATGGTGCATCTGGACCACAGAGGCAGATGGTGGCAGAAAGAGCCTCAGTAGAAGCCCAGGGCCCAGGGAGGGTGGGAGGAAATGGAGAACTCAATACCCCAAGGCTGCCCCTTCTCAAAATTCCCTTCCACCTACCCCAAACATGGAGTCTCTTCTGCAGGCCTCACCTCTAGTCTTCTCAAGCCCACCCACCTGAAGGTCAAACACCTGAGCAACACAAACAATCCCATCGATAACAATAGGGGCAGGCACCCCCTTTGTTGAGCTCCTTGACCTGCTAATCTCAGCTCAGAATTGCAGCAACCTTAGGCAGACAGGGACCCTAACCTTAGCAGTCTATCTTCTCATTAAAGGCAACCTCATGTGACCCCTGATGGGAGGGTGGGTTTACACCATCCCAGTTGAGGATGATTACAGTAACTGCAAACACAGACAACAGTACTCACTAGATGCCAAGCCCTGTGCTACACACACTTTATGCATACTATCTTTAATCCTCATAACAACCCTTATAAGGCACGGGTTTTTATTATAATCATTTGACAAATGAGGAAGCGGATTCAGAGAGGTTAAGCCACTTGCTTAAAGTCACGCTGCTAGTAAACAGAGTCCAATCCTAGCAGTATAAAACTCGAGCTCTTCACCACTGTCGGAGGTTACTTTCTCTCGAGGTGCACAGCTCTATGGTCTCTCATACAGCTCTCGCTTCTCTTGGTCCGACCGACATTTCTCTCCCATACCCTCACACCAAAGCCCCTCCTTGATGTGCCTCCCCCACTGAGCCTCCAATGTCCCAAGTACCTCAAGGGCCACATGTCCAACTAAGAGCTTATTCTCTGCCCCTCCTCACCAAGTCCCTAACACAGTGAAGCTTCAGGGCCTTCAGTGAAGGCCCGCTCAACCACTCCGAGGAACCTGGACTCCTTCCTCTTCCTCTCCTTCACTCCCACATCCAATAAATCATTCTGTCCTGACAAGTGTACCTTCAAGATGGCACCATGCTACCACCTATCAAAGCCAGCATCTTCTCTCACCTTACTTACCTGCACCCTCTTGCCCCACTGGGCATCCTGTCTCCATCCTTTTCCCATAGCCACAGAGCATTTTCTGGAAACATAAACCTGACCACAGCACACTCCACCCTCCCTATCCAAGCTTTAAACCTTTGGTGTTTTCTCTCTGGGTTCTCAGAGTAAAATTACAGGTACTTAACAGGGCATTCAATGCCCTCTGTGATCTGCCACATCTCTGAATACTTCACAAGTGACAACACCTCCCAGTCTTTATTCATACTGGTTTTTATCTATCTCAAGTCCTTTCTCTCTTCTTCAAACTCCTACTCATCCCTCCAAACCTAGTTCACATCACTTCTTCTTGGTCTCCTCTGGGACTCACCTCACCCTGACCTCCGAACTCTCCCCCGTCTCTTGATGAACTCTTGCAATGTTCTAACCCAACTCAGAACCGCAGCTGCTTTAGTTGAGCAGATGCCTGAACCTTAGGGGTGGGCTGCCTCTTCTACATAGCTGTTAGTCCCAAAGGAAGAAAGGCAGCCGGGGCCGAAAGCGCCTACCCCGGGGTCTGGCACACAGTCAGCAATCAATGACAGGTAACTGAATTGCTTTTGCAATCCCATGGTGCAACCTGCTCCCCCAAGGACCACGAGCTTCTCGAGGGTAGGGCCCTGACTGCAAGCTGGAACCAAGCACACAGCAGTGTCAGTCACAAGGGAAGTGACTGCCACTGCTGACGATGCACTGCCACACAGTTCCCTTGGATTCTTACAACAGCCCTGGGACCCAGTCCGGGTTGGATTAGCTACCCCATTTTACAGGGAGTGAAATTGAGACTCAGGGAGAAAGGGGCCTCTTTGAGGCCTGAAGCTGGAAAGTGGAGGAGCCGTGGTGTGTATCACAACCCCTCTACTGCAGGAGGTCTGGGTCCCCTCCTCCCCGCCCCCAGGGAGGACCCTCAAAGCTAGACTCCCATAGTTCAGGCTGATGGAAAAAAGGGTGGACTGTGCCCAAACTGCCAGGGCTAGTATTTTGCTGCGTATCCATACACTTCCCAGTAAAAGATGTGTAGCTAGTTTCCGTTTGCTGCAGTCTAACTCTGCCCCGCCAAATTCCTTCACCAACACCCAACCACCCCCTCCTCTCTTGGCAGCCTTGTACACCAAGCCAACCCGCCCAGGGCACACAAAGCTGGATAAAGGGGAGGTATCAGTAGTTGCAAGAAGAAGGAAGAAAGGGAGGAAGGAAGGAAGGAATTATGTTAAAACAATTTTCTTGTTAAAGGAAAGAAAGAGGGAAGAGGAAGAGCAGCTGGAAAAGGAAACTATAAAGGAAACTAAAAAAAACACTATAAAGACATTTCAAATAAGAGACTGAGCAAGTAAAATGTGCAAGAAAGTGCATATACAAAAATACACAAGGATGACTGTGCATGTGCACAGGTATGCTGCGAGAGTGTGCAGGCACAGATTTCTTGAGCCCTGGCCGGCATGCGGGCCCAGGTATGCGAGAGGGGGCAAGAAAGCAGCTGAATAGGGAGTGTGTGTGGGGGTGGAGGGGGTGAGCTGAGTGTGGAAATGAAGGCAAGAGGGTACGAGAAAGTGTGGCCTGTGCCTGGGGCTGAGAATGTAGGGGGTTGTACTTGGGGAGTTACACCTGCTCCTTCTTGAAGCCCTAGGCTCATTCATATAATCAGTAAAAAAACAGGGATTTTCATGCTCCCTGAAGCAAGAGTTAATAAGGAGCTAAGCACAGAAATTTCCTTAGATAGCCTGTCAGAACTCTCTTCTGGATCCCTCAGATCCCCGAAGCCTCCCAAAGGATTCCCCACCAGATCTTCCCTTCTCAGCAGATTCCTCCCCATGAGCACCCGCCTGGAACCACCACCCCACATCCTTTTCTACGCCTCTCACCCCAGTGCACTTCCCTGCTTCTCAGGCCAGATCCGACACCAGATCGCTCTGGATCCCTGCCCCTGTTCCTTCAAAAGTGGAGCCTTCCTCAACCTAATCCAGCCTCCCGGCCCTGCCCTGTGGCCCCTCAGGGAGATCCAGACAACCCCCAGGCTGGGGCAGCCTCCCTCTCCCATTTCACAGCTCAGGCAGGTAGCGCTCCCCACCCCCAACCTGCTCCAACTCAGGGGCCGTGCACTGGGGGGCAGGGGGGCTTGAAATGGGGAGAAAGTCTAGCCCCTCCCCCTCCGGGGTGGAAGAACCAGAGGGGCAGCATTCCAGGGAAATGGGGGGGCGCCTAGCACAGAGAGTGCAGAGACACCAAGAGATGGGTGAGAGACAAGAGGCAGAGACTTAAGGAGGGAGACAGAGACCCAGGGAGAGGAAATAGAGAGACCCAAGCGGAGAGAACAGACTCAGGGACAGGGAACAAGACGACCCAGGGAGACAGAATCGAGAGACCTGGGGAGAAAGAACAGAGTGACCTGGGGAAAAAGAATGGAGACAGCTGGAGAGACCCTGGGATTGCAGGGGCGTGAGATTGGGAGGCACTGACACGGGGAGGCAGAGACGCCGAGGAAAACAGAAAGCAGCCGAGACAGAGACGCCGGCACGGCGATGGGGAGCCGGGACGGGACGGGACGGGACGCGGGGCGGCCACTGAGTGAACTTTCGGAGAGGGTCCGAGTGGCCACGTCCTCACGGGACAGGTCGCTCCAGGGCCTCCAGGGCGTTGCACCCGGTTGGGGGCGGGTACAGCCCGTTCGGCCCCTCCCCATCCCGTGCTCGCGAACGAAGGGGGTGGGGGGGCTTCAAACTCGCGCCCGGCGCAGCCCGGGACCGCACGTGCGCCGGGGCCGCGAGCGAGACCCGGGCGCGCCGGCTGCGGATCCCCCGCCGGCTGGGAGGGGGCGCCTGTGCGGCGGGGGCGGGGGCGCGGCCTGGACCCGCCCGGAGCCCGGGGCTGGGGGGTCTGAGGGCCGCCCCCGGAGCGCGTCCGCGCTAGAAGGGGGGACGAGGCGGGACCGATGAGGGGGAGCAAGAACGCAAACGGGAAACTTTGCGCTGGGTGGGGGGGGCGGGCTGCGGCTAAGGTGCGGTGGAGAGGGAGGGAGGCGGCGAGGGGCGGCGGGGAGCGAGCCAGCCAGCAGCGCTGGGGGCGCGTCTGCCGCGGGGTGAGCGGGGAGGAGCCGCCAGGCTGGGGCGTGGAGGGGGGGCTTCGCCGAGGCTGCGGGCGCGGCAGGTGGGGGCGCGGCCCGGCCTCAGCGGCGCCCTCGTCCCCCCCGGGACCGCCCCCAGCTCCGCCGGGTGGACTAGCGGGGAGGGCAAGGAGAGCGGGGAAGGGACGGGAGCGGAGGGGGCTGGTGGGGGGCCGGGGGGTCACTCACCGCCTATCCAGGGGCCGTCGGTCCGCATGTCCCCCCGCAAGCCGCTAGGGCCGCTGCTCCCACTCCTCTGCCGCCGCCGCCTCCACCTGGTCCCGCTCCCGCCACCGCCACCCGAGCTGGAGCCGGAGCCGGAGCCGGAGCCGGAGCCCGAGCCCGAGCCGGAGCCGAAGCTGGAGCCGCCGCCTCTGCCGCCGCCACCGCTCCCGCCGCTCCCGCGCCAGCTCCAGCCGCGCGCTCCCCTCGCGCTCGCGCCCGCGCCCCTGCCCCTGCCGTGCGCGCCCCCGGCGGCGCCCCTCCCCTCGTGCACTCTCGCTCGTAGAGCCGCGGAGCCGCTGAGGCCCAGACAGGCCACAACCCAACGCCAAGTCGAAACCGACCGGAACCTCAATATTGAACCCGAACCCCAATAATGAACATAGACAGACCAAACTCTGATACTACATCCAGATCCTTCTAGTGGCTCCCAGCCCTAGCATGAACCTAATACCACTCTAGGACCCCATTTCCTCCCCATACAGATCTGAACCTGATACTGAGCCCACACCTTGCCCTAAACCCAATATTGAGTCCAAAGCCCTTAATCTGCCCCCAAATTAGCACAAGTAGTAATTTTGTTGTGAACCTCTATACTGATCCCAAATACCAATTCTGACTCTAAATCTCTTTATTACTTCTACTTGCCCTAACCTTGATAGTGACGCTAGCACCAACGCTGGACCTTAAATGGAACCCTGTACTAATGCTCAGCCCCCAGTCCCTAAATGAACCCTAAAGTCCAAAAGCTACCTTGCTATGGACCCCAGTTATCTCTCTTCTGAACCCCAAGCCTTACATAAAACTCCAGTACTGCTCTCCCATTCCCAGATCAACACCAATGCACTCTGAATTCGATTCTCAATTCCAGAGTTGGGATTGGGTCACCATAAAAGGACCCCCAAACACAGATACTGACCTGAAACCCCACCCAAACTTGAGACCATTTAGGACCCTAAACCAACCCAGCTTTAATAATAATCTTGGAACCCAAGATAAGACTGGCTTTGCAGAAACTCCACACAAAGCCCCTTCATCCTCATGTTCACCCTCCACTTCTCTGACCTAGTGTCAACCCCAAGCAGAGACTGACTAATACCCCAATATTATACCAATTCCAGCTGTGAACCTTACATTGGCCTCGGAATTAAAGACATGATAATGCCCTCTAAATGTAATTTAAATGTCAGTACTGAGTTTCTGACTTCTCATACCAAACTCAAATAATGACCCTAGAAATTTCTGGGTGAAACCAATAACCTACCTGAAGATTTATTCCAAGACCTACTGATCAGAGGGATTTGATGAGCTTCAATCCAAGCGCCCCTGCCTCCAGACCCCGCCCCCACGCAATCCGTGTTAAAACCACTTAAGAGTCAGCCAAAGCCACACCAGCTCTTTCCTATCTACCCCACCCCTCCTCCCCCCGCCGCTTGCTAGGCTTCACCATGAAGGATGGGGGACCTACCCCCACTGCCCTGGGTCAGGTAACTGAGCAGAAAAAGAGATGAGGTTTCTCCTCTGTGGGGTTTCTTCTGTGGGGTCTTTCTGATAACCCTGTAAGTTTGGAGTCAGGTGAGAAATAAAATTTGGAGATCGTTGAGGTGCCTGGATTCAGGGATCACGTGGTAATGTGCAGGGCATGGTTGCTGTGGTGTTCAGGGATCTGGGCTGAGGAATCAGGTTCTGGTAACCACCTGATTCACTGCCTGTTTTTGTCCTGAACTTGAATTCACAAACAGTGCGTGTGCGCCCCCTGGCGTATGAGGAGGGGATGGGACTGGCTCCAGTGATTCTGGACAATTTGGTTTGGATGACAAACGGATCAAAAATGAATATTTCCAGTGAGTGGTTTTTCACCATTGGTAATTTTGGTGCACCACGGGGGAGGTATTGCAAATTTTATGCATCTTTAAGCATTTTTGCCTTTTTTTCCAGAACTTTGAGGATTTAGAGATTCCCTCTCGGCCCCCAAATTTTAAAAGTATACTTTTCAGCCAATTATTCCTGCCCATTGCTGAGTTATTAAAACAGTTCTTTTCCTTGGCTTCATTGGCCCACCCTCTCCTCACTGGCTACTGTCTCTGATTCCTTTACCACCTCGTCTTCTGCTCTTCCGGGACTCTGTCCTAGGCCTCCTCTTTTCTCCTGCTCTGCCCCTTTTCTCTGGATCATCTTGACCACTACCAACCATATGCTGATGACTTCCAAGTCTCTATCTCCAGTCTGGGCCGCTCCTGTGAGCTCCAGATCCATATAACTAAGAGCCTCCTCTGTCCCGCCCACCCCAGATCTGCTTACCTTCAATACTGCCCGTCTCAGGCAGTGGCATCTTCAGCAATTTAATCACTGACATGCAGAGACCTTCCCTCCTGCACCACTGTCCAATCAGTCATCAGTCCTGCAAATTTTGAAAAACAGAGACTAGAGACCATATGGCTCCATGAGGGACACATGCAGAGAGTTTCTGGCTTTTGGGTTTCAGTCCACACACGCACAAAGCCAAACTGGTCCTAACTTCTCTTGCATGCAGTTATAATATAATGCCCCTTAAGACTTGCTCTACTGGCCAGGCATGGTGGCTTACGCCTACAATCCCAGCACTTTGGGGGGCTGAGGCGGGCAGATCACCCGAGGTCAGGAGTTCGAGACCAGCCTGGCCAACATGGTGAAACCCCATCTCTACTAAAAGAAAAAAAAAATACAAAAATTAGCCAGGTGTGCACCTGTAATTCCAGCTACTTGGGAGGCTGGGGCAGGAGAATTGCTTGAACCTGGAAGGCAGAGGTTGCAGTGGAGATTGCTCCACTGCACTCCAGCCTGGGCCACAGAGCAAGACTCTGTTTTAAAAAATAAAATAAAATAAAAGACTTGCTCTACCTTTAGTGTGTTTTGGCACCTCAGAGCCAACTGTACCTGTTTGGAACCATTGTTTCCTCCAGGAAGCCATCCTGGCTGTCACCACTGTTTGTATCTGTGCCTATCTCCCTGACCTGTGGACAGCAGTTCCTTGCAGGCAGGAGAAATGAGTCCACCTTGTTCCCTGTCATATCCCAGTGGCCAGCACAGGGTCCTCACACACAATAGATACTTGATACATATTTGTTAAAGAATGAAGATTGACTTTCCTATCTGTGCTCAAGGAACCATCAGACATAAATGACTAAGTGAGGGAACAGCTCCCTGACCAAGTCTTAGAGCTCATCCAGCCCCAGTCTTCTGTAGCCCTGGCATGCACTAGAAGAGGGGCTCGTGGTGTTCGCTAGCCTGTGTGCCTGCTAGCCTGGGCCTTGGTAGTCCTGAAGCTCTGGCAGCCCTGTTCCCTCTGCCCCGCATTGTCAAGGCTACTGAGCACAGTACTGGAAGGTAGGTGAGCTGGGACCCCTGGCTTCCTGTGGTTGAAGTTAGCAGATGTGCTCACTGCTGTGCCAACCAGTCTCTTGCTCCAAACCCCACAGGGACACAGGGGTCTCAGAATCCTAACCCATTGGCGTCTGCCCTCTCATTCACCCACATGTGGCAAAGTGTTTGTCGAGGCAGGGCAAGAGAATGCCTGTAAGCAGCCTGCCCAGATCTCTGCATGTACGCCATCTGGAACTAGATACAAACCCAAGGTAATGAAACTAGAGGCCTAGGTGCCAAAGCCACATGGATGAGAAGCTCAGGTGGCCGGGCCTGGGAGAGCGTGATAGCTGCTGAAGGAGAAGAGCCAAGGCTCTGTCCAGTTTGCCAAACTGTGAGCACGGGGTCCACGTGGGGCTGCCCTGCTGCCCTGCTCCTGGGCCTGGCGGGGAGGGATGTCCTTGTGCTCATCTGTGAAGGCCGAGTGGCACCATGTGGTCATTGTGTGTCTGCTGTGTTCCAGCCCCAGGGTGCAGGGTGAGGAGAGAGCCAGATGTCAGCTCCCACTCACTGCTCACCCTTTGTCCAGGTCCTGGGCCAACTGGACACTCTCTGCAACTCATGACGTAAATACACCTTTTGGTCATCCCTTAGTTGGTCTAAACCAAATTAAATTCAGCTTGAGTCTCTACCCATCAGATCAGCAAGATTTCCCTATCACTCATGGCTGCCCTTCAGCTCCCTCCGATCATCCATGAACTCCAGGGGTTTGCACAATCCCAGAGATGGTCAGTCCGTGCTCCACAGCCTTGCAGAGAAAGGTGGAAGGATTTTTCAGGCTGCTGCTGCTGCTGTTGCAGACATCAGTGGTCACAGTCACAGGGCTTCCACTATTTTTTGCCCATCTGCAGGGCCTCACTTGTCCAACCTGGTCCTTGGGAAGATAACCCTCTACTCCCTCCATCCCAGCTCTTTCAAGAGGACCTCTCCCACAGGCCCCCGCAGTTGCAGCCCTTAGTCCTTGGCTTTCGAATCGCATGCAGCCACTTTCTTCTGGGGGCAGGTCAGGGTGGGATGGAGAATGCCTGTTCCCCTGCCCCTCTCTTCCATGCCAAAGCATCAATTCCCCAAGACACAGTGGTATTCTCCCTCTTAGCTCAGACACAAGAACTACAAAACGGCCTATTTACTTTCTCAGGTATGAGGTGGGAGAAAAAAGGCCCAGGACTTAGAACACAAAAGCTTGACTAATGCTTTTTTAATTAAAAAAAAAAAATTTTTTTTGTAGGGACAAAATCTCATCATGTTGCCCAGGCTGATCTCGAACTCCTGGGCTCAGGAGATCCTCCAGCCTCAGCCTCCCAAAGCGCTGGGATTACAGCAGCCATGAGCTGCAGTGCCTGGCCCTGGCTAATGCCTTTCATTTCTTCCGGCTGAGTCACTATGGGCAGGGAGAAATGATACAGGAGTTAATTTCTCAATGAACACTGCTTATGTTTCCCGGAGAAAACAGAAGCCACCACAGGAGGACTCCCTCATCTCCCACTACCAAATCCGCAAACCCACACACCTCTCCTCCTTCCGCTCTGTCTCCCCTGTGCTCAGGGTGCTCCGGCGCCTCCAGGCTTTGCTCTCTATTCCCCGTCCACTGCACCCTCTTCACTATAGCATTCCCATCTGCCCATGCGCATGTCTTTCCCATCCTAAAAAAAATTCCCTCCCTTGGCCCCACACGCCTCTCCAGAGTGGGAGAGACTCAAGTGCCTCTCTGTTCTCCTTCCCCACAAACCCAAAAGCCATTTCTACAGGACGCCTCTATTCCTCCATCTCCTGCTCGCTCCCCAACCCACCACAACCCTGCTTTCTGGCTTTCACTGATGTTGCTCTTTTTTTTTTTTTTTTTTTTTTTTTGAGACTGAGTCTTGCTCTGTCGTCTAGGCTGGAGGGCAGTGGCGCCATCTCGGCTCACTGCAACCTCCACCTCCTGGGTTCAAGCGATTCTTCTGCTTCACCCTTCCAAGTAGCTGGGATTACAGGTGCCCGCCACCACGCCCAGCTAATTTTTGTCTTTTTAGTAGAGACGGGGTTTCACCATATTGGCCAGGAGTTGGTCTTGAACTCCTGACCTCAAGTAATCTGCCTGCCTCGGCCTCCCAACATGCTGGGATTACAGGCGTGAGCCACCACGCCTGGCCTGATGTTGCTCTTGATATAATGACTCTTCCCCTCCATTTTGCCAAAGCTAATGGCTGGGCCTCTGTTTCCAGCTTAGTGTACTCCTCAGTGGCCTTTGCTACTTCCTGCCATCAGCCTGGGTTACTTCAGTGCCGGTGCAGACAGACAGCTCCTGGACCTCTCATCACAATGGCCGACCCTTGAAGGCTGCCCAGCCTACTCTTTCTAAGCATCCCACGCTGGGTCCTGTCCTCTCCCAAAACTGCTCCTCTCCTGCTCCCACCTTGCTCCCTCTACCTCGCGATCACTGCTCCGTCTCATCAGATCTCTCTGCTGTTGACCTCGTGTTCTCCTAGAGAGCTCTCCTCAGCTCTCTCCTTTTCACTTTTCTCCTGGTCCAACTTAGATGCCAAGGTCCAGCATTTTAATAACACTCTTGTCAATAACCCAAGCCTCTTGGCCTCTCTGCCTTTTTATCATATCTGTCTGGCAAAAAGCCAGCTCCAAGTGAGCCCTCCTGTCTGCCGTCACAGGGCGGTGCTCAAGCAACCACATGACTCCACAGGTCAGACAGATGTTCCCTTAAAGCAGGGACTACATAGGGGCCCTCTGCGCAGTTCTCCAGTCGGCTTGGAACCGCACTCTCTGTAACGGCTATTCCAGCCCTCCCCATTCTCTTTACACCTTCAGCCAGCCCATTTTCCCCTCGCTGTCAGATGGGACCTTGCCACATCTTTATAGAGAGGATTAAAGCCACCACAGAATTTTCCTGGCTCTCCACTAGCACATTCACACACCTCCCCACATCTGCCCTCTCTCCTGCTGCCTTACAGGAAGCACCCTCCTCCTCTCTCAGGCCAGTGTCTCTGCCAATCCTAGATTCCCTACCCACTCCTGCTTCTCAGGCCCCTCACCTATCCATTGTCCCCTCCTTCCCTGAGCACCACCCCCAACCTTCAACTGGAGCCATCCATAAACCTACTCCCTGCATGCTTACTTTCTCCTCCATTTCTCCATCAACTTTATTTATTTATTTTATTTTTTGTAGAGGTGGGGTCTCACTATATTGCCCAGGCTGGTCTCGAGCTCCTGGCTTCTAATGATGCTTCCACCTTGGCCTCCCAAAGTGCTGGGATTACACATGTGAACCACAGCACCTGGCCTTTTCTTTCTTTCACATTTAAAAAATTTCAATAGCTTTTGGAGTACAAGTGATTTTTAATGGACGAATTATAGAGTGGTGAATTCTGAGATTTTGGTGCATCCGTCATCTGAATATCGAACATTGTACCCAATATGTATCCCTTACCACCGCCATCCTCCCACTTCTGAGCCTCTAAAGTCCATTATACCAACCTGTATGCCTTTGCGTACTCACAGCTTAGCTCCTGCTTCTAAGTGAGGATGTACGGTATTTGGTTTTCCATTCCTGAGTTCCCGGCCTCTCTTCTTTCTTTCTTTCTTCCTTTTTTTTTTTTTTTTTTTTTTTTGACAGAGTCTCGCTTTGGCACCCAGGGTGATGCGATCTCGGCTCACTGCAACCTCCACCTCCTGAGTTCAGGTGATTCTTGTGCCTCAGCCTCCCGAGTAGCTGGGACCACAGGTGCATGGCACCATGCCTGGCTAATTTTTTTTTCCTTTTTTTTTTTTCTTTAGTAGACTTAGGGGATTCGCCATGTTGGCCAGGCTGGCCTTGAACTCCTGGCCTCAAGTGATCTGTCCGCCTTGGCCTCCCAAAGTTGCTGGGATTATAGGCGTGAGCCACCATGCCCGGCCCCAGCCTCTTCTTCCATAAGAGTGTTCTGTTTGCCATTATGGCATTCCTACTCACTTCATCCAACATTTGGTCAAATCTGGCTTTTACTATCTCTGCCCCCAACATCTCCCCAAAACACAATGTCTGTGCTATGATCTCCATGTCTTAAAATTTGAAGGCCAGTTTTTTTTTCGGTATTCATTTTCTTAGACCTCTTGATTACTGCATTCTTCAAACCCTAACTTCTTTGGCTCCCTTGACACCATACTCTCCTGGTTTGCCTCTTAACTCCTTGGTCTTCTTCTCAGTCTCCTTGGCGGGGTCATCCTCCTCCACTCAATCCATCAAGTGCTCCTGTCCCTCGACGCCCATGCCTTGGCCTTTCCCCTTCTTACTGTGGACTCTGTCCCTGGTGATCTCATCCATGCCTACAGCATTGAGTACTGTCCATCTGCCGATGATTCACACCTTTATGACTCTTACCCAGGGAACCTCTTGTGTAAGCCCTTGATGGGGAGGAGCCCAGCCAGCTGCCTAGTCAACATCTCCACCTGTGTCCCAAGGGCACCTCAGCCCCAGCATGCCCAAGATCTCCCACCAGATCTTCACTCCCTGATTCCTTTCTCGAGTTCTCTGTCTGAGTCAGTGGCCCCACTGTCCATCTATAGGCAAGCCAGAATCCTGTTCATTTTACCTCCAGAGCACCTCTCTAATCTGTACCTTTCTCTTCAACTCTGCTGATGCCTCACTGGTCCAAGCCACCATTAACTCTTATCTGGACCTCTGCAGCGCCTCCTCACTGATCTCTCTACATCTGCTCTGCCCCTCCCCCATCTTATCTCTGCGCTGCAGCCGCAAATGGGGTTATGTCACTCCGCCACGAAAACCTTCGAATGGCTTACATGGGGCTGGATTAGGAGCCAGCTCCTCCACATGGATGAAATGCCCTCCCTTTGCCTACCTCCCCACCTCATCCAACACAACGCTTCTGGTTCAGTCCTCTGCGGTGGCGCCAGCTTCCTTTCAATTCCTCAAACATACTGCATTTCCCCCTTCCCTCTCCCCATTCTTTCTAGAAGACTTTCCACCCCACCTCCTTCACATGGTAACTCATTCTTCACTTTTGGTTCAAGCATCACTGCCTTGGGGCAGCCTTCCCTGACCCTTAGTCTGAATAAGTACAGGGCCCTGTTGCTGTCTGCCAGAGCATTCCTTTATACTTCTTGTTACACATTTAATGGATTGATGCCTGTCATCCATGTCATTCACTCAATAGCTATATGTTAAATCCATATAAGGTGTCTAGAGTAATGTCTGGCACCCAGTCACTACCCAGTAAATGTTAGCTATTGTTATCCTCAATATCTGGAGACCAAGGAAAGGCAGAAGAGCCCACAAAGGAGAAAAAACGAACAGTCACTAGGAAGGAAAGAAGAAAAGCAGGGGAGAGTTACTCTTTCACTCATTTCCTCTATTAGGCTCACCCTTCTGACGCCGCTCCTCCTATGGCACCTGGAGCTCTTTTCCCAGATATTTGCGTGGCTGTCTCCTTTTCATTTTTCATGTCTGTGTTAGGTCAGGTTTCCCAGAAGAAGACCCTGAGATGAAGTGATTTATTAAGCAAGGGTTCCTGGGGGAAACTGGCAAAGCAGAAGGGGAAGCCGAACAGAGAAGGGGAAGAAGCCAAGCAAGGGGGGATTTCAGGCCATGTTCTTGGAAGAGTAGCTTCAGCCTGACCTCAGGGGGACCCATGAGTGGAAATGTATGCCTCAGTGTTGTCCCCACCCCTGCCAAGGGCGTGAGCCTTCATACCTCCTAGCCTCCTTAGTCATCTGTTGAGGGCTACCAGTGGGGCTGAGAATGGCGGGTGATGAGTACACCCTCTTCGGGGACTTTCTAGCTTGCATGCAGACAGAGTGGCTCCAGGAAGTCGAGGACCGTCCTCCATAAAAGAACTGGTGCTAGCTGCTGGAAGGCAAGGCACGCTGAAGGTGGGGCTGCGTCTGCCTCTCACCCCCTCACCAAAAATGGTGGAAGGGGATCTGAGGGGTCTATCGTGTCTCCACTGAAATGTCACCCTCTCAGATAAGCCTTTGCTGACCAGCTGACCACCCTATCTAAAATAGTTTTCCATCACTGCGACGGCACTCTCTTTATTTCCTTCACATAATTTAGCACAATCTGTAGTTTGATTTCATTTTTGTTTAACAACTGTTTCTGCTGCTAGACTCTAAGGTCTAGCAGGGCAGGAATCTACATTACTTTATTCCTGCCAGATCTCTAGCACTAGGACAGTGCTTGGTATATAGGAGGTGCTCAATCCATCTTTTTTGAATGAATGCATTGGTGAATTAGGCACATGCACTGAGCGCTCAGCTGGGTGAGAGGCAGGTAACGCCAGATGTATGTATAGGGGGCTAGCTGCACCGCGCTGGCCAGAATGTGGCCCGCACAGTTGTGCTTGTGAAGGGGCCATAGAGGGTCAACTCCTCTCTGAGGCAGCAGACATCACCCCGAGGCTGTGTATCTCTCTGGGTCCCCAGCTCTTTGTGCAAAGTGGGATGGAGCCCATGGGGATCCAGGCATATGGGCAGTGGGATTCAGAAGTATAGGGGAGCTTCTGGCAAGGCGCTTGAAGCTGCATAGGCGCATGTCATGGACACCTCCCCACACACATGCCACCAACACCACCCAATGCCTCAGGCTAAACTGGCCTCAGTGAGGGCAGACTAGGCTGCGAGAGGGCGGCCTTGCATTTGGGAAAATATGGCCCTGGCTCTGAGTAAGACCCATGGCACTTATTAGCTGTGTGGTCTTGGACTTCTCTAAGTCTCAGTTTCCTCTTCTGTAAAAAGGGGATAATACTGACTTTGCAGCATTATAGGAAGGACATGAAATTGTGTTTGTAAAGAGCTTCGTCAGAGCCTGGCACATTGTAGGTTCTTGAAAATAGAAGCTATTTGATGATTATTAGAATTAGCATAATCAAGCCTCTAATAGCACCAGTTTGGAGAACTATTTAAAAGCTAATCCCACCAGGCCCCATACCCTGGTAATCCCCGACTGTCTGAATGAAAGCCTGTTTCAACATCCATCCACCTTCTTCTGCAGTTGCCCTCCCCCATCCAGCTCCCCACTGCTCCTTCCTCAACCTCTTAAACTCTCAGCCCCTTCAGACTTCCTCCCTGCAATTCCTGCCTAACTGAGGACACAGCAGCTGCCTCCAGGGGAGGCCACCATTCCACAACCACAGAGTAGTGAGGCAGAGCAGCATCTTTCTCACTCTCAAAAGCCACTCCCAGATCATTATTCCTTCAGCCTCATGGAAAAATCCCTGCTCATTTAAGGCTCACGCCATCTGGCTCTTGCAATTCATTTATTCAACTAAGATTTATTGAGTGCTTTTTCTTCTTTCTATTTCCATACTTTACCTTCTTTTAGAAAAGATTTCAGTGACTTATAAAAAAACATGTAATAGAAGATGCCTGGCACATAGTAGGGCTCTCTATCTAGCTGACTAGTTGAATACACTTTGAAATGTCACATAGTTGTTCACCTCTCCCCAGTGCCCCTTCAGAGGTGGGTTTCATCGAATGTAAACAGGGAAGTAGAAGACTCAGTCTTATGCCTCTCTTGAATTGTTCACTTGGGAGCTGGCTCACCATTTCAAATGTTCTTCTAAGCTCTACAGGGAATCACATACCATAATGCTGGTCACCACCTGGAGCTTGTAATATCCTACCTCAAGAAAATAAATATTTGCTGTCATTATTATCCGTAAGAAACTCTATAAGCAAACTATTACAAGGGCATGTGATGCATTTTAAGGGCTGCCACGTGTTTCAATTTGTCTCTGCTGGGAAGTATTTCCATGGGTCCCAATGAAGAGGTGGGGGATGAGGCAGGTTCTCTGCCCCTTCACCACAGCCTCTTTTTATTCTCTTTAAGACCATTGCCCAACACTGGGCTGCCATATTTACTTGCTTTAATGAAGGGCAGTGCAACTTGAAAGAGGAATTACAATGCAGGAAGAGAATGTGGTAGCTGGGTAATAACGAGGATTTTCCCAGAGACCAAAGAGAAAAGTACCTAAGAGTGGAGGGCTATCTTCTCTCTCCTGTCCTCCATTAGACAGCCTCTCTCCAACTGCATTCTTCATCAACCCTTCCCACGCCCACCAGTGCAGCTTTATTCGCTTTCAGAAAATCCCTTCCTTCCCCACCAGTCTCCTGGATTCCTTCCTTTCCCCTGTGCAATTCTCCAAGTCAGGACAACTCCGTTGGAGTCATGTCTGCAGGCTTCGTGAAGTTGCATCAGCATCAGTAATGCTGGAGTTGGAACCTCCTCCCAAGATCATTCTTGTGGAGAAGGGTGTTGGCATTTGACAGCCCATCCTTCAAGATGGGTGAGAGCCGTCTAATAGGGCTTTCTTTTCGATATCCAATATTTCCATTGGCTTCTTTACATACTGAACCTGCTAAATAAAATGCATTCGTATCCATAGCTCAAACACAGACATTACTTCTTAGGTCTAGTACATTCTAAAGCCACATTGAGAAAGGAAATAATTCCTTAATTGCCTCATAATTAGCAGTGTGTCTTCTCTATTCCCTGGGAATCAGTAAATCCGATTATTGTGGCAAGGGTAGATGTCTGTTCCTTTCTTGATCCCCTTCGGGGTTTGTTCGAATAAGAATATGGTCATAGTCCCTTTAATGATTTCTCAATAATTTTCGCAAGAGAGGCTTTGATGGTTTGATTTTAGGGAGCCTCAATTACATCCTTGCCAAGGGCTGATATCAATTTGGGGAAAGGGAAAGGGGAGGACCTATTCTCCCAGTTACATAAAATTAAAGATAAATATATGAAGAGAGAGAAAAAATGACAACAAGAACAGGAATCAAGACAGTGTGATACTGGCATGGGATAGACATCAAATCAATGGAACAGAAATGAGAGTCCAGAAATAAACCCTTACACTTACGGTCAATTGATTTTCCACAAAAGTGCCAAGGAAATTCAATGGGAAAAGGATAGTCTTTTCAACAAATGGCTCTGACACAATTGAATATCCACATGCAAAAAATATGAATTTAGACTCTTGTCTCATGCCATGTGTAAAAATTAACTGGAAATGGGTCATAGACCTAAATGTAAGACATAAAATTATATAACTCCTAGAAGAAAACATAGTAATAGTTCTCCATGACTTTGGGTTAGGCAGAGTTCTTAAATACAATACCAAAAAGCACAAATAATTAAAAAAAGGAATAGTTGGACTTTATAAAGATTAAAAACTTCTCAATCCAAAGAGCACCATTAGGAAAGTGGAAAGACAAACCACAGACTGGGAGAAAATATTTGTAAATCATATATCTAATAAAAAGATTTGTACCCAGAACATATAAAGAACTCTTAACAACTAATAAGAAGGCAAATAACTCAATTTAAAATTGTGTGGGATGGCCGGGCGTAGGTGGCTCATGCCTGTAATCCCAGCACTTTGGGAGGTTGAAGCAGGCTCATCACCTCAGGTCAGGAGTTCAAGACCAGCCTGGCCAATATGGCGAAACCCCGTCTCTACTAAAAATACAAAAAAAAAAAAAAAAATTAGCCAGACGTGGTGGCGTGTGCCTGTAATCCCAGCTACTTGGGAGGCTGAGGCAGGAGAATCCTTTGAACCTGGGAAGTGGAGGTTGCAGTGAGCCGAGACCATGCCACTGCGCTCCAGCCTGGACAACAAGATGGAAACTCCGTCTAAAAAAAAAAAAAAAAATCATGGGAGGCTGACACAGGTGAATTGCTTGAGCCTGGGAGGTGCAGATTGCAGCGAGTCAAGATTGTGCCATTGCACTCCAGCCTGCGAACAGAGCAAGACCTTTTCTCAAATAAATAAATAAATACATAATAAAATAAAAAGAAATAAAAATTAAAACTAAAATTAAAAAAAAATTGCAGACGGACACAGTGGCTCATGCCTATAATCCCAGCACTTTGGGATGCTGAGGTGGGTGAATCACTTGAGGTCAGGAGTTCGAGACGAGCCTGGCCAACATGGTGAAACCCCATCTCTACTAAAAATACACAAATTAGCCAGGTGTGGTGGCAAGTACTTGTAATCTCAGCTACATGGGAAGCTGAGACAGGAGAATCGCTTGAACCCAGGAAGCAGAGGTTGCAGTGAGCCAAGATTGTGCGACTGCACTCCAGCCTGGACGATAGAGTGAGACTCTGTCTCAAAAAATAAAATAAATTAAGGCATAAGAACTGAAGAGACATTTCACCAAAGATCACGTATAAATGGCCAATAAGCACTTGAAAAGATGCTCAACATCATTAGTCATTAGAGAAATACAAATTAAAACCCCAGCAAGATACCACTTCACACCCACTGGAAAGGCTATAATAGAAAAGATAGGCAATAACAAGTGCTGGTGAGGATGTGGAGAAACTGGAACTCTCATACGTCGCTTACGGGAATGTAAAATGGTGCCATACTTTGGAGACAGTTTGTCAGATTCTTCACATAAATTTACCATGTGACCCAGTAATTTCAATCCTAGGTATCTATCTGCCCAAGAGAAATGAAAACATATGTCCACAGATGGATTTATATGAGAATGCTCACAGCAGCATTATTTGTAATAGCCAAACAGTAGAAACAACCCAAATGTTTATCAACTGTGAATGGATAAACAAAATGGAGTATGTCCATACAGTAGAATACTATTTGGCAATAAAAAGGAATGCAATATGGATAGATGCTACAGATGAAGCTCAAAAACATTATGCTCAGTGAAAGAAACTAGACACAAAAATCATATATTGTATGATTCCATTTGTATAAAATGTCCAAGGAAAGAAAATCTATGGAGACAGAAAGTCGATTAGTGATTGACTGTGGGAAAAGGAACTGACTGGAAATGAGCGCAAGGATTCTTTGGGGGATGATAAAAATGTTTTTAAACTAAATCATGGTGATAGTTGTACAATTCTATAAATTTATTAAAATTATTGAACTGGCCAGGCACGGTGGCTGACATCTGTAATCCCAGCACTTTGGGAGGCCAAGGAGGGTGGGTCACGAGGTCAGAAGTTCGAGACCAGCCTGGCCAACATGGTGAAACCCCATTTCTACCAAAAATACAAAAAAATTAGCTGAATGTAGTGGCATGTGCCTGTAATCCCAGCTACTCCAGAGGCTGAGGCAAGAGAATTGCTTAAACCTGGGGGTGGAGGCAGAGGTTACAGTGAGCCGAAATTGTGCCACCACACTCCAGCCTGGGTGACAGAGCAAGACTCTGTCTTGGAAAATAAATACATAAATAAATAAAAATTATTGAACTATACACTTTTTAAAAAAGACAACAGGGTAGAAAAAAGAAATGGAACTGAGGGTAATATTAAGATCCAAAGGTACTCATAGTAGAGATGGACTCTAAATATGACTGAGCTTCCTGACAGTCAAAGGAAAAAGGGAAACAGGCTTGATTATGTGATTCCTAGGTATCCTTAAGATTAAAAACCAAAATAAACTAAACTAGGTGTTAAGGAGCAGCTTTGTTTTTTCAGTTCCTTAGACCTAAGAAAAATTTCTTCTATTGAGAGGATAATACATGAACTAGTGAACATCCTGGATACTAGCCTACAGTGAATTTATTTTATTTATTTATTTATTGTTTTGACACAGAGTCTTGCTCTGTCACCCAGGAGTGCAGTGGTGTGATCCTGGCTCACTGCAACTTCTGCCTCCTGGGTTCAAGCAATTCTCCTGCCTCAGCCTCCCGAGTAGCTGGGATTACAAACGCCCATCACCACGCCCAGCTAATTTTTTGTATTTTTGGTGGAGACAGAGTTTCACTATGTTGGTCAGGCTGGTCTCGAACTCCCAACCTCAGGTGATCTGGCAGCCTCGGCCTCCCAAAATGCTGGGATTACAGGCACGAGCGACCGTGCCCAGCCTACGGTGACTTTAAATATTTTTTGACAGTTTCATATAATGCTTCTTATTGTCATTAGAGGAATTAAGCTAGAGTTGTGCTATCCAATACGGTAGACACTAGCGACATGGGGCTATTTAAACTAAAATTAAATAAAAATTGGAAATTTGGTTCCTCAGTCACCCTAGTCAGTTCCAAGATCTCAATGCTTACATGGGCTAGTGGCTTCCATACTGGACAGTGCCTGTAGGGAACATTTCCCTCAATGCAGAAAGTTCTGTTGGACATGCTGGTTTGGAGGGCAGTTTAGTAAAAACACATAAAAGTTTGGAGTTGCAAATGGTGGTGAAAGAGTGATGCTGTCTCAACTTTGGCCAGGGCAGAGCTTTTAAATCTACTTTCATAACCTCACACATTGAGAACAGGGACAGAAAGACGGCTTGGGGAGAGGAGTAGAAATTTTATTTTTAAAAATAGGACAAGGCTTAACATAGATATATTTGGGCTTTTGAACATGGAGTGGTAGGATAAACTGAGGACCACCAGGGCACACTTGGGGAACAATGTTTTGGTTAGTTGAGCTGTTTAGCTAATGACTGTGCTTTTGTTTTGCAGAGCACCCTTTGGCTGGCTTCTCATTTGCTGAATGGTATATTCAGGCTGGCAGGATTTTTATATACAAAACAGAGGAGGGCCAGAGCCAGCCTGGCAGGGAGAGGCTGTGGAGTGGACAGTGGGTGGGAGAACGGGAATGAGAAGGGGAAAACTGGCTAATGCCTTTGGGAGAGATGCTAAAGGGGCATGGATTTTGAAGGAGATTCTCAAGGGATTCTGCTGTGCATAGGGTCATGTAACCTCCTCCAGCTCTTCAAGAAATGTTCAGTCACTTTGGAGTCGGATTTGTACTGAGGGGCATTTCATGGTATGTAGGGACTGACTTCAAGTCTGGTCTTGGGTGTCAGATGCAATGGCTCAAGAGGACCCAATCATGTGTGGGTTAAAGGCTGGGCCTTTTCTGGGATTTTCTCCCCATCGAGTGATACCCAGCTGCATCTTGGTTAAATTGTTCCTTTCAAACTTCAGAGTATAACTTCACTAGGACTGCCAGGCTTGCAGATTTACGGCACAAAGAAATGAAGATTGATCAGCCTGAGAGGGGATGGAATTTGGAATACCAGCTCCAAATCAGGGGGAAACCGTGGCAACCACCTTGAGATAGAAATGACAACTATGGTGGTGCAAGTTCTTCTCTGTGCCCATATCTGCCTTCCTGAAGCACGAGATGTACGATGACCAGGGTAACCAAAGGGACATGTGGTCACCTGACTTGTCACCAGACAACAGCTCTTTCCGCATCATGACACAGGCCATATGCCAAGAGGGGATGGATCTTGGCAGTATGAAAAGTCTGTCTTTCTTGTCGATATTCCACCAACAAGTGGTACCCATCTCCACCCCAGCCTTCCTCATCTGGAAAGAAACTGAGGGATTGAACAGCTGATAGCGTGTACCAGAGTCCAGGGAGGTAGAGGCAGACTACTGCAAGAGATTAGAGGAGACTACTAGGCCAGAGAAAGTGCTAGGTGGTTGGAAGAGGTTTTCCTCCTTCTGGCCTTGAGCAGGTGGCCATTTGGGGTGCAGTGAATGCCCGCATGAAAAGGCCCTTGCTTACTAAGGTGCTGTTTGGGTTCAGCCATTTCTGAAAACGTTTCTCTGGCTACTCTCCTCATGTGCTGAAAGAAACACTCAAGTCAGATGTCAACAATGATTTCGTACATTTTTCTTTGATTTTTTTGTTTGAGACAGGGTCTTGCTCTATTGCCCAGGCTGGAATGTAGTGGTGCAAACACAGCTTACTGCAGCCTCTACCTCCCAGGCTCAGTTGATCCTCCCACCTCAGCCTCCTGAGTAGCTGGGAATACAGGCATGTGCCACCACACTTGGCTAATTTTTGTTTGTTTTGTTTTGTTTTGTTTTGTAGAGAAGCAGTCTCACTATGTTGCCCAGGCTGGTCTCAAACTCCCGAGCTCAAGTGATCTTCCTGCCTTGACCTTCCAAAGTGTTGGGATTACTACTGCATCCAGGATTTTGGGATTTTGTACGTTTTTCGATGCCTCAGGTGTGCATTTGTTGACTGATATGGTTGTTTATGACAGATTTTTTCCTTCCTTGCATGCTTAGATTGTATCTTGGAGTGAAATCATCCAGAAGTGTGGAGCAAGGCCAGTGTCAGCTGTGACCAGATTCCATCACATCTGTGAAGTGAGCAAACATGGTGGCATCTAAGGCATGGTGAACTACACACCTAGGAACAAAGGATACCTGGCATGAGAGGGAACAAGAAGGCACCCATGGGGGAGGCTGCAGTCTCTCCTGGCACTGGCGCTTCCAGGGGGTGTGGTTGTTAAGAACCCACGGTTCAGCCAGACAGCCACAGACAACCTTTAGGACAGGCAGCCAGGAAGACAGCTAGGGGGACACATGTGATCTGACCAGGTCTGGGGCAGCAGACGCAAATTGTTGTCACTAACGAACCATATGGTGATCCACTGCCACTTTCCAAGGCCTGTCTTTCTTTGGCTACAGCCAAATTGGAGAATTAGCTGGTATGTGATAGGAATCACCAATTCTGTATATTTCAAGCTGTTTGTGGTTTCACTAACATCTTTAATTATCCCAGGGATGTAGTCTAGCTTTACTTTGTTTGGCTAGGGAAGGAGAAGGCAGGAGATCATACTAGGTCCTTCCTCTGGAAAAAAAAAGAAAGCTCTTAATCCACGTAGATCAAGGATCTGGTGTGGGAATGCAGGCTGCTGGTGCTATGGATTTCAACGACACCTTCGGAAGCAAGGAGAATGACTGCAAGATAGGGTTGGGGCCTTGCTGGGCCTTCCATGGGGTGGACTCAGGTCAACAGCTCCATTTACCCTGACCCCATATATTCCCACTCTGACCACGGCATCACGGTAGCATTCTGGAGTTCTAGAAATCGGTGTTAGCTCAGAGATGGTATCCAGGTATCTTGAAAATGTCAGGGGCAGCCTCAGGCCCTGAAAAAGGATAGAGTGTTAGGAACAGTAGGGATCAGCTCACCCTGCTGACCCACCTAGCCCTTGCCTCCCTCACCACTCCCCCTCAGAAGGTGCATTACTCAAGATTCTTTCTGTTGCACCTGAACAAGAAAGGACAATATATTGGTTGACATAACTCAAAAGCCCAGGGTGTGGAAGAAAGTTTAAATTGTGCATTGTGCTTTTAATGTGAGTCCGTTATAACCAGTATTTGTTTTTCTTGTATAACTTATGCAAGGGGGAAAAAAAAACACTTTACAAATACTTTTTTTCCCAACACCAAGAAACTATACCAGCCTTGTACTGCTGTTTGGTTTAAATAAAACAAGAGCACTGAAGTCATACTCAGTTCAGGTGAAATATTACAGGGTTGCTGGAAAGTTCAATTCCTTATAACGAACTTACAAGGAGTAAATACAATTTTCTACAATAAACAAGCATCATAGTCTCAGGGTTAAGGGTTGTAAAACAATAAACCATTGCAGTTAGAGTAGAATGTCAGAGGAGAGCTTCATGCATACAAACTGCTCAATATCATGATGACAAGGTATAAAATAAGAATAAATGTAATTTGAAGTAAGATCTTAACTCCATATGGTTAATAGTCTCTCTCTTTCTCTCTCTTTCTGCGTGTGTGTGTATATGTGTCTCTCTTTCTCTGTACTTTCTACCTTTCACCTTACTCCTAATTTTTGCCACACAAAAAATTATGTCCAGTCCAGTGCTTTGCATTCTCAAAAGCACTGTGTCAATAACTATTCATTCTCTGAAGATTCCTTATTTATTGGGATTGAAACCTCTGGTTTCAATTACAATGTTAAACAAAGATGAAATAATAGACTGGTGCTTATAATATTTTATTTTCTCAAAGCCTAGACTAGATACTCAGAAATGGCTGGGTTCAAGGACTCATATAACTGTCATCACG
Organism: Homo sapiens; assembly: GCF_000001405.40. Classification (NCBI taxonomy): domain Eukaryota; kingdom Metazoa; phylum Chordata; class Mammalia; order Primates; family Hominidae; genus Homo; species Homo sapiens. Next base: position 43,511,845 of record NC_000001.11, on the reverse strand, counting down.
TTTCTCTCTGTTTCTGTGCCTGTCTCCATCCCCCTCCATCTCTCATCTTGGTTTATTCTCTGGTTCACATTGCTTGTTGGCCTCATTCTCTTCTATTGCAGAATTATTCCTTCACATGGACAGTGAAAATGGCTAAGGCAGCTCCATCTTCCACTCTCAGAGAATACAGGAGCATTTTCTTGATAGTTCTGGCAGAAAACTCCCAGGGAAGATTCTGATTGGCTCAGCTTGGTCATGTGCCCATCTGTGAACTAATCACTACGGCTAGAGATTGGAAATGGAGTAGTCTGATTTGCAGGCTCATGTCACACACCCACCTTTGGGTCTTGAGGATGAGGACTGAGTGGGGATCAGTGCCCCCTAAGCCACATGGAATGAGGGAGAGGTGGTTCCCTAAAGGAAAGAATGCCAGCAGACAATCTTGATCTAGGACAAACAGATGGAAGGTGGTGTTATATCAGGTCGATGGGGATAATAAAATTGTGATGTTGCTCATCAATGGCCATTTGGCAGTAAGGCCCAATACTCTATGAACAGACCAGCTTTTTTTTTTTTTTTTTTTTTTTTTTTTTTTTTTTTTTTTTGAGACTGAAATACTCAGGCTGAAATACTGAAATACAGTGGCTTGGTCATGGCTCACTGTAGCCTCGACCTCCCAGCCTCAAGTGATCCTTCCGCCTTAGCCTCCTGAGTAGCTGAGACTACAGGTGCATGCCACCATGCCCAGTTAATTTAAAAAAATTTTTTTTGTAGAGATGAGTTCTCAGTATGTTGCCCAGGCTGGTCTTAAACTCCTGGGCTCAAGTTATCCTCCTGCCTCGGCCTCCCAAAGTGCTGGGATCATAAGTGTTAGCCACCGCAGCAGGCCCAGACCAGCATTTTTAATGCTGATATGCGTTATCAGAATACATCTAAGGAATGTGAATTTGGAGCACCATTCAGGTGTGGGCTGTTGCACCCTTCACTTACCAGCACTGGATTGGGTATTGGGAGGCATGCTCAGGGGATGCTCCAGTGGCCTGTAATTCCAATGTTGTTTTCATGTGCTGTGAAGGTGCAGCTGCTATGTTACAAAGGTCATGTCCTCGTATCACCGAGACCATCTTTAATGAGGGAGCGTAGACCATTTGGAATGGCAAAAGGGTCTGGAAAAGAGGCTTGGCTGACAGCCTAGGGCAATGCTCAGAAGCTGTACTTATAGCCTTGAATTATATAACCCAAATCTACCTCTCTGCCCCAGATGAATGTGGTTGACTGGCAAAGAGCTTTGCTAGGAAGATGTCTAGCTGTGGTTGACAGTGAAAGGGAAGAAGTAGGTCTCTTGGCAGGAAGGGTACAAAGCTTCTCTTATGGCCCGAACGCCATTCTCTAGGAATGACAGAAATTGCCCTAATTATTAGGTATTGTACAGGATTCCTTGTGCCTCATACATGGTCTGTGGAAGCAGTTGGTACTGTTTCAAAAAGGCTACCCTGCGGCACTGAGTCCACGCATGATGATTTTAGGCCTTGGGGAGGGAACAGATGCTGGGGCTAATTAGGGCATGATTCCTCTGGCCCAAGATGGCAGAGGATGTCCAAATAAAATGTGACACCTGCGCCCCAGTGCAGTTCATAGAAAACACTGCCCACCAACCCGCCCTTCTGGAGATGACTCAGCATGGGATGCTTTTTGAAACTGGCACACCTTGATTGCTGTCTTCTGAAACTGGACAGTCAAGTCTGGAAGGCGTACTTCCTCCCATGCCCAGCTACCCCAGCAAAGATCAAGAAGCATACTCGGTGGCAGGAGGGTGTTGGGAAAAGTTCTTATCAGTTTTTGGATTTTCTGTTTTGAGATCATCTCATCAAAAAATGGTGAGATTCTAAGAATTATTTTACCCGCAGAACTTCAATTGGCAAGACTAGAATTGCTCCCCAAGGGGACTCCCCAGCCCAAGGGACTGAACAGAACATAATTAAATGTGTTTGGCATGCTCTATGCAGATCGGATAGGGCCTTGGGGCTGGTGTGAAGATGTTCTCATCCACACGCTGCCCCCGGAACGGTGCTGCTGACTGAGCACTCTCTATGGTGATAGTCGGGCTGTAGCCATGATCACTTGTTGATCTTGTTTTGGGCTTGGCAACAAGGAGACAGGGACAGTCTCATTCAGGATGCCACCAAGCTGAAGGATAAACTCCAAGTGGTTTACGGCTTGTCACTGCACAGAAAACAAGTTCAGAGCCTGTAGAGCAGACATCTGTTGTTTTGGCCTGCTCCAAAGCCATTTATCCTTCCCCCCGGTCTTTACTTGGGGAGTCACATCTCAGCCACTCTCAGTCTTTGCAGTTTAGGGGGAAGGGCAAGGGCACTAACAACAGCCTTTAGGCAATGAGAGATAAAGGCACATTCCTGATGATATTGTTCAAGCCAGGGGTTGGCAAACTTTTTCTATAAAGAGCCAATAGTAAATATGTTCAGCTTTGTGGGCCATGTGGTCTCTGTTGCAACTACTCAGCTCTGTGGTTGTAGGGTACAAGCAGCCATAGACAATATGTAAACAAATAAGCACGGCTGCATTCCAATAGAAAGTTATTTACAAAACAGGTGGCAGGCTAGATTTGGCTCACAGGCTGTCATTTACCAACTCTTTGTTTAAGCACCTGGATCCAGCTGAGCCTGAAGCTAACTGCCTCTGTGATTTTTCAGTGAATGAACCAGCAAATCCCCCTTTTTCCCTGTAGTAATTTGAGCTGGTGTTCTGTTATTGCCACTGAAAGATTTCTTGCAATTTATCCAGGTGTAGAGCCAGGTTTGCAGACTGGAGGTTGAGTTTCAAAATGCGTTTGGTGGCCCCAGATAGGCAGAAAATAGCTTAGCAATTGAGAAAATTCCATATCTGAGAGGGGATGGGGCAGGACTCCTGACAGTTTCTAACATGCAGCCAGAGGCCAGGGCTGTTAAGGTGGTATGTCCAAACAGCAAGCCACCCAAGAGAGACCTGGAAGAGTGGGAATCCACCTGTCTGAGGACACTGACTATACCTCCCATGACAAGCTGAACAGGAAATGCCCCAGAGAGGCCAAAGAGAAGCCAGCCTTCTTTTTTGATGAGGCGTGAGTAGGAGGAGATGGATGGTGAGGAGGCGGATGGAGAGACAAAGTTGACCGGTGACCCTTTGAAATGAAAACCCAGTGACACCTTGACCCCAAGTTGGGGCGAGACACCCATACATCTGTGGGGATGTGGGAAGCCCTCTCCACCACACTTTCTTTTTTTGAGCTGGAGTCTTGCTCCATCACCCAGGCTGGAGTGCAGTGGGGTGATCTCAGTTCACTATAACTTCTACTGCCCAGGTGGGGAGATGAACCAAGGCCTCCTAGGGGGCCTCTGGCTAAGGATGCCCAGGTTTTACAACCCAAATCAGAGTTGCGATTCTTGTGCCTCAGCGTCCTGAGTAGCTGGGACCACAGGCGTGTGCCACCATGCCTGGCTAATTTTTGTGTTTTTAGTACAGACAGAGTTTCTGCCATGTTATCCAGCCTGGTCTCGAACTCCTGACCTCAAGTGATCCTCTGCTTTGGCCTCCCAAAGTCTCTCCACCACACTGAATCTGGAGACAGCAAAATATAATGAAGAGGAGAAGAGGAGCATCAAAGGACCAGTGATTCCCTCCTAGCCTGAGTGGTGGGTGGAGAGCTTGGTGGTGAAGCAGAAGGGCATGAGCTCCCCTGGGGGCTCAGAGAAATCCACTGGTCATACAGGTGAGGGTTTAGAGGATGGTTTTGCCCAGGACAAACACTCCCACTTGTCTAGAGGTTGTCTGCTCTGTGGGGCAGGTGGTATGCCCAAGGCCCTTGCTGCCCTTCATGTGGAAGGGATTTCCATCCCCCTTTATGAGGTTATAGGAAACTCCAACCTCAACAGACTTCCCATTTCTTAAGGGGTTGAATCCTTTTCTGGAGGGGAGAGGAGCTGGGAGCAGATGCCCTTGGACTGGATCGGGTTCCAGGCCTGCCTCACCAGCTGGTGAGCAGATGCCAGGCGACAGACCCTGCAGCAAGCAAGGGGCTCTGCTCCCAGGACGGGAAGAGGCTGAGAGTGGAGGCTGGAACATGCCAGGGGAGCGTGAGAGGTTTGCAGGTCTGGGATAGGAAGAGTTTGCACTGAGAAATGATTACAGAGAGACTCTGTAGCCAATGCTGTCTGCATTCTGCCCCTATACCCCTGGGTCACTTTTGCACACCAGCCACCTGAGTGCTTTCACCTCCAACAGCCTGCACTCCATCTTTGCCAGAGGCTGAGCTCAGGCTCCTGGAGCCCATTTTAAGTAAATGCAAGGAGGGTGCAAGTGCCTAGGAATGCATGTGGGGCAAGGGCAACCTTTACCAGTGACTAAGGGGCTCGGGCTATAAACCTTGCAGCTCCACTGCTCCCTGGACAGGGTCATCTGACATGTGACCTGCACCAGCCTCAAAGACCTGTGAAGGGATTGGGCCAAAGTCACCTTCTGTGGGACACTGATCAATAGCCCACCCTTACTTAACCCCCTTCCTTTCTTGGTCCCCACGCCTCACTCTCCTACTGGCTCTTCCTGGGAACTCTTCTTAAATCACCTGCATGCGAATCTTCCTTCCAGGGTTTGCTTCTGAAGAGGGAACCCACGTTGAACTCCCAGCTGCTAAAGCCATTGTCCCTGTGGCTCTGTGAGCTGAGGGATCTGACCCCTGATGGTGGAGAGCTAGGAGGCCAGGTCTTGAGTTAGTAACCCCAGGTTACCAGGTGTGGGAAGGCGCTCCACACATGTGCATGAGTTCCAGAGGCGTTTGGAGTGAATCATTTGACAAGGGGCATTGCACAGCTTTGAGAATCTGGAATGTCTGAAGCCAGCTGGAGTGGGAACAGTTTAGCCAGGGTTTCCTAACAATGTTAGACCCTCCGGAATCCGGAGGGTCACCTGCATTCCAGCCCTTAGTGAGCGGGCAGAGAGGGAGGCAACTCAAATCAGAGTTGGGAACAGAGGGGAGATGTATGTGGGGAGCTGGAGGTGAGCAGGTCCCAATCTCAATAGACAAGGCCCTGCTCTGAAGGTTGTCTGTCAGCCCCTGGCCCTGGCAGGACACCGCTCCTGGTATGTCTCTGAGGGGGCAAGTTTGGTCCATTGGAATTGCAGGGCCAGAGTCATACAGCCTCAGGGACAGCCCAGAACGGCCCAGGGCTTTGTGGCACCCTCCACCCTCTCATGCCCTGGAAACATGAATGGCTTACGGCAGTGAAAGCCATCTGTGGCAGACAGTGATGTGGAGAAGGAGCTTGGCAAAGACTACCTTTCCCCTGGGAGGGATGGGTGGGAGTGCCATAGTGGGTGGATAGAGCAGCCGCCCCAGGCAGAAGGTTGGGCAGGCTGGCTTTGTTCCAGGTGAATCCCAGGACTTGCGGACATCCTTCCACAGAGTCAGACAGGCTCCAGGACATCACCTGGAGCCTGTCCAGGGTGCTGGTGGTAATCACAGGGGTCCCCTGCGGGCCAGGCTGGGGCTGGCAAGAACATCCCTAAGGAAAGTTTCAGAGTTGAAGGCAATGGATGAGGGGAGGCGGGGAGGGGACGAGGGTGCTGTGGGGCTGGGCTGGAGCTGGAAATAGCATACTCACTTCTCTTTGCTGAAGACCACAAGTATTTCCATCAGGAGAGGGTGGGGAGATGAACCAAGGCCTCCTAGGGGACCTCTGGCTAAGGATGCCCAGGTTTTACACGCTGACTCTGAGAGGGTGTCAGGGAGGAGCTGGAGCACACAGAAAGAGAAGGCAAGGAAAAAAGGTCGGAGAGCAAGGAGAGGAGTGTGCAGCCGCTGTGGATGGGGAACTTGGGGGAACAAACTTGTGGGGAGCATGATGACTCCTGTGTCATCTCACAAAACCTTCAGTAAAAAGTCCACATTATGCGTCACTGCCTTTGGAGTTGGAATTTTGTTTATTTGGGATGCAGCAACATGCCGGGACAGTCCTCAAGGCTGTCAGGAGGAGCAGGCCCAGCCCGGCGCAGTCCACTCACCAGGCGACATGATAAGCCGGCGAGACCCAGAGAAGGTTCAAGTGGGGACATGAGAGAAGACCTTGTGCTTGGAATCCAAATAATCCAAATGAAGACCTCCTGTTTCTGCTCCTCTGTTTTCCAGAACAAACATGATTCCATGCAGTCCGAAAGAGGGCGGTTAGGACAGAAGAATGGCTACGGGATTCAGAGAAGGCGCCCAGCTCTTCTCTAGCATGGATGGGGAGTGCGGGCTGTGTTGATTTGGAGACCACCTCCAGCCGGACTGCCTGCCCTGGCCTGGAGAATATTTCAGGGGACCTGTGTCTGGGGAAAAGGGGATTGGGAAGCCCCCAGTGCCTGTCTTGAATTTGGTCCTAGGCCCATGAAGTGTGAGTCCTTCACAGCTATAAAGGATTCAGGAAAAAATGGAGGGACTCCAGGAGATCCTGGGAAAAGCAGTGGCCTTGAGCAAGCAATAAAGCCACTGCTGAGTGGAGGAGGGGCCCTTTCCAAGCCTGGCCAGTCTGTCACTGCCAGGACTCTCCGTCTCCAGGGCTGGCCGGCAGGGGAGCAGAAATGTCTCGGTGTGATGCTTGTGAGAGTAACAGGTGGAGGAATTGGAAGCATGGTGCTCTTGGCACCCCAGCAGTATCAAAGGCTGACACTCCTGGTGAAAGGCAGTTCCTATGTCTTTGCTATGGGTCTGTTATTAAGAAAAGTTAAGACTGGGCCGGGCATGGTGGCTCATGCCTGTAATCTCAGCACTAGGCTGAGGCGGGTGGATCACTTGAACTCAAGAGTTTGAGACCAGCCTGGCCAACATGGAGAAACCCTGTCTCTACTAAAAAATACAAAAAAAATTACAATACAAAAAAAAAATTAATTAGCTTCGCATTGTGGCAAGCTATTAGGGAGGCTGAGGCAGGAGAATTGCTTGAACCCAGGAGGCAGAGGTTGCAATGAGCTGAGATTGCACCACTGCACTTCAGCCTGGGTGACAGAGGAAGACTCCGTTTCAAAAAAAAGTAAGATGGTTCTGAACAACAACAAAAAATATTCCTTCTTGTTGCTGATATCTGCCTAACTTCTAGGCTTATTGCTCTCAAGTCTATCATACCCAATTCATATTTATAACAAATGTTTTGCACCAACCAAATAACATTCTCTTTACCATCTTGAAACAAATACATTAATAGGCCGGGCGCGGTGGCTCACGCCTGTAATCCCAGCACTTTGGGAGACCGAGGCAGGCGGATCATTTGAGGTCAGGAGTTCGAGACCAGCCTGACCAACTTGATGAAACTCCATCTCTATTAAAATACAAAAATTAGCCGGGCGTGGTGGCGGGCACCTATAGTACCAGCTACTCAGAAGGCTGAGACAGAAGAATTGCTTGAACCCAGGAGGTGGAGGTTGCAGTGAGCTGAGATCACGTCCCTGCACTCTAGCCTGGGCAACAGAGCAAGACTCCTTCTCAAAAGAAAAAAAAAAAAGAAAGAAAGAAATGCATAAATAATATTACCTACTATGTATATAGTTTCAAACATCCAACATGTTCAAATGTCAAAATATCCAAATAAGGGCCCGACAGTAACATAAAGGAGAAATAAAGGGAACATGATATAGGATGAGATCTCAATCACGACAGCACTGCAGACATCATGAAGGGGCCGCAGGCTTATATGTGGATGTACAGTCACTGAACATCACAGGCATAAACGCAGCCTGAGACACTGTGATGTGTTGACACGAAAATACCTCAAGGGGCTTTGTTCCTGGTGGTTTTCCTAAATGCTCAGCAACTATTGGAAAAGTTCTAAGCAAAACAAAGGTCACTCTTCCCTTGATCTACATTGTAGTTGCCGCGTTCCTGGAGAGGGGATCTGTGACGGAGTGAAGTGGCTTGGGGTACCGGCAGGACTTGGGGGTATGGGGAGCAGTAAACCCAGGTTCAAAACCTTCAAAAGATGAGAAGCCATGTGTAGACAGTCCCCCAGCACGCACTTAGAAAATTGTGGGGGACACTTTTTGGTGGTCACAATGATTAAAGGGGTGTGTGCCATTGGCATTTAGTGGTCAGGGGCCAGGGACACTGGATGCTTTGGGAGTCCGGGACGATCCTGCACAGTGGAGAATGACTCCATACCCTGCCTGACTCAGGAATATCGTGCTGGACTTTCATGCAAGCGCATGAACGGGCTTATAATGATCTGAATCTAGACCCTAACTGTGTTATACAAAAACAGTGTGTGGTGTCCTCAAAACCGTGTGGCCCTGGGACTTGGAGCCTCTAAACTGATGAGGCAAATGCCGAGGGCACTGCACATGCATGAAGGGGAGCTCTAGTCTGTGGCCTGGCCCTTGAACACAGCCAGGGAAGTGAGCATCTGGGCAGCCCCCCGCTACATGAAACACTAGCTCCTCAACACCTGAAATCAGAGGGTCGTGGGGGGCGGGGCGGTTCTACTCACCTGCTTTTCAGGCTTAGAGGGGCAAAATGACTTGATTGAGTCTGTGTAGCTCTTCTCCGGTGGATCATTACCATGGTGCCCATAGTGCAGAGCTTCCCAAAGTATGAAGAAGCCACCTGAGGCCCCTGTCCTCAAAATGTAGCTTTGTGTAGAGCAGGCACAGGGTGCCTTGGACTCCTCCATTGCTCACCCTCAGCACGAAGCCAGCACCTTCAGGAAACTGTTACTAACGAAAAGACAGAAGGGGCAGGCTGAGAGGGAGGGAGATGTGAAAAGCACTGGCTGCAAAATGTAAGGAAGGCAAGAAGCTCATTATGCCAAAAAACAGGGTAGCTACTGCATTTGTCCAGGTGGCACACTTCTTTCTTCTTCTTTTTTTTTTTTTTTTTAATTTTTATTTTTTTTATTGATCATTCTTGGGTGTTTCTCGCAGAGGGGGATTTGGCAGGGTCATAGGACAATAGTGGAGGGAAGGTCGGCAGATAAACAAGTGAACAAAGGTCTCTGGTTTTCCTAGGCAGAGGACCCTGCGGCCTTCCGCAGTGTTTGTGTCCCTGGGTACTTGAGATTAGGGAGTGGTGATGATTCTTAACGAGCATGCTGCCTTCAAGCATCTGTTTAACAAAGCACATCTTGCACCGCCCTTAATCCATTTAACCCTGAGTGGACACAGCACATGTTTCAGAGAGCACAGGGTTGGGGGTAAGGTCACCGATCAACAGGATCCCAAGGCAGAAGAATTTATCTTAGTACAGAACAAAATGAAAAGTCTCCCATGTCTACTTCTTTCTACACAGACACAACCATCCGATTTCTCAATCTTTTCCCCACCTTTCCCCCCTTTCCATTCCACAAAACCGCCATTGTCATCCCGGCCCGTTCTCAATGAGCTGTTGGGTACACCTCCCAGACGGGGTGGTGGCCGGGCAGAGGGGCTCCTCACTTCCTAGTAGGGGTGGCCGGGCAGAGGCGCCCCTCACCTCCCGGACGGGGCAGCTGGCCGGGCGGGGGGCTGACCCCCCCACCTCCCTCCCGGACAGGGCGGCTGGCCGGGCGGGGGGCTGACCCCCCACCTCCCTCCCGGACGGGGCGTCTGGCCGGGCGGGGGGCTGACCCCCCACCTCCCTCCCGGACGGGGCGGCTGGCCGGGCAGAGGGGCTCCTCACTTCCCAGTAGGGGCGGCCGGGCAGAGGCGCCCCTCACCTCCCGGACGGGGCGGCTGGCCGGGCGGGGGGCTGACCCCCCCACCTCCCTCCCAGACGGGGTGGCTGCCGGGCAGAGGGGCTCCTCACTTCTCAGACGGGGCGGCTGCCGGGCGAAGGGGCTCCTCACTTCTCAGACGGGGCGGATGCTGGGAGGAGGGTCTCCTCACTTCTCAGACGGGGCGGCTGGGCAGAGACGCTCCTCACCTCCCAGACGGGGTCGCGGCCGGCCAGAGGCGCTCCTCACATCCCAGACGGGGCGGCGGGGCAGAGGCGCTCCCCACATCTCAGACGATGGGCGGCCGGGCAGAGACGCTCCTCACTTCCCAGATGGGATGGCTGCCGGGAAGAGGCGCTCCTCACTTCCTAGATGGGATGGCGGCCGGGCAGAGACGCTCCTTACTTTCCAGACTGGGCAGCCAGGCAGAGGGGCTCCTCACGTCCCAGACGGGGTGGCGGTCGGGCAGAGGCTGCAATCTCGGCACTTTGGGAGGCCAAGGCAGGCGGCTGGGAGATGGAGGTTGTAGCGAGCTGAGATCACGCCACTGCACTCCAGCCTGGGCACCATTGAGCACTGAGTGAACCAGACTCCGTCTGCAATCCCGGCACCTCGGGAGGCCAAGGCTGGCGGATCACTCGCGGTTAGGAGCTGGAGACCAGCCTGGCCAACACAGCGAAACCCCGTCTCCACCAAAAAAGTACGAAAACCAGTCAGGCGTGGTGGTGCGCGCCTGCAATCGCAGGCACTCGGCAGGCTGAGGCAGGAGAATCAGGCAGGGAGGTTGCAGTGAGCCGAGATGGCAGCAGTGCAGTCCAGCTTCGGCTCGGCATCAGAGGGAGACCGTGGAAAGAGAGGGAGAGGGAGACCGAGAGGGAGAGGGGAGAGGGGAGAAGGGAGAGGGGAGGGGGGAGGGAGAGGGAGACGGGGAGGGAGAGGGAGAGGGAGAGCACACTTCTTTCTTCTTGTTGGTAATACCTGTTATTCCTTTGGGGAATACCTCCTGAACTCTGAGACATCCTGGGGCAAAGGTCAACTGTGGTGCCCTGTCTACCTGACTTCCCCAGACCCTCAGAGAGAGGTGGACCACCCGGACCTGGCCAATCAGAATGCTTTTTTCTTTTGGACAGAGCAAAAGGGGTAGGGGATGTAAGCCGGACCAGTCCCCAGGTGTCTGGGCCCTGCGTATATACAGATGCCTAGAGAAACAAGTGCTTTGCTTTTCTTTTCTTTTCCTGGTGTTGCTAAGCTGAGAATATGTGAATTTGGAACTGTCAGTACCCATCTCCCCTGGCAACATGGAGGAAATCCATCTAGAGCTGGAGAAAATAAGATCAGCACACGCAGGGGAGCAGAGGGAGCCCTGTTGGCACTGAACAAGTCTCTGGGCCCAGCTGTGCAGGATGCTAGAACTGCCCACAGCCTTCCCAGCTAGTGAGCTGATAAATCTTCCCCTTGTTCTTTTTTTTTCCTTTGCTGTAGCTAGTTTGAGATGGATTGCAACATGAAAGAGTCCTGACTTCCACAAATAGCATGAATTCACCCCTCAAACGTCTATTATATACCAGGCATGATATTATATCCTAGAGCTTCAGGAGTCAACAAGTGGATTTGATCCCTGCCCTCATAGAGCTTACTGTTTTGTAGGGGAGACAGAACAAAAACAATTCCACAATCAAGTAGTTTAAATAATAAGTCTGAGAAATGCTATGAAGGAGCATCTGTGAAATTAAGCTCCATGAGGGCAGAAACCTTCGTCTCTTTTGTTCCTGGCAGTATCCCTGATGTCTAGAATGGTGCCTGGCACATAGTAGGCACTCAGTAAATACTTATGGGGAAAAATGAATGACAGACAAAGTTTAGGGAGCTGTAACAGAACACAAAGTGGAGGAGTTAGGGAGAGTTTTCCTGAGGAAGCAATGTTTCAGCTGACATCTAAACAACCCTGAGGGGTTGGCCAGACCATGAAGGCAGAAGGAATAGAAAGTGAAGAGAAGGCAGGAGGGAACAGACATCTGTGAAGGAGCAAGCGGAGGCCAGTGCAGCTGCATCACAGGCAGCAGGGAGGAGTGTCATGGCCGGTGAGGCCACTGGGGACACTCGCCAGAGGCTGCCATGGCCACGCTAAGGAGTTTGGGTCATATTCTGAGAGCTGTAGACAGCCAACATTCGCAGCAGTGAGTGAAGCCTTCAGGGGCTTTGCCCTCAAAAGTCATGAATGGAAGTGGAGAAAATTAGTGTCTTTTCAATCACGGGAGATGACAAAAGAAATAGAACATTCTATATAGGAAAAAGCAAAAAATAAAGTGTTCCTAAGTAATAGAGATGCAAAGGGAAAAAAGATTAAAAAAAAAACCTGGTACTGGCCGGGTGCGGTGGCTCATGCCTGTAATCCCAGCACTTTGGGAGGCCAAGGCGAATGGATCACTTGAGGTTAGGAGTTCGAGACCAGCCTGGCCAACATGGCAAAACCCCGTCTCTACTAAAAATACAAAAATTAGCCGGGCTTGGTGGTGGACCCCTGTAATCCAGCTATTCAGGAGGCTGAGACAGGAGATCTCTTGAACCCGAGAGGCAGAGGTTGCAGAGAGCCGAGATCACGCCACTGCACTCCAGCCTGGGTGACAGAGCAAGACTCCATCTCCAAGAAAAACAAAACAAACAAACAAACAACAACAAAAAAAACTGGTACTAAGATCTCAAATTATTTCAATAAAACAAGGGACATAAGGCATGGGAAATTGGGTTCAAGTGTATTAATGATCTTTTCTTGTTTAAGGGAGGTTATGAATTGATTTGTTTCCTGACATTGACAGAAAAGGAAGTGGGCTGAAGGAAAGCAGAGAGATCCATCTGAAGGCTGTTGCGTTCCTCTGGTGGGAGCTGATGGAGAGGAGGGCACAGCCAAGAGATATTTGTGATCATGACAACCAAGCAAACGGACGTAATAGTCACATACCCAAGAGGAAGTGATTTCCAGAGCTGGAAATGATTGGGCAAGCCAATCAATAAGTTCCAGAGAAAATGTATACAGAATTATATACCAGGACCTATCCTTACTGAAAAGAATCTTTTCAGCTGGGGGCGCGGTGGCTCACGCCTATAATCCCAGCACTTTGGGAGGCTGAGGCAAGCAGATCACTTGAGCCCAGGAGTTCGAGACTAGCCTGGGCAACATGGTGAAACCCCATCTCTACAAAAAAATACAAAAATTTTGTATTTTTTTGGGGGTGGGATGGCACATGCCTGTAGTCCCAGCTACTTGGGTGACTGCGGTGGGAGGATCACCTGAGCCCAGGAATTCAAGTCTAAAGTGAACTATAATCATGCCACTGTACTCCAGCCTGGGTGAGAGAACGAGACCCTGTCTCAAAAAAGAAAAAGAAATTTTCCAAGATTAAGGAAAAATATTAAATGAATCTGGCCGGGCGCAGTGGCTCACGCCTGCAATCCCAGGACTTTGGGATGCTGAGGCAGGCAGACCATGAGGTCAGGAGTTCAAGACCAGCCTGGCCAACATAGTGAAACCCCATCTCTACTAAAAATACAAAAAAAAAAAAAAATTAGCCAAGTATGGTGGCGTGCGCCTGTAGTCCCAGCTACATGGGAGGCTAAGGCAGGAGAATTACTTGAACCCGGGAGGCAGAGGCTGTGGTGAGCCGAGATTGTGCCACCGCACTCCAGCCTGGGCAATAGAACGAGACTCAGTCTCAAAAAAAAAAAAAAATTTAAATGAATCCATACATGAAATTGTGTTACAAAGCGGGAAATTTAGGCTGGCCTTAGGTTTTGCCTTGTCATTTCTAAACACCGGAAGATAGACAGCAATGGTTATAGTTTTGAGTAAAAAAGATGGTCACAAAAATTTTGTACCCAACAAGTTGTCATTGTTGTGCGAAAACAACAGAAATATCATCCAGGTTTATGAAGAATGATGTAGAAAGGTGTTCTCCCTAAGTAAACAACTTGAAGACAAACTTCAGCTACCTGAGAGATAAATAAAAATTAAATCTTGGAAATAGGAACGTTGTAATATAGAAGACTGGTTGCAAGCATTAAAACCAACGAAGTAAATCAAGAATTGAACAAAAAATCTATTCTTAAAAAAGATGCACATAATTATAATGCTAGTTGGATTTATAAGCCCACAGTAAATTTTAAAAGACTGGGAAATGAGTGAGAAGTGGGCAAGGCAGGTAAAGGTACACTAAAACCTTCATTTGACGTCAAGTAAAGGAGTTAGGAGATATAGATTGTTTTTACCTTTCATCATCAGAGAAATTTCAGGAATATAAAAGTCGATCAGTAGTAAAATTAAAAACAGGATTACTATCTTTTAAATCACGGGAGATGACAAAAGAAATCATAGAACTTCTATATAGCAAAGAGCAAAAAATAAAGTATCCCTAAGTAATAGAGACACAATGTGAAAAAAGATTTTAAAAAACCCAATCTGGTACTAAGATCTCAAATGATTTTAATAAAACAAGGGAAATGAGGCCTGGGAAGTTGGGTTCAAGTGTATTAATGATTTTTATTTTGTTTAGGGGAGGTTATGAATTGATTGGATTCCTGATATTGACAGAAAAATTTGTTTCAGTATTTAACAAAATATGCAAGGGCAGCCACAAGAAGCATAGCAACAGAACACAGAACTTCTAGACCACGAAAGGAACAAAGAAATGCTACCAAGCCTCAACAGGCAGGCAATGAAAAAGGAAACCAGAAAGCATGGTCAATGGAAAATATAGAATAGAGGCCAGGCGCGGTGGCTCAAGCCTGTAATCCCAGCACTTTGGGAGGCTGAGGCAGGTGGATCACTTGAAGTCAGGAGTTCGAGACCAGCCTGGCCAACATGGCAAAACCCCATCTCTACTAAAAATACAAAAAATTAGCTGGGCGTGTCCTGGCACGGTGGCTCACGCCTGTAATCCCAGCACTTTGGGAGGCCAAGGTGGGCGGATCACGAGGTCAGGAGATCGAGACCATCCTGGCTAACATGGTGAAACCCCGTCTCTACTAAAAATATAAAAAATCAGCTGGGCGTGGTGGCGGGCGCCTGTAGTCCCAGCTACTTGGGAGGCTGAGGCAGGAGAATGGCATGAACCCTGAAGGTGGAGCTTGCAGTGAGCCAAGAATGCACCCTGCACTCCAGCCTGGGCGACAGAGTGAGACTGCATCTGAAAAAAAAAAAAAAAAAAAAAAAAAAAAATTAGCCGGGTGTGGTGGCAGGTGCCTGTGATCCCAGCTACTCAGGAGGCTGAGGCAGGAGAATCGCTTGAACCCAGGTGGCAGAGGTTGCAGTGAGCCGAGATTGCACCATTGCACTCTAACCTGGGCAACAAGAAAGAAACTCTGCCTCGAAAAAAAAAATATATATATATATATAGAATAAAAATAGTAGGCATAAGTCCAAATACATCAGTAATCACAATAAACCATTATTGCAAATGATACAATAGTCTCCCTAGGCAAAAAAGATAATCAATTGTAAAACTATTAAAATCAAGAAAAATGTTCAGGAAGAATGCCAGAAATAAGACTGATGTACTAAAACTCAATAGCTTTTCTATTCATCTGTAGTAATCATTTACAACAACTTCAAAATACCTAGGAATAAACTTAAAACAACATGTGCAAGATAAGGAAATGACAAATGATCCAATAGAAAGCAAAGGTTATGAATAGTCAGTTTACAGAAAAAGAAAAACAGCCAATAAACATAAAAAAAGTTCCACCTCACTAGCAACCAGAGATATGGAAATTGAAACAATACTAATATCAAAGGTGAAAAATGATTCTTAATATTTAGTGATGGTGATGGAGGGGGGAAACAGACATTCCTATTGGAATAAAAATTGGTAAAGCATTTTTGTAGGGCAATTTGGGAATGTTTTAAATTTAAATGCTTATGTCTTTTGACCCAATATTCTGCTTTCAAGAATCTAATCTAAAGAAATATTTTGCACTCATGCCAAGATATTCATTGCAGAATTATTTATAATAATAAAAAAGGAGGAAAAGAAATATCCAAAAGTAGAGGAACGACCAATTAAATTATAGTACATCCGTATGTAAGAGAGTGCCAAGGGGCTGCCCCTCTTCTCTGCTTATATAGATTGAATGTTTCACCTTGAAACAGATCTCTTCCTTTCAGGGTAGGATAACTTTAGTGGTATCCGTTATTTATGGCAGTGTATATTAGATAGGGACTCCTTGCCCTAAGAGAATGGTGAAATGGAGCCTTTTATGGCTTCATAAAAGCAGGATTTTTACATATGTCTTCAATATGTAGACTTGGTTTTTGAGGAGAAGGTGAATGGATTTGCAAAGAAGGCCAAGGCCTCCCGGGAAGGAGTGGATGGTCATCTTGGCCCCTCTTCTCTGATATTTGGGATTGGGGAGAGACCTGATCAGGGGGAGCGTGATCCTGAAGTAGGTCTGCTGGCAGGAGAACATACCGTGGTTTCCAGTGGGGAAATCACCATGAAGGTAGAATCTGGACTCAAAGCAAGTATCCAAGAGATCATAGGGAAAGCTGTTTTGAGACTCTATAGCTAAGTTGCAGCACAGCTAAGAAAGACTCAGGCCAGCAAGGGAGCACAGAGCAGAGACACATTCATGGAACTGTGGGGGCCAGGGCTCAACAGGAACACCCTGTGGTGCCAGCTGAAGTGAAAGGGGATCCAGCTAACCCATTTCCATGGAATGACATGTAGAGACAGGAAACTACAGTGGCCTCCAAGGCGCGGCGCCACTTGGGCCTCTACAGCAATCTGACCTTATCTCTTACGGCACCTGCTCACTCCACATCACACACACTGGCCTCTTGACTGCTCCCCCAAACAGACTGGCAGACGCCGCCAAGTCCTCCCTCCTGCTGTTCCCAGTGCCTGGAGAGTTCTTTTCTCATACCACCTCACTTCTTCTGAGCCACTCAAACGTCAACTTCCTTGTTCACTCTTTAAATAATTTGCAAACACCTTCTCTTCCCAGATAGTTAGCAATCCTATTGCCTTTCCCACTTAATTTTTCTCCACGGCACACAACACCTTATTTATTTTGTTAATTGTTTATTTCTGATTCACCTCCTCCCACCCTGGCTAGACTATAACCTCCATGAAGGCAAGTTTTTTTGTAAGTTTGGTTCACTGATTTATCTCCAGGACTTAGAACAGTGCCTGATACATAGCAAGTGCTCTATGAATACCTAATGAAAGAATAAATGTGTACTCACAGAAAATCTCTAAAAAACATACTAAGTGAAAACAAAGTAGATTACTAAATAATACACATAAAATCATACCATTCATGTAAAAGCCATATATGTGTCTGTGTGTGTCTGTAAAGATACATGCCAAATTATCATGGAGAGGGGAGTGGGATGGGAATAATTAAAGTGATTAATTTTTTAATTACTTAAAAATTAACTTTTCTTTTGTATATTTCTGTATCATTTGGCAATTTTTAAACATATAAGTATTTATTACTTGTACAATAAAATGGGTAATGAATACCTAATAACATATTACAAGGGTAACAGTTCTGGAACAAGGTCTTAACTTTTGGTATTGGCAGAGTGGCTTATATCAGACTAGTCCTCTTTAAGATAACAATGATAAACTCTGATCTAAATATTTTTAAAAATGGTTTGAAGCTGCTGGAGAATGACAAAAACAAACAAACAAACAAACAAGCAAACAAACCCCCCAAAAAACAGGCATAAACTTGATGGGATTTAATTCTTAAAAGAAAGGAACCATGCTGGGTGAGAGCCACATTTCTATGGCTTCTCTTTGGAGAGCACCTCCCGGTTCTTGTGGAATGTGGGGACACAGAACAAATAGAAGCTGCGGCCTGAGGAGACTGAGGAGTCGGAAGACAGAGTCGGAGGCTGCTGGAGCAGCAGGAAATTGAGGAGGGAGAACCAGACAGGAGGGAGCTAAGCAGAGCACCGAATCTATGTGCACATTTTTCTCAAATCTGCGGCTGACCCCTAACCTACATGAGTGAAGATTCCAAAGAGATTAGGGGAAAATAACAGCTGGAAGCCTGAAATTGCTGAGTAGAGATGTCTGTACTTGTGCACTTCAGGGCAAACAGTGTTTGGAGTTTGAGTCTCATTATGTTAGGCAAGCTTGGTAAACACCTCGGGCTTTCTGTTGACATCCCAGGGGGACCATGTCCAGATCCAAGAGATTCTCGCTAGGAATGAGGACAAAACTAAAATAAATGCATTCTAATAAAGTGTGAAAACCAAGCCTCCACTAGTTCCGGGTGATATGCTAGTAATCTAACTGTCTGCTAGAACAAAACTCCACTCTGTCTGAAGGCGGGTAATAGAATCCAGAATCTCTACAATGTTTTACCTGCAACGTCCTGTATGCAATAATACATTATCAGACATGTGGAGAAACAGGAAAACATGACTCTTAGTTAAGAAAAAAATAAGATAATAGAAACAGATAATCCAGTGTTGGAATTAGCAGGCAAGATAAGTGATAAATATGTTAAAGATCCCATAAGAAAAGTTAAAAATAATGCGTTAAGAGATGGAGAATTTCAATAGAGATATAAAAATGGTTAAAAAAAAACTACAACTCTGTGTTATACCGCAACTCTAAATGTGAATTGAATTGTACACTTTAACTGGTGAACTGTATAGTATATAAATTATGTTTGAATAAAGGTATTTTATTAAAAAAAAAAAAGCCTGGCCTGGTACAGTGGCTCATGTCTGTAATCCCAGCCTGAGATTTTGAGACCAGCCTGGGAAACATAGTTAGACCTCATTTCTACAAAAAATTAAAAAATTAGCCAGGTGTGGTGGCATATGCCTATAGTTCCAGCTACTCAAGAGACTGAGGTGAGAGGATCACTTGAGCCCAGGGGGTTGAGGCTGCAGTGAGCTATAATTACACCACTGAACTC